>NT_187613.1:0-300000 GCF_000001405.40 Homo sapiens
AGGTGTGAGCCACCACGCCTGGCCAATTAACTCGATTTTTTTTTTTTTTTGAGATGGTGTCTCGCTCTGCCACCCAGGCTGGAGTGCAGTGGCGCAATCTCGGCTCACTGCAAGCTCCGCCTCCCAGGTTCAAGTGATTCTCCTGCCTCAGCTCCTGAGTAGCTGGGACTACAGGCACCCGCCACCACGCCCGGCTAATTTTTTCTATTTTTAGTAGAGACGGGGTTTCACCGTGTTCGCCAGGATAGTCTCGATCTCCTGACCTCGTGATCTGCCTGCCTCGGCCTCCCAAAGTGCTGGGATTACAGCCGTGAGCCACCGTGCCTGGCCAATTAACTCGATTTTTAATAGCTATTCAGGCTGGGCACAGTGGCTCATGCCTGTAATCCCAGCACTTTGGGAGGCTGAGGCAGGCGGATCACCTGAGGTCAGAAGTTCCTGACCAGCCTGGCCAACACGACAAAAGCCCTTCTCTGCTAAAAATACAAAAATTAGCCGGGTGTGGTGGCGCGTGCCTGCCACTTGGGAGGCTGAGGCGGGAGAATCGCTTGAACCCGGGAGGCAGAGGTTGCAGTGAGCCGAGATCATGCCATTGCACTCCAGCCTGGGCGACAGAGTGAGACTCCGTCTCAAGAAAAAAAAAAAAGAAAAAGAAATAGCTGTTCAACAAGACAGTAAGTATTGTAATTTACTTAACCCTTCCATGATTGTTAACATTCAGAGGATTTCCAGGGTCTCACTAGGATATACAGCTGTAAGGAATCTCTTCAGGAGGGCAAGGTAAAATGAGGTAAGCATCTTAACAGTTTTGTCCTAACCTACAGGATGTACATTTCATCTGCATTTATGACTAATTCAGATCATATTCTCACTTCTAAACTGACATTAATTCCCCTTCCCTTCTTAAATCAAGTCCTCCCTTAGGGCTCACTGAATCTTTGAAAAGTTTGCCTTTCATAATTTCTACTATCTATTTATTTAATTAACATTCCCATAGCAACCCTTTGACTTTTCTTAAGCAACTTGCTTACATGAACCTGCAACCAAATGAATTATAAATTTTCTCAGTGGCCTCATAAAGAAGAAAATAAGGAACATTAGCTGGGTGCAGTGGCTCACACCTGTAATCCCAACACTTTGCCAGGTGGAGGCGGGTGGATCACCTGAGGTCAGGAGTTCAAGACCTTCCTGACCAACATGGTGAAACCTCGTTTCTACCAAGAACACAAAAATTAGCCAGGCGTGGTGGCGCGTGCCTGTAATCCCAGCTACTCAGGAGGCTGAGGCAGGAGAATCACTTGAACCCGGGAGGTGGAGCTGCAGTGAGCCGAGATCGCGCCACTGCACTCCAGCCTGGGCAACAAAGTGAGATTCTGTCTCAAGAAAAGAAGAAAAGAAGGAACATTCAGGAAAACGGGGGAGAGTTGTGTGTAATAGTAGGTGAGAAGACTTTTGACATCATATTTGTACACTTTTCTCAAAGCAATAGATACATTCCTGAGACACTGCAGGTGAATTTTCCTAAGCAGAGGCAATCACAGGTTGAACACCTCTTAGGAGCTCACAATCTGAAACAACTAGGCATATTGCCTAACAAAACGAAGGTCCTTCTGTGATAAAAAGAGGATTCCCAGCCGGGCACGGTGACTCACGCCTGTAATCCCAAGACTTTGGGAGGTGGAAGCAGGTGGATCACTTGAGTCCAGGAGTTCGAGACCAGCCTGGACAACACGGTAAAACCCCGTCTCTACCAAAAATACAAAAATTAGCCAGTCTCATAACCCCATCTCAAAATAAATAAATAAATATTAGATTTTAAAAATGTGAATTGTCCCTGAATTTATCTATTTCATAACTTTGGATTTAAGGTGAGGTGGGTTTTTAAAAATACAGCAACCTTCAGTAAGTAAAAAAATCTATATTAAATACAAGTTGCCTAATACTAGTCCCCCACAAAAGCCACAGCATAATAGAAGTGCCCGGCACGGAGAAGGCTTTTGTCCCCATATACATCTGAATGCGCTTGGAAGCGGAGACTGATGGCCTCAGAGAATGAGCCTCTCAGCTTATCCAAACGGCAGAGCCCAGCGGCGGGAGTTTCACAGACACCATCTTCTCACTGCTTTCCATCAGTCCTAGAGGGGCCCCTCTCTAAGGACGGGGAAGCGGCTTTCAAAGGCCTCCTTTCGCCTGTTGTACACAGGGAGCACATCAGCCTGAGACATTTCCCATCTAAGGAGAGCGGTGGTTTGAGGGATTCTGTTCCTTGTCTCTAACTGTGTTGGGTTCATTATCAAGGCAGAAATCATACAAGGTTATCAGACAGGCACACACTGACACTTTTAGCCTCTACCCACCTGAGACAGAAAAAGCAGCACCTGTCAGGTTAGCCGAGGATATAACCAAGACCCATTTAAAAGGCTTGATTTAAAAAAAAAAAAAGGTATAGGTACTGGGACGGACACACACACACACACACACACACACCCCTTTCATTTTATTTGAAATTTTTTTTTTAACATACTGCCCTTCCAGAAAATAACAGTTAATTTAAAATGCTATATCCGGGCTAGGCGCAGTGGCTCACGTATGTAATCCCAGCACATTGGGAGGCCAAGGCAGGTGGATCGCTTGAGGCCAGGAGTTCGAGACCAGCTTGGGCAAAATAGTGAAACCCTCCTCTACAAAAAATAAAAACATCAGTCCGGTGTGGTGGGACACACCTGCAGTTCCCACTACTCAGGGGGCTGAGGTGGGAGGATCGCTTGAAACCAGGTGGCGGAGGTTGCAGTGAGCCAAGATCGCACCACTGCACTCCACCCTGGGTGACAGAACAAGACTCTGTCTCAGGGAAAAAAGGACAAAAAGGAAATTTTTTTTTTTAAAATGCTAAATTGATTTGCGCAAAAAACCATTTAAGCATATGTATTTTCATATGCAGTATATGCCTATTCTTTTTCTGGAAAAACATACCAGACACTACTAACAGTGATGTTATCTTTGGAAAGAGGATTATTGTTACAGTTAATAAATAAAATGCTGGGCCGGGCGCGGTGGCTCACGCCTGTCATCCCAGCACTTTGGGAGGCCGAGGAGGGCAGATCACGAGGTCAGGAGATCGAGACCATCGTGGCTAACGTGGTGAAACCCCGTCTCTACTAAAAATACAAAAAATCAGCCGGGCGTGGTGGCGGGCGCCTGTAATCCCAGCACTTTGGGAGGCTGAGGCAGGAGAATGGCGTGAACCCGGGAGGCGGAGCTTGCAGTGAGCCGAGATCGCGCCACTGCACTCCAGCCTGGGCGACAGAGCAAGACTCCGTCTCAAAAACAAAAACAAAAAATGCTGGCTCTCTCTTGCAGATGGAAAACAGTGAACACAGAGAAACATGGCGTATGAAGTCATGCTGAGCAGAGGAATATAAATGGCTTTCTAATGTAAACAGTCAGCAGGAAAGCCATAATTTGTGCTGCATGTACAGAGACAGATAAATCCCTGTCTCCTCATGAACACACACCGTGTTTTGTTGTAAGGATCTCTATTTGCCTGAACTGTTGGCTCAGGGGCAGAACAGATCCAGAGGATCTCAGAAAAAATGTCACTAATTTCTTCACAAGAAAGAAGGGCTTCAAAAAGCGCTTCAGAACTAGAGTGTTCCACCCCAGTCTCTGCAAATTAATACTTTCCGCAAATCCAAATGAAAGAGAATATGTTCACGTGGTATTAAGTAGCATTTTATTCTTAAGAACATTTGTAAAAAGCTTAAAGCAACGCATCCAAGGGTTGAAGCCGGGACTTTCTGCAAATTTAGGAAACTGATTTCCCCCCAGGAAAATGTCTGAAGGCATTTACTTCCAATTCACCCTCACGCCTACATCTGAAATGTCAGAATCCTTAGGTGCCAAACTGCAATGTATATTACAGATTTGTGTGTAACTTTAGGTGGTCAAAGACACTTGTGTAAGAAAAGAAACCTATTTCAAAGTAAGGTAAAATTCATGAAATAAATGGACTGAGTCACCCTAAAATATTAAGAAAAACATCTATCAGCACAAGGACAGTGGGCTGCTTTGCAGCTAGTGACTGTCTATGGATAATTTTGAAACAAAATGCCACACTTAATTAGCCAGCGGGCTTCGCATCCTGTGTGTGACGGAGAGAATGGTATTAAGAAAAAGACTCCCTCAGGCTCCATTAATGCCCTAATGAGAGGAGGCGGGGAGAGGGGTGTTGGGTAGAGGGCAGGGCAGTCAGGATTACCACATGGCCCTCAGGAAGTACAAGCTCTGCGCCTTCTGGACAAATGGGGGACTCTCAACCGCACACTGACTATTGGGCGTATCTAGCCAGCTATTTCCACAGGGTCCTCTGCAGGAAACAATTGTACCCACACTCCACACATGCCCAGCAGATAAAGCAGTTCTCAGATTACATCCAAGAGGGAGAACGTGGGCCTTAAGCTCACTTAACCGTCATCCGTGATTTCGTGACCAGCAACCCACCGACGGAGGGAGTCTCGATTTTCAAAAAGACAAAAGTGGGAGATTCTCCAGATGGCAGAGAGCTGGACTCGACATCAACCCTTCAACAGACCTTCCGGCTTACTTTAGTTATCACACACACTTAGGAAAAGAAGGGATCTGTTAGAAGCAAGCATGCATTCACCAAACACACGTCATTTCAGACTATCTTTCCTTGAAAACTATCAATAGGAACTATCTAAGTGATAGCAAGCTGTCTGTGAGGGCCTCCTACAATAAACATGCTGATCACACCGAGGAGTGTGGGCTGAATCATAATCCAATCAGGGCAAGTTTGGAATCGGCTGGATTTGAAGACGGCTGAGCAACTGACTAACAGACTCCTCCTAGCCTGGAGAAGGTGTCTAGCGGCATAACCCCCCAACTCTATCCCCAGACTCAGGCTAATCAACATTTTTATCAACTGCTTGTATAAACAACAGTCTAGCAGGGACCACATAACACAGAGCTAAGAAGGGGCTTTGATGACTGTAGGTGATCACATCAGCCTGTAGTCCCAGCTACTCGGGAGGCCGAGGCAGGAGAATGGTGTGACTTCAACAGACAGGGCACAGTGACTCACACCTATAATCCCAGCACTTTGGGAGGCCGAGGTGGGGAAAACATGAAGTCAGGAGTTCGAGACCAGCCTGACCAACATGGTGGAACCCTGTCTCTACTAAAAATACAAACAATTAGCTGGGTGTGGTGGCGGGCACCTGTAGTCCCAGCTACTCGAGAGGCTGAGGCAAGAGAATCACTTGAACCTGGGAGGCAGAGGTTGCAGTGAGCTGAGATGGCACCACTGCACTCCAGCTTGGGCAACAGGAGCAAAATTCTGTCTCAAAAAAAAAAAAAAGAAAAGAAAAGTGAATGCAATGAGATCTCGCGACATGGTAACAGAAGTCTACATAACATCTACAACAAGCTTGTCCAACCCACAGCACGCGGACACATGTGGCCCAGGACAGCTTTGAATGGGGCCCAACACAAATTTGTAAACTTTCTTAAAACATTATGAGATTTTTTTGCTATTTGCTTTTTTTTTAGCTCATCAGCTATCACTAGTGTTGTCAGCATTTTTTTTTCTTTTGAGATGGAGTTTCGCTCTTGTTACCCAGGCCGGAGCGCAGTGGCACGAATTTGGCTCACCGCAACCTCCGCTTCCAGGGTTCAAATGATTCTCCTGCCTCAGCCTCCCGAGTAGTTGGGATTGCAGGCATGCGCCACCACGCCCGGCTAATTTTGTATTTTTAGTAGAGACGGGGTTTCTCCATGTTGGTCAGGCTGGTCTCAAACTCCTGACCTCAGGGGATCCGTCGACTTCAGCCTCCCAAAGTGCTGGGAATACAGACATGAGCCACCACGCCCGGCTGGTGTTCGCATATTTTATGTGTGGCCCAAGACAATTCTTCTTCCAACGTGGCCCAGGGAGGCCAAAAAATTGGGCAACAAAGGAGGTAGGGCAGCCAGCTGCCCTCTGTGCCTGGACAGACCACACTGGAGTCTGCATTCAGGTGGGGGGATGACTGTTGGGGGGGTGGGGCAGACAATCTTGGAGGGTGCTTGGATCTGAATGGCCTGGGTGGGGGGGAAGGGTGAACCCACATCACAGGAGAAATGCTCCAAGGACCAGGGGACTCTCCCTGGGGAGAGAGAAGAGTTGTCTGCAGTTCTTCACGGCCCAGCGGTCCCCTGGGAGAGGACGGCTGAGGTCAGAATGGACTTCCTCAGGAGATGGTGTGTTGGGGTCACTGGAAACACCCCACACAGAGACGGTGACCGTAGGGGCCACTCTCCCTCAGTAATACACCCTGATTTTTCTTGACAAGCCCCCCCACAGCCCCCAGGCCTGAGGCTCAGTCCACCTGGCTTGGGACCCCAGCCTCCAGCTACACAGGTGTGGACACAACTCAGGCTTGGCCCTTTGGTATTTACACATCCCGGCCACAGTGACCAGTTATGGGATCAAGGGCGACCATGCCGGACTCCTGCTGCTGGGAGTCTGGGAGGACAGGAAGCAGGCTCAGAACTGCCGATGGTCCTCAGGCCACTAGGAGATGAGGAACAGCCTGCCAGAGGCCAGGGCGCAGAGACAGGCGGGGCGGGGAGATGGGCAAGGACCTGCCCCAGGACGGCATCTGTGCCACCCGGGCCTAAAGCTGACCTATATCTGGACCTCTCACCCACAGGAAACTCAGACCCTTCTGAACCCAGGAGTTGATATTCTACACACCTAGATAAGGCAGAAAACAGGGCTCAGAAAAGTTCAGGAATGTGGCAAGGAGGCAGACCCAGGGACAGGACCAAGTTAAATGGATAAGAACAACAAATAAATTGCAAGGAAAAGCAGGGAAGGGAAACTATAGGTTAAAAGAGGCTTAAGGGATACAGCTACCAAATGTAATGGGCAAATTTTATTTGGATTCAAACAAACCAACTGTCATCCCAGCACTTTGGGAGGCCGAGGCAGGTGGATCACGAGGTCAGGAGATCAAGACCATCCTGGCTAATATGGTGAAACCCCATCTCTACTAAAAATACCAAAAAATTAGCCAGGCATGGTGGCGGGCACCTGTAGTCCCAGCTACTTGGGAGGCTGAGGCAGGAGAATGGTGTGAACCCAGGAGGCGGAGCTTGCAGCAAGCTGAGATCGCGCCACTGTACTCTAGCCCAGGCGACAGAGCGAGACTCCGTCTCAAAAAAAAAAAAAAATTAGGAGACAATCAGGAAAATGTGAATACTAACTGGATATTTGCTGAAACTAAAGAACTGATGGATTTCTTGGGTGTGATATTGTGGTTATGTTTTTTAAGGGTTACTTAGTGAAATGCTTATGAAGGAAATGAGATGACGGCTGGGACTATCTTCAAGATCATTGAGGAGGTGGGGGTGGGGGCAGTAGGTGTCCTTGAGTTGATGACTGTTGAATGTGGGTGGATATGTGGGGATTCACTGAACTGCTTTCTCTACCTGCATGATATTTAAAGTTTCCCAAAATAAATAATATTAAGAGACATATGCACAGACCAGTATCTCCCCCTGGCCTCTCCCAGCTCAAAAGAGGGTGCGGGATCCATTCAGTAAAACCGAGCACCTGATTAGTCAAAGAGATGATCTAGAATTACACCCATATGCAAAGATACACAGATGCAGCCCGGCGTGGTGGTGCACACCTGCATTCCCAGCTACTCGGGAGGCTGAGGTGGGAGGACTGCCTGGGCCCAGGTCAAAGCTGCAGTGAGCCCTGACTGTGCCACTGCACTCTAGCCTGGGCAACACAGCAAGAGCTCTCTCACACAAACAAGCAAACAATCAAAGACACAGATGTCATCAAATCAACAACTGACAGACAATTATTGTCCTAGAAGGAAAATGAAGAGAGGCCAGGCATGGTGGCTCACGCCTGTAATCCCAGCACTCTGAGAGGCTGAGGCAGGCGGATCGCTTGAGGTCAGGAGTTCAAGACCAGCCTCGTCAAGATAGTGAAACCCTGTCTTTATTAAAAAGACAAAATGAGCCAGGCGTGGTGGCGGGCACCTGTAATCCCAGCTACTCAGGAGGCTGAGGCAGGAGTATCGCTTGAACCTAAGAGGCAGAGGTCACAGTGAGCTGAGATCGTACCACTGCACTCCAGCCTGGGAGACAGAGAGAGACACGGTCTCAAAAAAAAGAAAGAAAGAAAGAAAAAGAAAAGAAAAGAAAGAAAAGAAGCAAAAAAATGAAGAGAAACCAGGTTCTGTGATAGTCTCTAGATACAAATAAATAACTAGGTGCTTTGGAATGGGGGAGGGGTACAAAGAGGTAAAAAGGCTGAATTCCTCTCTCTTATAATCCAAATAACCATAAAATGTGGAATGAATACCGAAGCGCCTGGTAAACATTTAAACGGCACGTGCTATGCACCAGGCACCATCCTAAGTACTTGTCAAATATTATGTCATTCAATCCTTAACAACCACCCTAAGAGGCTGGTACCATCATCTCCATTTTACTCACCAGGAAACTAGAGACACAGAAATTCCAGAACTGGCCCCAAAGTCACACCCCCGGGAAACAGCCAAGTTTCCAACCCGGGAAACCTGGATCTGGATTTCCAGTCTATATTCTTCGTCTACTATGGAACACACTTTAAATATTCACATACCATAATGGAGTATTTTTGAAAGATCACGGGTAAAAACAATTTTTACAATTGCAGTCAAGAACATGCCCAGAGCTGGAAAACGCTGCACTCACAGCTACATTCACGCCTATTCGGGGCTCCGGCGGTCACACTGCGATTTTTCCCTATTGCACGTGGTCCCGCCCAATCTTCAGATTTCACATCAAAACCTGAAAAATGAGTAACAGATGAGGCAGCTGTGCTGTGAGCCACCACGATCAAAAGAAAACCGTCTTGACCTGATCACGTTTAACGGGAGGAAAAGCAGCGCCTTCTGATTTTAAACAGATTAAATCCATCCAGATTTTTATCCCAGGCATATTGACCAAAAAAAGACAAATTAAAAAAAAATGTGGAACTGATGCATCTGGATGAAATTCTCCCAGGAAAACAAAGAGAAAGCCCTATCCCTAGGACAGCAGAACTCACCACACCCTGTTTGGTGACTGTTCGACAACGATATGAGATAAAACCGTCATTCACTGTAGAAACAGCACTTGAATTTACCTGTAATTGGTGCCTGTACTGAGACACCCTGGGGAGCAGGGGGAGAGGCTGACGGATTGGACAGAAGGAAGCGACGAAGTGAAGCTTACGTTGTTTTTTTAAAAGGACTTTCTGATGTAGTTCATACAAAAATACACTGTGTATCTGGTCCAAGAGTTATGACCGGCAAGCCGCAGAAAATTTACGTTTGCTTTTAATCACGGAGGCCACAGAACAAAACTTTCCATGACGGGTCTCACTCCCGAGTAACGGCACTGGGCTTCTGCCTCGTCGTGGTGCAGAAAGCACAGGTTTGAGATTTCACTGGAAGTTGGAACGGCAGTTTCTGCAAACCTCATAAAAGGGAGGACTGATTTAGTCCTAGGATCTCGGCAGGACACCTGAAGTTCAATTTTGTCTCTGAACAAAAAGCACTACAGCAGCCTGCAGGCTTTCCGTAGGATGAAGGGGGAGTTGGGGGGCCCTTCACTGGAGGAACTAAAAAAAAGCCAAATCATTAAAAAGGCCCTTAGAAAAAAAAACACCACCATGGAAAAAGGCAGCAAGAGAGAAGAGGTTCTCGCTCTCCTGCCTTCCAAGCAACCAGCGAATGTTTCAAGCCGTTCAACTACCTCTGTCTTATCTCAGAGCGGTCCCTGCACACCTAGAGGAAGAAAGCCACCTGAAGAGGCTTGCTGCTCCTCCTCCTCCATGCGGAACGTTTGATGTGAGTATTTTTTAAGGTACAATTCCGTGAACAGAAAGGACCAAGTTGAATTTAAGGGAGTTCAGCCAAGCTCTTTCATCCAACACTGTGACCCTGATCTAATAATCGGTGCTCTTTGCTTCAATTCTCCAGCTCTAACATACTTGGAAAAGTTAAAACGGTGAATATCTACTGATTACTAGTTGCTGGAAGACGTAATATGTACGCATTTTGAGTTCTTTGGAAGAAAGATGCTAGAGAAATGCAAACAATGAAATATTAAAGCATGGCATGACAGGTCTGCAGATATGAGACTCTTTTTTTTTTTTTTTTTTGACACGGAGTTTCACTCTTATTCCCCAGGCTGGAGTACAGTGGTGCGATCTCGGCTCAATGCAACCTCCGCCTCCAGGGTTCAAGTGATTCTCCTGCCTCAGCCTCCTCAGTAGCTCGGATTACAGGCATGCACCACCACACCCGGCTAATTTTGTATTTTAAGTAGAGACAGGGTTTCTCCACATTGGTCAGGTTGGTCTAGAACTCCCAACCTCAGGTGATCCGCCCACCTCGGCTTCCCACAGTGCTGGGATTACAGGCGTGAGCCACCGCGCGTGGCCGAGTCTCTTTTAATAGACTCAGATATTTGACATTTCAAAAATGGAGAGTCAAGCTTTTTCCTATTTTTGAGCACAGAATCACACGGCAATCCAGTTGCACAAGAAGCTGCTGGGACTCACCCAGCTGTGACATCCATTTGCTCATTTAGTCCTCTTTAAAACACTCATTGAGAAACAAAAACAGACCGAGCGCGGTGGCTCACGCCTGTCATCCCAGCACTTTGGGAGGCCGAGGCAGGTGGATCATGAGGTCAGGAGTTCAAGACCATCCTGGCTAACACGGTGAAACCCCGTCTCTACTAAAAACACAAAAAATTAGCCGGGCGTGAGGGCGGGCACCTGTGGTCCCAGCTCCTCGGGAGGCTGCGGCAGGAGAATGGCGTGAACCGGGAAGGCGGAGCTGGCAGTCAGCCGAGATCGCGCCACTGCACTCCAGCCTGGGTGACAGAGCGAGACTCCATCTCAAAAAAAAAAAAGAAAGTCAGGATTCACAAAGATTCCAAATTCATAGCGATTTTCCTTGATTGTCTTGGAATACGCATAAACGGTAAATTCAATGCAACACAGAAAACTAAGCACCTTGGTGGTTCACACCATGCACCACTGGGAATTCAGATCATGAAGAAAGAAAACACATCCTGGCCGGGCGCCGCAGCTCACGCTGTGATCCCAGCACTTTGGAAGCCGAGGCGGGTGGATCACCTGAGGTCAGGAGTTCAAGACCAGCCTGGCCAACATGGTGAAACCCTGTCTCTATTAAAAATATAAAAATTGGCCAGTCACGGTGGCTCACACCCGTAAGCCCAGCACTTTGGGAGGCCAAGGCAGGCGGACCACCTAAGGTTGGGAGTTGGAGACCAGCCAGACCAACATGGTGAAACCCCATCTCTACTAAAAATACAAAATTAGCCGGGCGTGGTGGCACATGCGCCTATAATCCCAGCTACTCGGGAGGCTGAAGCAGAAGAATTGCTTGAACCCAGAAGGCAGAGGTCACGGTGAGCTGAGATGGTGTCATTGCACTCCAGCCTGGGCAACAAGAACAAAACTCCATCTCAAAAAAAATTTAAAAAATACAAAACTTAGCCAGGCGTGGTGGCTGGCGCCTGTAATCCCAGCTACTCGGGAGGCTGAGGCAGGAGAATCGCTTGAACCCAGGAGGCGGAGGTTGCAGTGAGCCGAGATCGCGCCACTGCTCTCCAGCCTGGCAGAGCGAGACTCCATCTGAAAAAAAAGAAAAAGAAAAAAAGGAAAGAAAACACATCCTATGCCAAGCCTGTGCTCTCCTGGCCAAAATGAAATCATGCAGGAAGGATCCCACCTAGTTCACAACGGGACGAGCTGGAGCCCTGGAACCCTGATCACTGTCAGGAAAAAGGAAGATCCCCAAGGGGTTTGTTCAACCCCGACCCCAGCTGTGCACAAAGCCTGTTTTCTCAAATGTGTGTGCACATTACAACACCTTCCCAACAAAAGGTAGGAATATTTTAAAACGTAGAATCAGGGCCGGGTGCGGTGGCTCACGCCTGTAATCCCAGCACTTTGGGAGGCTGACGCGGGTGGATCACGAGGTCAGGAGATCGAGACCATCATGGCTAACACGGTGAAACCCCGTCTCTACTAATAATACAAAAAATTAGCCAGGGGTGGTGACGGGCCCCTGTAGTCCCAGCTACTCGGGAGGCTGAGGCAGGAGAATGGCAGGAACCCGGGAGGCGGAGATTGCGGTGAGCCCAGATCGCTCCACTGCACTCCAGCCTGGGCGACAGAGCGAGACTGCGTCTCAAAAAAAAAAAAAAAAAGGTAGAATCAAATCAGTGACCCTAACTTCCAGGGCTTGCCTCTGTGCTCTAGCTCACATTCCAACCCGTGTCAGAAGACAAATCGATCAGCAAGAGCTGTGGACGGCTACTCAGAGGCAGGCCTGAGCTGCTAACTGGGAGATGAGTACCAAACCAGCAATGCCTACATGTCTGAGCAAACCCATCCCGCAGCATTCCAGAGCTGGGACGGGAGGCAGGTCCACGCTAGAGGTGGCGTTTCTACAGCTCCAGAGATGAGCACCCTCCATTTCCCACGCGAAACAGCAGTCTTTCAACCTCTACACCGCCCAGAGTTAAGCAAACAGGGTCAGCGGAAGACACACCTAATAGCTTTGGGAAACCACAAAATGATTGCTTTGTGCGTAATTTCTCTCAAGAAGAGTGCCTGATCATCTTTAAGTTACAAGGGTGACTGAAAGGGTAACTTAATAGTAACTTAAATCTTTCCCAGGCTTCGTCGATCAGCAGCAGTCTGGAGCGTCATTGGCAGATAGAAATACAGAGCTCAGTAAGTATCAGTAATATCCCGGGACTTTAAGGCACTGTATTTGTTGTTTCATTCTTCTAGGTCTTTCTTCGCAGTTATAATCTCTTATGGGGCAATTTTTTTTATTTAATTTTTTTTTTCCAAGACGGAGTCTTGCTCTGTCACCCAGGCTGGAGTGCCGTGGCCCGATCTCAGCTCACTGCCAACTCCACCTCTCGGGTTCAAGCGATTCTCCTGCCTCAGCCTCCCGAGTAGCTGGGAGTACAGGTGTGTACCACCACACCTGGTTAATTTTGTATTTTTAGTAGAGATGGGGTTTCACCATGTTGGCCAGGCTGGTCTTGAACTCCTGACCTCAAGTGACCCACCCACCTCGGCCTCCCAAAGTGCTGGGATGACAGGCGTGAGCCACAGTGCCCGGCCATTGTAGGGCAATTTTTTTGACACCTTCATCAAATCCCCTTGTATGCTTGTAAAAGTCATTGGTTTGAAAAGTTTAAAAATATACCTCATGCCGGGCGCGGTGGCTCATGCCTGTAATCCCAGCACTTTGGGAGGCTGAGCTGGGCGGATCACGAGGTCGGGAGATCGAGACCATCCTGGCTAACACAGTGAAACCCCGTCTCTACTAAAAATACAAAAAAAATTAGCCAGGCGTGGTGGTGGGCGCCTGTAGTCCCAGCTACTCAGGAGGCTGAGGCAGGAGCATGGCGTGAACCCGGGAGGCGGAGCTTGCAGTGAGCCGAGATCGCACCACTGCACTCCAGCCTGGGTGACAGAGCGAGACTCCATCTCAAAAAAGTATATAGATATATATATATAGATATATGGATATACCTCATAACCGTTTTACAGTTCAGTAATGTGATAGATTCCCAAGGCTCAAGCTATGAAATGAATGACTAAACTTAATGATCATTTATCTAAACACAATAATAGCATTTATTGAGCACTCACCACATGCCAGGCACGTGTATATTATCTCGCGTAGCCTTTACACAATAAGGCAGGTGCTGTTATCACAAATGGAAAAGGAACGTGTGGTACAGAGATGTACAGCGCCTTGCACAAGGACACACAGCTAATAAACGGCAGAGCGGGGGCGTGAACTCAAGCAGAAGGACAAAAGACTCTATATTTTTAGCCATGTATTAGACTGCCTTATTATGCAGAGAAAAAACAAAGAGATTAAAAAATATATTACAAATGATGGAACAAGAAAAAGCCTCTCAAGGAACATTGCTCTTATTACTTTATTTTTATTTATTTATTTATTTATTTATTTATTTAATACAGGGTCTTGCTGTGTTGTCCTGGCTGGAGTGTAGTGACACAAACATGGCTCACTGCAGCCTCCACCTCCTGGGTTTAAGCAATCCTCCTGCCTCAGCCTCCCGAGTAGCTGGGACCACAGGTACCCACCACTGTGACCAGCTAATTGTTATTTTTTGCAAAGACAATGTTTCACCATGTTGCCCAGGCTGGTCTCAAACTCCTAGGCTCAAGTGATCCCCCCACCTTGGCCTCCCAAAGTGCTGAATTACAGGTGTGAGCCATCACACCCGGCCTGCTCCTAACTGGACTGTTGTCCTTTATTACTAAAAGACTGGCCCAAGTCCTAGAAACACAGTCACCAGTGGGAGCCTGTCCTGGCTGGTCCGGGCTTCTTATGAAGAAGGCAGAAAATCCTAATTTTCAAATCTGCACCTTTTTGCCATCTTTTCCCACCTTGAAAGTGAATGCAAAGAAAAGATACAGTGGTGTCACAGCAACTGTTCTCTTCCTGGCTGCAGTGTTTGGATTCAAGGAAGAGTGGCAGAGCTGGAGTTGTAAGAATGTTGAGGTTGCTACCAAATCCTGTCCCACCCATAGGGCCAAAGGGATTCAAGTAAATTCTCAGCCAAGCTTCTCATTGAGTCTGAACTGAAAGAACCACCCAGAGCAGCCAGAGTGAGACTCCACTTCCCCTGGCTGGAGCAGGCTGACCAGGGATACTGGACCAGGGTCCCCTGACTCTGCAGACTTTCTCTTCCCCTTTGTCATGCAGGAAGTCCTGGGGCCACACCAGAGCCTCACAAAACTGTCCAGAGGAAGCCAGTGGTCTGCACCCTTGGATGTCAGTGCACCCACACTGACCATATGTTTTTGATCAGGCATCCAGCCCAGACAAAGTTGAGCTCTGCGACTTTAACACCAAAAGAGTGCTCACTTCTATGAGGCTGAAGTGGATCCCGGAGACGGACCTCTCCAGTCTTGACGAGTGAGTAACATACTAATCCAAAGGGAAGACCAAATCCCCAAAGTCCAAATTTCACCACCTCCTGACTATCGATCACATTCCTTCTCTCTAGAAATGTGAAAATCATCTACCAACCTACTTATTAAAACAAGTCTAACTGCCTTAACTTCAGGATTATAGATTTGCTGATGAAATTGTTATAAATGCTCTCAAAGTTCTATTACCATCTAATTACAATTTATGCACAGCTATATAATAATGTGTGTTTTGGAAGCTGAAATAATATGTGTTTTGGAAGCCAAAAAAATTAAGCTTCAATTACTTTTGTACCTACCATGACAACAGGCAGAAACAGGACAATTTTGTATAAAGAATGTTTTTTTACATTTTTGTCCTTTTTTTTTTTGGTGTTTTCTCACAGTTCCTGTCAAGGTGAGAGGAACCAGGCAAAATGCAGGCTTAACATATACGGTCATCCCCAGGTTTTTTTTAACTATATAAAGGAGAAATTAATAAAAGAAAAAAAGAAATACCACACAGCATTTTCTTTCCCCACCATAATTTTTCAATTTTCTTTAGAGAAATGCCAGCCAATAACTAATTAGAACCATACCCTTTGTTATCCCAATGGGAAGAAGTATACGCATGGGCTTAAAGAACAAATGTTAATGAGAATTTAAAAAAAATTAGCAATCTGGAACTCTGGTTTCCCTTCAGTGTAAAACAAAATTCCCTTCTCTAGAGTTATTTTTATCATTGGCGAAATGACACGGATAGAGTCCATCCACAAGACGTGTTCACCCATCCAGTGCCCTCAGCTGGGAGAACTCCGGCTCTTCACTTGTTCTGATGGGGAAATTAGCATCATTAGCTCACGGGCTTCTAAGCACCCTAACTTCAAATGAGACAAAAACTCAGTTACAGAAAAGGCATTTGTTCCACATCTCTTTGGTTTCAAGGGGGAAAATAATTCCTTTTTTTTTTTTTTTGAGACAGAGTTTCGCTCTTGTTGCCCAGACTGGGGTGCAATGGTGCGATCTCGGCTCACCGCAACCTCCGCCTCCCAGGTTCAAGCGATTCTCCTGCCTCAGCCTCCCTAGTAGCTGGGACTAGAGGCATGCGCCACCAGGTCTGGCTAATTTTGTATTTTTAGTAGAGACGGGGTTTCTCCATGTTGGTCAGGCTGGTCTGGAACTCCCGACCTCAGGTGATCCGCCCACCTCAGCCTTCCAAAGTGCTGGGATAACAGGCATGAGCCACCGCACCCGGCAATAATTCCTTTTAAAATCAGCACGTAGCTTTTGTAATTTCCAAGAGTATGTGTTCCATAAGAAGGACAGCTGGAGTCTTTTTACCTGGTATATATCCCCGAGAAAGATCTTGAGTGGTTTGTTCACGACCAAGGAAAGAAACTACCTCCTTGAAAACTGGACTGGTTTTAGAGAATAAAGTATAGGATGTGAGTCAGAAAAACTCTGGGCCAAAAAATAAAATGTTTAAGATGCTAACGCACCAGGGTTTGGGCACGTCCAGCACTCTCAACGGTATTTTCAAATGAGAGTCTGCCCTGTGTCATCCAGGTTCTCATCATGGAGGAATCAGCAGGTCCAGGCTAGGGCCGCAGAATACTTTTTGTCATGCAAAGAGCCTGTCCAGGGTATAGAGAGCCAGCCATGGCCCATGTCCTATCAAATATTCTC
Organism: Homo sapiens; assembly: GCF_000001405.40. Taxonomy (NCBI): domain Eukaryota; kingdom Metazoa; phylum Chordata; class Mammalia; order Primates; family Hominidae; genus Homo; species Homo sapiens. The sequence continues at coordinate 16,742 of NT_187613.1, forward strand.
CTTTTTCGGAAAAAGCTCTAAGCATTTGCAAAACATCTGTTTGCTCCATATTTTTACTATCCAAAAAATGTATTTCCTCTTCAGTAAAAAACACAACAATAGGCTGTTAAGCCTGTAACATTTTACCATAATTCTATGTTTTCAAAAGCTAGAAATCATTTGTATTGCCGGATAAGGACATTATTTTAAGTAGACTTTAGTCTACAACAGAAACTTGCCGTAACAATGAAAATGTTTTTTGGCAAATCCCTTTCTGAACATTATTTCTCCACGAACGTATCACAAAAACCACCACCAAGGAAAACAAAGGATTCTCGTATTTTGAATCAAAAAGTACTGGCCATGCATATTCATACTATATCAAGCATGTCAATCAAAATGGGCAAAATAACCTAAAAAGCAGTAAAAATGCCAACTCTTGCCTCTGAGTGGTTAGTGAACCTATGTTTTCCCAATATGAAATTTACAAACTGCATCGGATCAACTGTATTTCATACTTTAAATCTCGAATCTCTACCTCCCACTGCTTCGGGATGGATGATTTACTCAAGACATTTGGGGTCACAGTGTAAGCCTTTTGCTCCCAGTAAATCTAAATCATGCTTCTCAACAAGATTCTGCACATATAAAAGGAACACGTGGCACGCCTCGCCATGCTCCCCAGAGGAAACTAAACGCCCCCAGAATAGCCCTTCTGTCCACTCCAGAAACAGGCTTTCCTCAAAAAGGGAAAGGGGCTGGATTCACACGTTGCATCATATACACTCACGAAGCAACAGCGCTCCAAAACTTTTTCTGACTCCATTCATTACAAAATGTCCTGGATGTGCTTTATTATCACAGAGACAGACATCCTCACCCAAGGGACACACTCAGAAACCCAAACTCAACTCGGCAGCAAACTGGGAGACACGAGAAGTTGACAGCAAAGTATCCATTTCCCCAAATCCTCCTTCTTCCAGTCAATGTGCATCGATGGGGTCAGCTCAGCCCTTAACTCGAAGACCCCGGGACCACAGGGGCCACCACGCAGCTGAGCTCTGCACAGCCCGGGCTGTTCCCGCGCCCGGGAGGCGTCTGGGGAGGAGGCTGGACGGCCAGACAATGCAAAGCTCCCCGGTGGCCGCGAACTCAGCCTGGGGCGGGGGAGGCGGGGGCGGGAGACGGAGCCGTGAGCGCCCTTCTCGGCCACAGCCACGGCCACGGTCACCGGCCGCCTCTCCTGACCTCGGCCTCGGCCCCCAGGTCCCCGGTCCCCGGGGAAGGGGCTCCGGGAAGGCAGGTTTCTCCCGGAAAGAAAGGAAACGCGCTGGTTTGGGCGCCACGGGCGGGGGGCGTGCGCCCTCCCCTCCCCTCCCCTCCCCACTGTGGGAATCCGCGGGGGTCGGCGGCGGAGGCAGGAAGGGCCTGGCGCCTCTGCTCGCGGGTGAAGGGGTCGCGGAACCGGGATCCCCGAGCGCAGCCGCCCCCACCCGAGGCTCCCAGCGTGTGCGGACGGAGGGGCTCGAGCCGGGATCCCGGGGGCCGAGGGGGGTCCAACTTTCCAGGGCGGGCGCAGCGCAGCACTCGAACCAAAGAGGGGTCCTGGGATGAGGGTGCGGGCACAGCGCGGAAGGGGGGGGGGCAGAGGCGGGGACGGCGGGGTGGGGGGCGGGGAGAGGACAGTGGGTCGGGGGGCGGGGGACTGGGGGCAGGGGTCGGGGGGTGGAGGGCGGGCAGGGGGACAACGGGGTTGGCGGAGGGCAGGGGTAACGGGCGTGGGGGGCGGGCAGGGGTAACGGGCGTGGGGGGCGGGCAGGGGCCGGCGAGGCCCGCGCCGCTCACCTTCCTGTGCTTCTCCTTGTAGGGCAGCGCCAGCCACGGCATGTCCCGCACGAAGTCCTGCCACTGCCGCTGGTCCTGGTCCGAGGACACGAAGACGATCTCCAGGCGCCGCCGCGGCTCGGGCTCCGCCGCCGCCCCGGCCCCCGCTCCCGGCCCCGGCCCGGCCGCCGCGTCCCCCCGCAGGCGCCCGTAGAAGGCGGCCAGGCTGGCGCTGAGCTGCGCGCAGGGGGCGCTGAGGCTGCAGCCGAAGTAGAGACCCAGCAGCGAGATGCCGCGGGCGCCCAGCGAGTGCACGTCCACCTCCTCGCCGCCGCCCGTCACCAGCTTCTCGCCGAGCAGCTCCTCCAGGAAGCCCGACATCCTGGCCCACCGCAGGGCGGGCAGGCGGCTGCGACCCCGCTCCACGGTCCGCGCGGCGGGAGGAGGCGGCGGCGTCGGCGGCAGGCGCTGGGGAGAGCAGAGCCCGGCCCAGTAGGGCCGCCCACGCCACGCCCCCTCCGCCTGCCCGCGCCACGCCCCTTCCCCCGCCCTGCCACGCCCCCTCCGCGGCCCGCGCCACGCCCCTTCGGCTGCCCTCGCCACGCCCCTCCGCCCGCCCTCGCCACGCCCCCTCCGCCCTCGCCACGCCCCGTTTGCGGCCGGCGGTGGCCAGAGCTCTCCGCCCAGGCGGGGTCCGCAGCTGCCGGCCGCGGTGCGCGGGGTGACTGCTTGGGCGAGAAGCCGGACCCGAAACGCCGCACTCTCCCTGGAAAGCCCACGGCCGAAGTGAAGAAAGGAGAAGGGCCCGCTGAGCCGGCGCTTTCCCGGGCTGCAGCCCGGCCCGCATTTTCTCTCCTCCCCAGTTCTAAATTCCCTCCAGACCTCCAGGGATCCCGCCCCCTCCCCGCGGAGCTCTTCACCCTCTTCCTGTTCCTCCCCGGCCTTTCCCTCCTCCTCTCCCTGCACGAAGCCTGACCCTTAGGCCGCTCCGGGCCCCACTGACCCTGAGATGCTTATAGGACCCGCCGTCCTCACTGCATCAGGCCGGGCCTGGCTGGACACTGACTCCTCTGTGTGTTCCAAGCTGTTCTAAGGGGGCCGAGGACGCCCTCGCAGCTTCTGGTGGGGTCTGGTTAGGGTGCCAGGTCTCAGTGTGGGATTTCCGTCCAGGGGTCGCCGGGGCCTCTCCCCCCAGCGAATCTGTCTTCCAGCCCCACAAATGGATGCAAAGGACGCCGCGGGGCCTCCAGACCAATGCTGGCCGCGCTCCTGAATCCGCTCCATCCTCATGTCAAGTCTATGGATAGTTGAGAACATTTCTAGAGATTTTTTTTTTCCTACCAGCTGGCAGGATGCTCCCCAATGCTTAGGGAGAAGCTGGATTAAACAGGTGGTCTGGGCCGGGCGCGGTGGCTCACGCCTGAATTCCCAGCACTTTGGGAGGCCGAGGTGGGTGGATCACAAGGTCAGGAGTTCGAGACCAGCCTGGCCAATATGGTGACACCCCCCCCCCGCCTCTACTAAAAATACAAAAATTAGCGGGGTGTAGTGGCAGGCACCTGTAATCCGAGCAACTCAGGAGGCTGAGGTAGGAGAATGGCGTGAAGCCGGGAGACGGAGGCTGCAGTGAGCCGAGATCGCTCCATTGCACTCCAGCCTGGGCAACAGAGCAAGACTCCGTCTCAAAAAAAACAAAAAAACAGGTGGTCCGTGGCGAGTACTCTGGCCACGCAGCGCCTCCCCCCAACCCAACCCACTGGTGCACGAAGCAGGTGCAGATCCGGGCCCAGCCACAGTAACAGGCCGCCGGTGTGGATCAGCTACTGACGACTCAGCGAAAGCAAAAAAATAAAAGCTGAAAACCCGCCCCTCTCAGAGCTTCCACCGCCGCTTCGGAGGATATTTCCTGTGCATCCATCGCCACCTAATGGAAAGAGTGAAAAATGAGGCCGACCAAACTCCATTTGTGAAAAGACACTGCCGGGACACCAGGCACAATGCTTTTATTTTACAGCAGCTTTCCACATACACAAATGATAGGACGCTTTGCGGGAGCTAATTTAAACCTCAGAATAGAACTTCAAGCTTTTGGCACAAAACGTAAGTGTTCACATCGAAGGTTCTCCGTTTTTCTAGGGTAGAATAAGGAATGGTGCAGGGTTCCAGCTTGGTGAAATGTTACCATATAAAACAATTGGGAGAGGTGGAGATGGGAGCGGAAAGTGGACTGGCGTCTCTACAAGTTATATCCACTTCCTTAGTCACCTGCTGGTATTGCTAATGACACAGGTAAGATCTTAGATGGAGGACCGCCTTCGAACACCCTAGAATCCTACTGCAAAGTCGAATTCCACCTTAATTCTCAGGAGACTTTCATGCTGAAAGTCTGTGCCACTGTAGGGACAATATTATAAAACACACACAGAAAGCATCACTTTTTAGTGAAAACTTTATTTATTTATTTATTTATTTATTTATTTATTTTGAGACAGTGTGGGCGGCAGGCCACCCAGGCGCTGAGGCAAGAGACCGAGGACACAAGCCGTTCCAGTGTAATAAAATATAAAATAAGAATAGTTATACCAGATATAGATCTTAGATAGGCTTATATATGAATATCATTAATCATTAGTTTGTAGCAATTACTCTTTATTCCCATATTATAATGATCCTCGCTCTATAATCATAATCTAGGGAAAACCAGGCCATACAGAGATAGGAGCTGAGGGGACATAGTGAGGAGTGACCAGAAGACAAGAGTGCGAGCCTTCTGTTATGCCCAGACAGGGCTACCAGAGGGCTCCTTGGTCTAGCGGTAACACCAGCGTCTGGGAAGACACCCGTGGCCAGGCGGACTGTGGTGTAGCGGTAGCGTAAGTGTCAAGGAAAAACACCCGCTACTTAGCAGACCGGGAAAGGGAGTCTCCCTTTCCCCGGGGGGAGTTTAGAGAAGACTCTACTCCTCCACCTCTTGTGGAGGGCCTGACTGCAGGTTCGCCCACAATTATCCGGAGGCCTAACTGTCTCCCTGTGATGCTGTGCTTCAGTGGTCACGCTCCTAGTCCGCCTTCATGTTCCATTCTGTACACCTGGCTCTGCCTTCTAGATAGCAGTAGCAAATTAGTGAAAGTACTAAAAGTCTCTAATAATGGTGGAAGCTGTTTCTCTCTTTGTCTCCTCTCTCTCTCTGCCTCGGCTGCCAGGCAGGGAAGGGCCCCCTGTCCAGTGGACACGTGACCCACATGACCTTACCTATCATTGGAGATGGCTCACTCTCCTTATCCTGCCCCTTTGTCTTGTATCCAATAAATATCAGTGCAGCCTGGCATTTGGGACCACTACCGGTCTCCGCGACTTGGTGGTAGTGGTTCCCCAGGCCCAGCTGCCTTTTATCTCTTTGTCTTGTGTCTTTATTTCTACACTCTCTCGTCTCCGCACACGGGGAGAGACCCACTGACCCTGTGGGGCTGGTCCCTACAGACAGAGTCTCACTCTGTTGCCCAGGCTGGAGTGCAGTGGTGCGATCTCAGCTCCTGCAACCTCTGCCTACCAGATTCAAGTGATTCTCCTGCCTCAGCCTCTCGAGTAGCTGGGATTACAGGCATGCACCACCTCCCAAATAGCTGGGATTACTGGCATGCACTAATTTTTTTGTTTTGTTTTGTTTGTTTGTTTTTTGCAACAGAGTCTTGCTCTGTTGCCCAAGCTGGAGTGCAGTGGCGCGATCTCGGCTCACTGCAAGCTCCGCCCCTCCAGGTTTAAGCAATTCTCTGCCTCAGCCTCTGGAGTAGCTGGGATTACAGGCGTCCGCCACCAAGCCTGGCCAATTTTTTGTATCTTTAATAGAGACGGGGTTTTCACCATACTGGCCAGGCTGGTCTCAAACTCCTGGCCTCAAGTGATCCACCCGCCTCAGCCTCCCAAAGTTCTGGGATTACAGGCATGAGCCACCACCCGGCCTTGGTGAAAACATTTAAAGCTACTCATATCATATATATTAAGTTACTAGGCCAGGTGAGGTGGCTCACACCTGTAATCCCAATACTTTGGGAGGCCGAGGCGGGCAGATCATGAGATCAGGAGATTGAGACCATCCTGGCTAACACAGTGAAACCCCGTCTCTACTAAAAATACAAAAAATTAGCCGGGCGAGGTGGCGGGCACCTGTAGTCCCAGCTACTCGGGAGGCTGAGGCAGGAGAATGGCATGAACCCGGGAGGCGGAGTTTGCAGTGAGCCGAGATCGCACCACTGCACTCCAGCCTGGGCGACAGGGAGAGACTCCATCTCAAAAAAAAAAAAAAAGTATATATATACACACACACACACACACACACACACACACACATAGTTACTAGACATCTTTTGAAATCCTGTAAATGGGTTACAATGTTTTATCATCTCATCCAAATCTTATCTGAAAGGCCCATGCACTGGGTACGTGGGTTAGGCACTACTGAAAGAGTGTTAGAGTCCTACACTCTGACACTTTCAAAATTATGAAAACTACAGAAATGTAAAAGGGCTATCAGCATTTACCTGCTACGGCAGCCAAAGGGCAAGAGGCATTTGGTGTGGAGGCCGGTGAAGAGGGAATTTGGGGGGCTGCAAATATTGCAAATATTCGAGTATTAACTTTGGTATACTTGGTGCAAGTCTGATATAAAGAGGAGGTTTCTTCCATGTGTGACTTGTCTTATTTAACAGGAAAGCACTTTCCACTGGAGTGTGTCCAAACCAGCATCTGGCACCTGGGGAAGGGAGAGTTCGAACACACTGCACATGAAATATAAATAAAATTTAGAGAATTGTGGATGCGGCAGGCCTTGGTTAGAGGCCAAATATCACAGCTGCCTTTTAAAGGGGTGTGGAAAGAGGGGATTTGCAATGGAAATGATCCCAGAATCATAATTGTAGTGGGTGTTATAAGAAGCCCAAGGAGTCATTTGGCATCCTGTGAAGAATTAGCCAGTGTGCTCTGGGCTACAGAAATCTTGCTCTCTGTGTATGTGGTTCTCTAAAGGAGAATGTCCCCACTGGTGTTCAGCTAGCGATGTTACATGAATCGACTTGGCTATTCTGAAAATTATTATTGTTTTAAAATATGTAGGAATGAGCCTCAACATGTATCGCATTCTGTAGAACATATTAGAATTTTCTCTTCAGAAATTGCTTTTGAAGGCACATGAAGTCATACGAAATACACACAGCACAAATATATATTTGTCACTTTTAAGATTCATAAATCACAGTCCTTGGACTTTAGAAAGAGTAGCACACATGATGTGGGCCGGGCGCGGTGGTTCATGCCTGGAATCCCAGCACTGTGGGAGGCCAAGGTGGGCGGATCACCTGAGGTCACGAGTTCAAGACTAGCCTGAGCAACATGGCAAAATCCCATCTCTACTAAAAATTAAAAAATTAGCTGGGTGTGGTGGCGCACACCCATGGTCCCAGCTACTCAGGAGGCTGAGGTGGGAGGATCGATTGAGCCCAGGAGGTCGAGGCTGCAGTAAGCCATGACTGTGCCACTGCACTCCAGCCTGGGTGACAGAGCAAGACTTTTTCTTAAAAAAAAAAAAAAAAAGCATTCGTGACTCATGGGAGAAGATCAAAATATCAACGTTAACAGGAGTTTGGAAGAAGTTGATTCCAACCATCACACGTGTCTTCCGTGAAGGAAGAAAGTGCGGATGCGGTAGAAACAATGAGAACTAGAATGAGAGGTGAAGCCTGAAGATGGGGCTGAGATGGCTGCAGTCTCATGACCAAACTGTAGCAGGTGAGGAGTTGCTTCTTGTAGATGAGCAAAGACAGTTAGAACGTCAACTTAATAAGGCAGCGGTAAGGTTTGAGAGGACTGACTCCAATTTTGAAAGAAGTTCTACTGTGGGTAAAATGCTATCAAACAGCATCGCACGCTACAGAGAAATCTTTCTTGAGAGGGAGAGATGATGGATACGGCAAGCTTCGCTGCAGTCTGATTTTAAGCGCTTTTACCACAGCCACCCAACCTTCAGCAACCACCATCCTGATCAGTCACCAGCAGCCATCAATATTGAGGCAAGACCCTCCACCAGCAAAATGATTTCAACTTGCTAAAGGCTCAAATGATCATTAGCATCTTTTTTTTTTTTTTTTTTTTTGAGGCGCAGTCTCGCTCTGTCACCCAGGCTGGAGTGTGGTGGTGCCATCTCCACTCACTGCAAGCTCCGCCTCCCTGGTGCATGCCATTCTCTTGCCTCGGCCTCCCAAGTAGCTGGGATTACAGGCACCTGACAGGACGACCGGCTAATTTTTGTATTTTTAGTATAGACAGGGTTTCACCATATTAGCCAGGATGGTCTCGATCTCCTGACCTCGTGATCCACCCGCCCCGGCCTCCCACAGTGCTGGGATTACAGGTGTGAGCCACCACGCCCAGCTGTTTTGTTTTTGTTTTTGTTTTTTGAGATGAAGCTTCATTCGTTGTCCAGGCTGGAGTGCAATAGCGTGATTTTGGCTCACTGCAACCTCTGCCTTCCTGGTTCAAGCCATTCTCCTGCCTCAGCCTCATGAGTAGCTGGGATTATAGGTGCGTATCACCACGCCCAGCTATTTTGTTTGTATTTTTAGTAGAGACAGTGTTTCACCATGTTGGCCAGGCTGGTCTCAAACTCCTGACCTCAGGTGATCCATTCACCTCAGCCTCCCAAAGTGCTGGGATTACAGGTGTGAGCCACTGCGCCTGGCCTGTGATATTAGTTTTATTGTTGTAATCTGGAACCAGAGCTGCAATATCTTGAGGTTTGCCAGTATATAAACACAGAGAAACGTATTCCTAACAAAACAAGTAGGAAATATCCATGATCATTCCAGCCCGTGTTTCTGTAACTGGCCATGGGTTGTGGCTGGTATTTATAATGACCTTTCACTATCCATTATGTATTCCCTTTGCTTTCAGTAAGCACCTCAGCTGGTTGTGGGTCTTTTCCTGGTGGGTGACCCAAACTTTCATTCCTGAAAGGTCTGGGCCCTTGGTAGTCCTGCCTGGATTGAATTCTTGTGGTTTTTCCATTGCCCTAAATCATAGGCCATGGTCTACTAGGACACCCTGAGGGGCCTCTATTCCAGACATACTCTTGCTCACCTCAATTGTGGACTTGTGGTCCAATCTAGGATCAATCACCCCAGCCAGCACAGTAACTCTCTTATCTGCCTGTTGATTCAGAGGCAGTGGGAGGCCAAACAGGCCCAGCAGAAGTCCTCACTTGGAGTTCAATGGCACCACTGTTGGGTCTTCTGGGGGAAACATTCCTCCATTTGGAAATACGACCCCTAGGCCAGCAGAGCATAAGGTCACGTGAACAGGAAACAAACATCTTGCTGCTGGGTCACTAGGAGTGCTAGGGACTGGTGCCCCTCTCATTGCCACCCCTTGATTCCCGGACCCATGAATCCTGGCTGTGGGAGAAACAGCACCCTACACTCAGTTCTGATTCAGAGCATATACTGCCTCCTGCAGAACTCTGGCCCAGCCCTGCAAGGCATCGCCACCCAGCTGGTGCTGTAGTGGAGTCTTCAAAAGGCCATTCCACCATCTTATCAAACCAGCTGCTTCAAGATGGTGGGCAACATGGTCGTACCGGGGAATTCCATGAGCATGGGCTCGTTACCATACTTTCTTTGCTGTGAAGGGAGTTCCTCAGACAGAAGCAGTGCGGTGTGGCATACCGTGACAGTAGGTACGGCATTCTGTGAGTCCACGGATGCTAGTTTTGGCAGGAGCGTGACGTACAGGGAAGGCAAATCCCGATCTAGAGTAAGTGTCTATTCCAGTGAGGACAAAATGCTGCCCCTTCCGTGATGGAAGTGATCCAGTGTCACCAACCTGTCACCGGGTCACTGGCTGATCACCCCAGGGAATGGGGTCACCAACTGATCACCCCAGGGAATGGGATCACCGGGTCGCTGGCTGATCACCCCAGAGAATGGGGTCACTGGCTGATCACCCCAGGGATTGGGGTCACCGGCTGATCACCCCAGGGAATGGGGTCACCGGGTCGCTGGCTGATCACCCCAGGGAATGGGGTCACCAACTGATCACCCCAGGGAATGGGGTCACCAGGTCGCTGGCTGATCACCCCAGAGAATGGGGTCACTGGCTGATCACCCCAGGGATTGGGGTCACCGGCTGATCACCCCGGGGAATGGGGTCACTGGGTCGCTGGCTGATCACCCCAGGGAATGGGGTCACCGACTGATCACCCCAGGGAATGGGGTCACCGGGTTGCTGGCTGATCACCGCAGGGAATGGGGTCACTGGGTCGCTGGCTGATCACCCCAGGGAATGGCATCATTTCAGGGGCTCAGGGTTGGTCTCTGTTGCTGGCAGATGGGGCTTTCAGCCATGGCTGCAGCCAGGATGGCCATAGTGAGTAACAGTCTGTGCTGTGAGCCCATGAATAACCTTTATCCCTGCCCCCCATGGCCACTTTGTTCATGAGCCCACTGGGCACTAACTGTGGTGTCGGGGGAGAGAGGCTGAGCAGCACCCAGAGAACGGGCCATCCTATCGCTTGAAGATTCGAACTCTTCCCTGGTGAGGCCACCCTTTGGCGAGCATTTACATGGGACACACGTATCGTCCGGTTTTTGCCCACATACCTCTTCTCTCAGTTCCCTCGGTTTCCTTGTCACTAATTTTCCAATCATGTTCCTTCCAAGTCCCTGACTCTCCAGGCAAATCATTGGCTACGGTCGGTGAATCGGTGTGTGCTCTCACGTCCAGCCATTTCTCCTTCCAAGCACAACCAACAACCAGGTGCACTGCGCCAACGTCTGCCCACCGGGAGGATCTGCCCCCACCGCTGTCCTTCGGGAATGTCCAAGGAAGAGGCTGGAGGGCAACAGCTGCTCAGTTTCGGGCGGAGACTGCACGTCGTACAGAACCATCTGCAAACTGGGATGTGAGTCTTCGCTTTCTCTGTCAGCTGATCATGGAGGACTCCCCATGATGCTAGAGGTGCAGGCTGGGAAAGGGAAGGCAGGGTGGAGTCGTGGCAGTGGGAACCAAGGGCCTTTGAAGCTGCTTCTCCATCTAACTTCCTGGTGCCTTCAGGGCCTGCTTGGGCCCAGTCACGTGTATACTATTTCCATTAGATGGTGAAGCACGGTGCTGCTGTGCACACCCAACTGTATGGCTTGATGGGTCAGAGAACCTCCAGTTCACGACGGGCAGCTCAGGCCACATGGTAACTCCGTGGCCCATGGCTAAGCATCAGTCTCCAAGAAGGCCCAGTAGCAGTCCAAAAGCTGTGTCTCAAAAGGAGAGTACTGTCCACAGGATGGCAGAGCTTTGCTCCAAAATCCTACAGGCTTGCTCTGCGATTCACCTACGGGGCCTGCCAAAGGCTGCAAACAGCATCCTTGTCTGCCACGGTCTCTTCAAGCATCACTGGATCAGCTGGATCACGTGGCCCACGTGGAGAGCAGCTTGCATCACAGTCGGAACCTGCTACAGTGCGTTCTCTCGCTCTGGTCCCTCTCAAAGCTAGCAGATTTTCAGGTTGCTCTATAACTAGGTCAGGCTAACACGCCCAAATGAGGATTGAGTTGCCGTTAAATATCTGGACACTAAACGGCCCAGTCAAGTTGGCACACACAATTGCCCATCACACACTCTGACATGGGGTATCTTTAAGACGTAGCACAAGAGAAAGGAGGGTGCAGAAGAGGTAGGAAATACTAACCTACAACTTGTCTTTTTTTTTTTTTTTAAAGAAACAGGGTCTTGGCCAGGTGCAGTGGCTCACGCCTATAATCCCAGCACTTTGGGAGGCCGAGGTGGGTGGATCACGAGGTCAAGAGATTGAGACCATCCTGGCCAACATGGTGAAACCCCGTCTCTACTGAAAATACAAAAACTAGCTGGGTGTGGTGGTGGATGCCTGTAATCCCAGCTACTCAGGAGGCTGAGGCAGGAGAATCGCTTGAACCCGGGAGGCGGATGTTGCAGTGAGCCGAGATCACACCACTGCACTCCAGCCTGGTGACACAGTGAGACTCCATCTCAAAAAAAAAAAAAAAAGGAAAAAAAAAAGAAATGGGGTCTTGCTCTGTCACCCAGGCTGGGTATAGTGCTGTGATCATGGCTCACTGCAGCCTCCAACTCCTGGGCTCAAGTGATCCTCCCACCTCAGCCTCCCGCATAGCTGGAATTACAGGTGCACTCCACCATGCCCGGCTAATTTATTTTCTTTCTTTCTTTCTTTTTTTTTTTTTAGAGATAGAGGTCTCACTATGCTGCCCAGGCTGGTCTTGAACTCTTGACTTCAAGGGATCCTCCGGCTTGGCCTTCTGAACTGCAGGGATTATAGGCATGAGCCACTGCACCCGGCCCCATTTGTAATTCTTTTTTTTTTTTTTTTTTTTTTGAGACAGAGTCTCGCTCTGTCGCCCAGGCTGGAGTGCAATGGCACAATCTCGGCTCACTGCAAGCTCCGCCTCCCGGTTTCACGCCATTCTCCTGCCTCAGCCTCCAGAGTAGCTGGGACTACAGACGCCCGCCACCACCAGCTAATTTTTGCATTTTTGGTAAAGACAGGGTTTCACTATGTTGGTCAGGCTGGTCTTGAACTCCTGACCTCAGGTGATCCGCCCGCCTCAGCCTCCCAAAGTGCTGGGATTACAGGTGTGAGCCACCGCACCCGGCCTGTATTATAAGCTTTAATGTCTGTTTTATATTTTCCTTTTTAAAAAGTCGGTATTTTGTGGCAGATCCACTAATAAATGAAATTACCTGATAGAGAAGTGCATACAGCAGAATATGGAGGCGAGATCTGACAAGGATCAAGACGAAGAAAGGGGGAGAAGATCGTTGTTCTCACTGGCTATGGCAGAAGTGTGGTGCAGATCTTTCTGGCACCAACTTGATATATAACTTTGGGGAGCCACCGTGATTTATTATTCTTTCTATTATTCCTTTTATCCCTTAGCAAAGCAGGACAAGTCTGGTCTCTGGGTTGCTTTTTTGTTTTTCTTTTTTGAGATGGTTCTCACTCTGTCGCCCAGGCTGGAGTGCAGTGGTACGATGATGGCTCACTGAAGCCTTGACCTCCTGGGCTCAAGCAATCCTCCCACCTCAGCCTCCCAAGTAGCTGGGACTACAGGCACATGTCACCATGCCGAGCTAATTTTTGTATTTTTTGTTTTTTTAGAGACGGAGTCTTGCTCTGTTGCCCTGGCTGGAGTGCAATGGCGTGATCTGCAAGCTCCTGCAAGCTCCACCTCCTGGGTTCACGCCATTCTCTTGCCTCAGCCTCCTGAGTAGCTGGGACCACAGGCACCCGCCACCATGCCTGGATAATTTTTTGTATTTTTAATAGAGACAGGGTTTCACCATGTTAGCCAGGATGGTCTCGATCTCCTGAACTCGTGATCTGCCTGCCTCGGCCTCCCAAAGTGCTGGGATTACAGGTGTTAGCCACCAAACCCAGCCTAATTTTTGTATTTTTTTGTAGAGACACAGTCTCACTATGTGGCCGAGGCTGGTCTTGAACTCCTGGGCTCAAGTGATCCTCCTGCCTTGACCTCCCAAAGTGCTGGGATTACAGGCATGAGCCACCATGCCCGGCCATTAGTCTCTAGTTCCTAAACAACTTTCCTAACTCTTTTCTGACTTTCTTGTAGAAGTGTAAAGTGCTGGAGAAAACACTGTGCATTTTTCTATCTGCTTCCAATACTTTTCAGATCAGATCTGAGGATTATAATTCATACCCCTAGGCTGGGCACGGTGGCTCATGCCTGTAATCCCAATACTTTTCAGATCAAATCTGAGGATTATAACTTGTACCCCTAGGCCAGGCACAGTGGCTCACACCTGTAATCCCAGCATTTTGGGAGGCCAAGGCGGGCAGATCACTTGAGGTCAGGAGTTCAAAACCATTCTTGTCAGCCTGGTGAAACCCCATCTCTACTAAAAATACAAAAAATTAGCCGGGCGTGCTGGCACATGACTGTAATCCCAGCTACTTGGGAGGCTGAGGCAGGAGAACTGCTGAACCCGGGAGGCAGAGGTTGCAGTGAGCCGAGATCTCACCATTGCACTCCAGCCTGGGTGAAGAAGCAAGACTCTGTCTCAAAAAAAAAGAACTAAACCTGGACGGAAGCACCTGTGTCTTCCTGGGCACTAGTTGTAAAAGCAACACGTTGAGTTCAGATTTTATCCTGGCATGAAGTAGAATCCAGAGCAGGGAGCACGTTCACAGTCCTGTGTGGGAAGATCATTCTGTGAATAGTTTGGAGAAGAGCAAGGTAGGAGGCTCCAAAACCAGTTAAGAGCCTATTAATTAAGAGGCCGGTGCGGTGGCTCACACCTGTAACCCCAGCACTCTGGGAGGCTGAGGTGGGAGGATTGCTTGAGCCCAGGAGTTTGAGACCAGTCTGGGCAACAGAGTAAGAACCAGTTTCTGTAAAAAAGGTTTTTAAAAGTTAGCCCGGGGCACGGTGGCTCACACCTGTAACCCCAGCACTTTAGGAGGCTGAGGTGGGAGGATTGCTTGAGCCCAGGAGTTTGAGACCAGTCTGGGCAACAGAGTAAGAACCAGTTTCTATAAAAAAGGTTTTTAAAAGTTAGCCCGGGGCACGGTGGCTCACACCTGTAATCCCAGCACTTTGGGAGGCTGAGGTGGGCGGATCACGAGGTCAGGAGATCGAGACCATCCTGGCTAACACGGTGAAACCCCGTCTCTACTAAAAACACAAAAAATTAGCTGGGCGTGGTGGCGGGCGCCTGTAGTCCCAGCTACTCGGGAGGCTGAGGCAGGAGAATGGCGTGAACCCAGGAGGCGGAGCTTGCACTGAGCCGAGATCACACCACTGCACTCCAGCCTGGGCAACAGAGCAAGACTCCATCTCAAAAAAAAAAAACATTAGCCCATTACCCCGGCATGGTGGTACATGCCCATGGTCCCAGCTACTTGGCAGGGTCGAGGTAGGAGGATCCCTTGAGCCCAGGAGATCGAGGCTGCAGTGAGCCATGATGGGGCCACTGCACTCCAGTTTGGGCCACAAAGAAAGACCCTGTCTCAAAAAGAAAAAAAGAGGCTCAGAGAAGACATTACTTCCAATTAGATTAATCAGAAAAGGTAAGTTTTGAAGGGCAGGAATATTTAAAGACAGAGCTGAGGGGCATGAGTGGAGTGTTGTGAGAAGAAAAAAGAATTACTAGCAAAAGTTCACAAGGGTCTGAGTGTGGCAGCTCACATCTGTAATCCCAGCACTTTGGGAGGCCAAGGCGGGCAGATCACTTGAGGTCAGGAGTTCAAGAGCAGCCTGGCCAACATGGTGAAACTCCGTCTCTACTAAAAATACAAAAAAATTAGCTGGGCGTGGTGGCTCACGCCTGTAGCTGGGGTCAGGAGGCTGAGGCAGGAGAATCACTTAAAGCTGGGTAATGGAGGTTGCAGTGAGCTGAGATCGCACCATTGCACACCAGCCTGGGCGACAGAGCGAGACTCCATCTCAGAAAAAAGAAAAAAAAAATGTGGTCCCCAACCAGCAGTAGCATCACCTGGGAAATCCAAAATTTCACACCCACCTCAGACCTTTCTGAGTCAGAAACTAACTCTGCGCTCAGCAGCTTAACCACCTGGTTCTCAGTGATGGTTTAGGACAGCCTCACGGACCTCCAGTAAGCCCAGCCCCTCACCAGGCCAATACTCTATGAAGATGAACAGATGATGCTATTACGTGCCCTTCACTGTGGAGACAGAAGGGAGGGACCGACGGTGCTCAGGGCTGGGCCTGGAGGACCCCATCCGGAGCCTGGAGTGCTCTTTATCACCGGCTGCCCGTGGGAACCCACGACTCACGGCTGGAGGCCCCACGCCCCCTGCCTTGTTTCCATCTGCTGCAGCCAGCGACGTCAAGCCTTATTCCATCTGTCAGACCAGGCCAGACGATAAATGTCCTCTTGTGGGGAAAGTGATTCAGAGAGAAAAGCTAAGAGCCACTCCACCCTCACATAATCCACCTCACATAATCCACCCTCACATAATCCACCCTCACATAATCCACCTCACATAATCCACCTCACATAATCCACCCTCACATAATCCACCCCTCACATAATCCACCTCACATAATCCACCCACACTCACATAATCCACCTCACATAATCCACCCTCACATAATCCACCCTCACATAATCCACCTCACATAATCCACCCTCACATAATCCACCCTCACATAATCCACCCTCACATAATCCACCTCACATAATCCACCCTCACATAATCCACCCTCACATAATCCACTCTCACATAATCCGCCTCACATAATCCACCCTCAAATAATCCACCCTCGCATAATCCACACTCACATAATCCACCTCACATAATCCACCTCGCATAATCCACCTCGCATAATCCACCCACCCTCACATAATCCACCTCGCATAATCCACCCTCACATAATCCACCCTCACATAATCCACACTCACATAATCCACCTCACATAATCCACCTCACATAATCCACCTCACATAATCCACCCTCACATAATCCACCTCACATAATCCACCCTCACATAATCCACCTCACATAATCCACCCCTCACATAATCCACCTCACATAATCCACCTCACATAATCCACCCCTCACATAACCCACCCTCACATAATCCACCTCACATAATCCGCCCTCACATAATCCACCCTCACATAATCCACCCTCACGTAATCCACCTCACATAATCCACCTCGCATAATCCACCCACCCTCACATAATCCACACTCACATAATCCACCTCACATAATCCACCTCACATAATCCACCCTCACATAATCCACCTCACATAATCCACCCTCACATAATCCACCTCACATAATCCACCCTCACATAATTCACCCTCACATAATCCACCTCACATAATCCACCCTCACATAATCCACCCTCACATAATCCACCCTCACATAATCCACCCTCACATAATCCACCCACATTCACATAATCCACCTCACATAATCCACCTCACATAATCCACCCTCACATAATCCACCCCTCACATAATCCACCCTCACATAATCCACCTCACATAATCCACCCTCACATAAGACTGTGCAGCTGTCTGGTCTCCATTTCTGCCGGGTGGGGTATTCCATCCTCATCTCGGGCAACATGTCCCAAAAGTATGGTTTCCAGTATGGCTCCTTAGGTCCCACCCATTTCTTCTCTGGGACCCCAAAGACCCAACCCCCACCTTTTTTTTCTTTTTTTTGACACGGAGTCTCCGTCTGTCTCCAGGCCGGAGTACAGTGGCACCATCTCGGCTCACTGCAAGCTCCGCCTCGTGGGTTCAAGCGATTCTGCTGCCTCAGCCTCCTGAGTAGCTGGGACTACAGGGGTGCAGCCACTATGCCTAGCTAATTTTTGTATTTTTAGCAGAGACAGGGTTTCATCATGTTGGCCAGGATGGTCTCGATCTCTTGACCTTGCTTCAGCCTCCCAAAGTGCTGAGATTACAGGTGTGAGCCACCGCGCCCAGCCAAGACCCTTAAAAGAAGGACACTTCACTTCCTCTTACAACTCAGACATACCTGTGAGGCTCCTGGGCTATGGAACACCCCAGCCCTTTCGCAGCCCTTGATGGAAATTGTTTTTCAGCCCTCTGAATAAAATGACCACTGTTTACTTAATCTTTTTTTTTTCTTTTTTTTGAGACAGGGTCTCGTTCCCTCGTCCATGCTGGAGTGCAGTGGCACGATCATGACTCACTGCAGTCTCAACTTCCCAGACTCAAGCAATTTTCCTGCCTCAGCCTCCCAAAGTGCTGGGATTACAGGTGTGAGCCACCATGCCCAGCAGAGGAATCTTTTCCGATCAACATCTTCTGAGAGTCCCTGGCCCAAGTAGGCAGATGCTTGCTACGGCACTGCCTTCAGGCCATTAGCAAAAAGTGTGCTTAAATGCCCAGAGGTGTTCCCAGGCCACGTTTTGTTCATACGAGGAGTACAAAATGATGCCAAAGTGTTAGCATTCTTGGGACTGAAAACCTCTCTCCAACATCCCCTAGGATTTTCCTGGATATGACCAGAAATCCATTCCCAATTTCTCTGCCTCCAGGCCCCAATTCTGGTTTCCTCAAAGAGGAGGAAGTGTTCTTGGTTCCCAAAATATGCTTGCAGTGCAGTGGTATAATGGTAAATGTTTAACAACAATAACAAAAAGGCCCTAACTGGCCGGGCGCAGTGACTCACGCCTGGAATCCAAGCACTTTGGGAGGCCGAGGTGGGTGGGTCACCTGAGGTCAGGAGTTTGAGACCAGCCTGGCCAACATGGTGAAACCTTGTCTCTACTAAAAATACAAAAATTAGCCGGGCATGGTGGCATGTGCCTGTAATCCCAGCTAGTCGGGAGGCTGAGGCAGGAGAATCGCTCAAACCCGGGAGGTGCAGGTTGCAGTGAGCGGAGATTGCACCACTGCACTCCAACCTGGGTGACAGAGCAAGACTCTGTCTCAAAAGAGTAATTTTAAAAAGTAAGGCAACAAATTATCAGGAGTTTTTGAGCTGGTTGTTAAGCACAGTTATTATTAAAAATTACATTCTATACATTTATAATAAATTACACTAAAAATAGGTAATATGTGCTCAAAACTCATCCCCTCCTAAAAATTTTACTACACTGTACTCCTATCTATGCTGTTGAGGTTATTTCCATAGATTGTATCTGTGTGATAGAAACACCATGTAACCACATGCTGCTGTACGTCTTCCCAATTCTGACTGATGACCTCGCTTGGTAGTTTGAAATCAGCCATGATGGGGATATTAACACCACACAAGTCAGCAAATGCTGTCAGTTAGGATTTTTTTTTTTTTTTTTTTTTTTTTGAGACGGAGTCTTGCTCTTGTCGCCCAGGCTGGAGTGCGATGGTGCGATCTTGGCTCACTGCAACCTCCACCTCCCGGGTTTAAGAGATTCTCCTGTCTCAGCCTCCCGAGTAACTGAGATTACAGGCGCCTGCCGCCACCTGGCTAATTTTTATATTTTTAGTAGAGACGGGGTTTCCTGCTTCAGCCTCCTAAGTAGCTGAGAATACAGGCGTGCACCACCATGCCCAGCTAATTTTTTTATTTTTTATTTTTTTAATTTTTAGTAGAGATGGGGTTTCACCATGTTTGTCAGACTGGTCTCGAACTCCTGACCTCGTGATCCACCGGCCTCGGCCTCCCACAGTGCTGGATGACAGGCGTGAGCCCCCGCGCCCGGTCCGTGCATTTACAGCACAAGTTCACGCTTATCTACAAAGCATCCACCTCTCACCGCACCTTCCGGGACCACGGGATTTAACGCCTCACCGCCCGATGACAGCACGAGGTGGAAAGGGCAGCGACAATGCTCGCGCGTCCCCTCCCGGCGATCCGGAGCACGGCAGCCCCGGAGCGCGCGGCCACTCCTCGCTCCCCTCAGGAGCTCGTAAGAGCCCCGCGCGGGGCCGAGGCGCGAGAGCACGCGCAACGCTTCCTGGGAAATGTAGTTGGGTGTCGGATTAGAACTACAAATCCCGGTACTCACCGCGCTGCAGCCCCGACCGTGAGGGCGCTTTCTGGTGAATCTGAATCTCGTTTGTCTGTGACATGGGGAAAGCTGTCCAAGCCCAATTCCATTTTCACAAGAGGCTTTCTTTTTGGAAACATGATAGCGGTCTCGCTGGTGTGCGCACCAGGAGCGTTGCGGCCGCGGCTTCCTCCTGCGGCGAATCTGCCGTTGCATCACAGTGGCTAGTCTCAGGGCCCGCAACGTGACGCTTGTCGAATCTGCTGCGGGGAGAAGGACGCGAGGGTTGCTTGGGCAGCGACTGTCATGGCGGCGGCCGCCCCCAATGCCGGAGGCTCGGCCCCTGAGACAGCGGGTTCCGCCGAAGCTCCGCTGCAGTACAGCCTGCTCCTGCAGTACCTGGTGGGTGACAAGCGTCAGCCCCGGCTCCTGGAGCCTGGGAGCCTGGGCGGGATCCCAAGTCCAGCCAAGAGTGAGGAGCAGAAGATGATCGAGAAGGCGATGGAAAGCTGCGCTTTCAAGGCTGCGCTGGCCTGCGTGGGAGGTGAGGCCGGGCGATGGGACCCTTGGGAGGCTGAGGGCCTGGACGGCAGTGGGGATCTCTGCCGAGAAGACCACGCGCCTGGGAGGCGAGGGACTGCGGGCCTTGACCTTGACCACACCCTCGCCTCGTTCGTGAATCGGGCGTCACCTCTCCTGCCCCCTCAGGCCGGCTTTCCTGATGAAAATTGGGTTAGAGAATCGGTGCTGTGGTTGGGGCCTGAAAGTTATTACATGACATCCTGGCTAACACGGTGAAACCCCGTCTCTACTAAAAATACAAAAAATTAGCTGGACGTGGTGGTGGGCGCCTGTAGTCCCAGCTATTCGGGAGGTTGAGGCAGGAGAATCGCTTGAACCCAGGAGGCGGAGCTTGCAGTGAGCCGAGATGTGCCACTGCTCTCCAGCCTGGGCGACAGAGCGAGACTCCGTCTCAAAAACAACAACAAAAAGTTATTACGTGGGTGACTTCATTCATCCGTTCATTCCCTTAAATTCATTCTCTTAAATAATTCTTTCAACAAATTGTTCCTAAGCAATATCACGTGCCAGGTGAAAGAGACAAGAGCCTGGTCTTCATGGGGCCTGTATTATACTATGTGGAGAAGAATGTTGAGCAGGAACACTGCAGAGGAAGGATGCAGACATATGGAAATGCACATGCAGACGACTCTAGGGCAGCAGTTGTTTGAGGTTTGAAAAACTGAAAGACCATTGTGACTAGACAGCCCCGAGCAAGGAGAGACGAAGTCTGCACTTGTCCTTCTGTTTTTCCCTTAAGTTGAAGGGGAGGTGCCCATGATTTTATTAAACTCATATTGACCATGAGGTCATGAGAGGGCATCCATCTGGACATGTCCAGCCGGCTCAGGAAGGACAGATGTGGCAGCAGTGTGGGATTTGCCATTAGGTAGCTGTGTGGCCTTGGGAGAAGTTGCTTAACCTCTCTGAGCCTCAGTTTATAGAAAGGAGAGGCTAATAGCATCTGTCTCACTGGATTATTGTGAAGAATGAATGAGGCTGTGGCATACTGGCATGTGCTCAGTAAAGCATTACTGTGAATGTCACAGTGGCCAAGAGAGTGATTTGCAAAGTTGATAGCTGAAGTTGAGGGTGGCTGGTTTACATATGAGAGAATGTAGAGAGAATAGAGGGTTAAAGATGGAATCTTGAGAAATGTTAGGGAATGACAGGAGGAAGAAATCTTAGAGACGGAGAAGATGATGTCAGTAACATAGACCCTGGATTGCAAGTCTCCAGGCAAGTGGAGAGTTTGAGTGGCAAGAGGGGGGTGTCCTCTGCACCGGTGGTCATCCAAAAGCATGGTCCCTTCCAGGATGATCCCAATAGAGTAATGCAGAAAACATGCCAAAGACACCTTCATCTCTGTGTTTGCTTCTAGGATTTGTCTTAGGAGGTGCATTTGGGGTGTTTACCGCTGGCATCGATACCAACGTGGGCTTTGACCCTAAGGATCCTTACCGTACACCGACTGCAAAAGAAGTGCTGAAAGACATGGGGCAGAGAGGAATGTCCTATGCCAAAAATTTCGCCATTGTGGGAGCCATGTTTTCTTGTACTGAGTGTTTGATAGAATCTGTAAGTGTCTCTGCCTTCTAAGAAATCCTTGCTGGGGCCACCATTTCATTACTTTTAAAGAGAAATTGCTCTTTAAAAGTCATTTGAAAGTTGTTACTAGAAAGCAAATCAGAAGCATCAGATACATTCTAGGTTGAACTTCCATAAAATAGTCCCTGTGGCAGACTTTGTGTGTGTTTACAGTATGGGCTTGCATTATTTTTTACTTTTTGTAGGCTAGAAGTTAGCTAATGATTTTAAACGAGACTTATTGGAGAGCCCCTTGAAGAAATTTTGATTACATTCCAAATGCTGGGCTTGGTTTCAGCACTCTGGTGCCACCTGCAGGAAGCATCTATGAACGCATACTATATATATATATATATATATATATATATATATATACACGCTGTATACTTAGGAACTATATTTTCAAGAAAGATTAGGTTTCCTTTGGGTAGGGACTGAATGAGCTAACGAGCAACCCTGTGTATTCCTCCTTAATGGTCTGCCTTGGCTTGTTTCTTTGGCTCTAACGTGTACTTCCCTGCCCACAGTACCGGGGAACATCAGACTGGAAGAACAGTGTCATCAGTGGCTGCATCACGGGAGGAGCTATTGGTTTCAGAGGTTAGTAAACGGCTCTCGAATGCTTTTTCTTTGTGGCCTTGGACAACGTGCTGAGGTTGTCATTTCCAAACACACGAGTGTTCCAGGGACACTTGATCTTCTTCCCTCTGACAAATAAATCATGTTTGTTTCTGTGGTAACTCGGTTTTGGAAACTTGTAGGATCTAGATGAGGGTTTCCCATCGTTGGCACTACTGACATTTCGACCAGACGAATCTTTGTCGGGATTGGGTCTGTTTTGTGCATTCTAAGACGTTGAGCAGTATCCCTGGCCTCTACCCACGAGATGCAAGTAGCACCCCCGTCCGTTGTAACAACTTTTTTTTTTTTAAAGAGACCGAATCTCACTCTGTCGCCCAGGCTGGAGTGCAGTGGCACGATGTCAGCTCACTGCAACCTCCACCTCCTGGGTTCAAGCGATTCCCCTGCCTCAGCTTCCCAGGTAGCTGGGATTACAGGCACCCGCCACCATGCTCAGCTAATTTTTATTTTTTTAGTAGAGATCAATTTCACCTGGTCTCGAACTCCTGACCTCGTGATCTGCCTGCCTCAGCCTCCCAAAGTGCTGGGATTACAGGCATGAGCCACCACGTGTGGCCAACATTTTTCTCAGTAATTCTAGACAATTGTCTTTTAATTTTAGATATAAATTATAATGGTAATATCTTTCTGCCCTTGGGGATTCTGATTTCTACCCATTGAATGCTAAGTACAGATATTCTAGAAATATTAGATTATCAGCTGCAAAAAAAAAAAAAAAAAGAAAACCAATTTGCTGCCTCTTCTCCCCGTTGGCATGTCCATTCAGAGCGTGGTGGAGGGCCTTGGTGACTTGACTTTCCTAGAAGCAGCAGTGTTTTATCACTGGGCCACTTTCCATCTGTCATGCCCTAACTTACCCAGAGCAAAAAGCCAGTTTTCTCATCTTCTGAGAGACAGGATGATTTGCTGTCATGAAACCTGGTTTTGCTCCTCAAGCACCATTTATGATGACGGACTGACTTCTCCGCCGGTCGTCCCATTGTTCAGCTTCACCAGGGCCTCTTTGAGAAGCTCTGCTGTCTCCAGTACTGCTTTGATCACCTTCCCAGGAATGTATTCCATAAACAAATCAGGGTCAAGGCCATATGCTTTCATTTGATTCCGAGGGCTGCTTCTCTCAACCAGTTTCCTGCCTGCGAGGGGCTATTTCCCTAAGACTAGAAATACCCTTTGAAGGAGAAAAGCTAAACAAATGTAGTTAGATAAAGCGCACTGGATTAGATCATATACACTGCTTCATTGATGTCTTCCAGAGCTATGATCGTTTGAATGACTTACAGTGCTTAAGCTCATTTCATGACACTGAGGGTGTGCCAACTTTCCGTGAGTGCCTCGTGACCCAGCAGCTGTCACCACAGGTCATGTTCTTTCTGTTTGTTTGACAGCTGGCTTAAAGGCTGGGGCCATTGGTTGTGGAGGTTTTGCTGCTTTCTCTGCTGCGATTGATTATTACCTCCGGTGAGAGTAATTGCCTGCAGGGAAGGATGATGCCAGCCCCGGATCCGGGCTGCTCTCTGGAGGACAGTTTCTGTACCACACCAGGGCCTTGCTTCAGGGCCTGAAGACATTCATTTTCCCTCATGTCGTTGGTATTCTGAGGGAGCTGCCTGGCTTCTCTGCCTCCAGCCTTTGGGGTAGCCACACTTTGCTGCTCCTGGACTCCAGCCAGCCTTCACAGAGGACGTCCCGTGCCAGATTCTCTCACAGCAGATCGGGAGACAGGATGTTGACATATAGGAATTCAGCTCCACAAAGCTTCAGGCCTGACCACAGCTGGCCCTCTAGGTTGTTTGGTGTTGTGGGCACAGAGGTGACAGTGTCTCTGCAGGCACTCAGGAAGCTGTTCTACCTTGGAACTCCATGCAACTATCCGTCTCGAATACCAGGGCAGGGCAAGGCGGACTGATGCCGTCCAACCAATTATCTCACTTGTTTTGTGTTCTGTCATCCTTGTTTTTTTTTTAAAAATACACTCCCCTCCCCCACCGCCACACACCTTACAGTTCAAAAGGTTGGTTTATTTGTATTTTATTTTCAAATTCCCTATTCCAAAAATAGTGCCGGGTGGCCCAAAGATAACATCTGAAGGGAAAGAATGAGAAAGCTCCCAGGGAAGCGGGGGATGGGGCGCTGAGGCAGGGTTGTTAGAGGACTGTGTCATCCTCACCAAGCTCATTACATCTGCCAGGGCCTGCCTCAAGAAGCCCAGCCCAGCCTTTTCCTGGGATGCAGTGAAATCCCATCCATGAACTCGATGGGCCCCTCCTGTGCCGGCCGAGAGGCACACACTGCCTTCACGACGTGACTGCTGGACCTGGCCGAGCTTGAGGCCACATGTGAAGGGTCCTGCTGTGGTCATCTTGGTGACTCGGTCACAGCAGCTACTGGCCAAGATCAGACGTCGCTGAGGGGCTGTTCACCACCATCCTCGTTCTCCAGGGTCAAGGAAGTGTTTTAACATGTCGTGTTTTCGACTTGACCTTGTGGTATTTTTCTTGGCCTAGTTGTGTGCCATGGATATTAAAAAAAAAAAAAAAAAAATCCGTCTACAGTTGGGCTTCAGCACTGGTGCTGCTTTACCCTGGTGCTCTGTGGGGGGATGACACTGCTGGAGTCAGGCCTTTGCTCTTGGGTGGGGCACAGGCAGGTCGCTTGGTGGGGGCCACACAGTGCTGGGCACCTTCAGCCAGTGGTGATGAGTCTCCTTTTTCCTATAATACGGTAATTCCTCTATCCTTTCCTTTTTTGCCTTCTTCCTCATCTGCCCTGTCTTCTGGCCCACACACTCTTAACCAGCGTTCACACTCAGTGTACATGGCCTGGAGGCCCGAGTGTTTGTACATGAGTGATGATGTCAAACCCAGCTGGTAACACCTTCCTTGGGTCATGTTTGCCATTTTCTTGGAATGAATGTGAGTTCCTGCTCAGGGCTCATGTCCTTTTACAGTGAATTCTATATAACGCCCCTCCCAGTCTCACAGCTAGGAGGCTTCATCACTGCTAGGCCAGTTGGAGCGTTCCCTAGAGCTCAGAACAAATTGTTTCCTCTGCTGTCCCTAAATATAGGACACCTACAAGCACTCTGAAGCAAGGGCAGACATTCCCACCTGGTACCTGTCAAAGTCCTAGGATGCCTGGGATCTTCCATCTTTCAGTCTAGCACGTGGGACCAAATACAAGAGATGCTGCCCTCACAACAGCCTTGGAAAAGATGAGCGCCAGGGCTGTCAGTACCCATCGGTTCAGTAAGCGAGGCATTGTCCACGCTGCCTATTCACTCGAGAGATGAATAGTTTCCTGTTTTCGATGGCTGGGGAGCCAGTATGAGCTCATAAACCAAACAGCAATTTTCAGAGACATCTGTTCCTGATCTTCAGAATAAACTCAGTGTCCAGTTGCTTCGGCTGGTGGGAGCCAATATTCACGCCACTGACTCTCTCAAAGGGAGGGTGGGCCCTCGGAGACCCAGCTTCTCTGACAAGCAGATTAGACCAAAAGGCTGCCTCAAAGATATGCCACTTTGAAGGAAAGCGTAGAGAAGCGTTTACATAAAAGAAGACGCTTCCTGTTCAGTGGACAACTTCATGCCACTTTCAAGGCACACCGATGGCCAGGTGGGACATTTGTACTGTAGCAGCACATGGCAAAGGTGAGCCAGAAGCAGCCTGGATGCTGGCTGATCCGGAGGCCTTTGTGAAGAGCAAGGAGAGGGCTCCAGCCCACCTCCCCGCAGCTCTGCCCCAGCCCCCGTGGGCCACAGGGAGGCTCAAGGGGAGTGAACTAGGTAAACAGATTCCTGGAAACTCACATCTGGATGCAGCTGGAAGAGTTAAATATTTACATTGGTGGCTTCCCTGGACCACCGCGAACACAAACATCCACACCACAGGGCTGAGTTTTGTGCAAATGATGGGGCTTTGCATTTTTTATTAACATTTTCCTCTCACGTGGTTTACATCAATTTATAATAATCTACATAAGTTGAAACAGAACATAGACAAAAAAATATATCCTTACCAACTTATTAAAGTCAGATATTCATGAAGGGTCCCATCCTACCTGTGTATCAGCAGAAACTGGCAGCCATCAGCCATTGCCCAGCAAGAACAGGCAGACCTGGCGTTTCTTAGCCTGACTCCTGCTGGGCACAGCCCACCCTGCTGGGCACAGTGACTGGAGGTTCCAGGCTGCACAGTCCCTGGCTCCTGACTCCTGCCGGGCGCAGTGACTGGAGGTTTCGGGCTGCATGGTCCCCGGCTCACAGGAGACCCTGCTGGGTGTTTCCTTGGTGCAGTTTAGTCCAGGTCTGGCACCTGACCCTCCCCACTCTGGGGGTGGGATTTATAAATATGAGCCTTTGCATTTCTCAGCCTTTGCAGCCTTCCCATAGCCTGTTCTCACGTTGCCTCAGCGAGCTTGGGGCTGTGGGGCTCCCTGAGGCTGAGACGCGAAGGTGCCCAGTCTGGGCCGTGACTCACTCTGCCCCTTCCTGTCCATCACTTTGGAAGCAAGCAGGAGCCTTCTGTGCCACACACCGACACTCGGATGCCAGGCAGGGACCTTAGGAAGGGCCAGGCACTGCATCTTTAGACTCAAGTTCACCGCCTTTCCCAGGGAGCAAGGGCTCCTTGCTAAGCTGCTCACAGGCAGCCGATGGTCAGTACTTCCTTCCTCTTGGGCATGTCTTTCCTCCGTGCACAGAGTATTTACTGTTCTGCCCAAGGCCACAGGAGTAAACAGGCTCAAAAAGGGCCTCTCACCGCGCACGCGCTGCAGCGTTAGGGCCGGCAAACCCTTCTTTAAGACTCAGCCCTGAGCACAAGCAATGGGAACTGAGCTCCCCAGCCCTGAGGGCCCGGAAACGACGCTCTGCCACACAGAAGAGCCGGGGAGCTGTAACTGGCTATAAGTCGAGCCCCTGGAGCTGCATCTGCTCTCCTAGGCTGATGGCCCGAGGCTGGCAGCCGCAGCTCGTGTGGGAAGTGTACGGTGGGAACACACCTCACTCCTTCCTAGTACCGGGCAATGCGTCTGCAAGTCGGGTCCCTGCTCCCTGGCGGGTGCCTACAGCACCAACAAGGAGGCCCCAGCAGAACCCAGCCCCTAGAGGCGGCTGTCTGATTCCCCACTCTCCCCACAACTTCTGGAGTTCCCAGTGTTTACCCAAAAGGCTGTATCCAGAAGCTGGGGCGGCACCACAATGGCTGGCCACCGTGGGCCTGTGCCTTTGCTTCCCAGGTCCTGGAGGACCGTGGCAGTGCTTGGCTGTGGAGTGTGTGTAAAATCTAAGGCAAGAGTACCACGAGGTCCTGCGGTGCCAGGGAGCTCCTGGCTGCAGCCTACCTGCCTGGACACCTGCTTCGGCCACATCAGTCACCCTCCAGGAAGCCTGGCCCCTCTTGAAAAGCCCCCACAACTTGCTCCTAAGAGCTGAGCTGCCTCCCCGCGACCCGGGACACCCAGCGTGGCATGTGCATTCCTCCCCCGTTCAGCCTGTGGTGTTTCCTCAGCAGCCTGACCGCCTCCTCCCCCATTCTCTCCTGACCCTCTGGCTATCTCGATAGCAGGTCACCTGTGAGTCTTTACACTCAAAGGAAATAGAACAGCAGGGAAGGGAACTGAAAAGCAGTAGAAGAAACAGTCAGAGATGCCTCACTGATAGACAGGAGGCCGAACAGGTAAACCCCAGAAGTGGAGATTCCCAAACGGAAAATTCCAGAAATGGGCGCTCCAGCTCTGTGCTAAGCTGGGGACGAGTGTGAGTGTGTCTGCTTGTCCAACATTTGCACAGGCAGCAAGGCAAAGCAGGTGTGCTCCCAAAGGCGGAGTCTGAGGAGGGGCCGGCAGCGGCAAACGGCAGCATCAAACAGACCACTGCTGCCGCGGCAACCCAGGGCCTCTTCAGAGCTTTCAAGGCGATGGAGCGAAGACCAAGGGTGCACATGCATGCAGGCAGGCTGGGAAGGAAGAGCGGGTGGAGGAAGACTGAGGGGAGGCTGCCAGGAGACCGCCATCTGGGAGCAGGGCCAAGAGAGAAGCTGGCAGCAGTTACACAGCGCAAAATAAAAGGCCTTGGGCTGGACTCAGGCGGAAAGAAAGTGCTGGAGGAAATGAAAGAACAAAGCGGGCTGTCTGTGTGCCCACGCCGGGCCGGTCACTACCTTTTCTGCCTGACAAGTGTACATAAAACAATTCCCGAACAGCACGGAGCATCAGACACAACTAGAGGTATGGAGGGCAGGAGGTGGGATGCGGTGGTGAGGCTGGGGCTGGGCAGCCGGCTTTGTACAAGGTGGCACAAAAGACGTACGCATTCCAGTTCTTGGAAGCTGGCTTCCCTCGAGTCTGGAGTGCTGGGTTTGGGAGTTTTCTATTGCAGTCTTTCAAGTCTGAGTTGGACCCCAGGCTGGAGGGGCTGGTTCCACCACCCGCCCGCAGCCACCCTGCCTCGGGCTACACGTCGGTGGAGAAGTACAGTGTGTTCCGCTTGAGTTCTGCGAAGGAAATGGGGGGGTGCTGCAGGTAGTAGAGGAGGACCTGGACCTGTGGGGAGACAGGAAGGCGGAGGCTGGGCTCCCTGTCCTAGGCCTCGTCCTTGCTGACTCCAGCCTGTGTTGCCCCTCCCACTCCCTAGACTGGCTCCGGCCACCGCCCCTTCCTGGGGAGCCCAGGTGTGTTTGCCTTTCTGCAGCCGTGGAAGGTGCTACGGGGCAGAGGGTCGGGGGCCTAGGGCCACTTCCCCAACCTGGCCATAAGCTTCTGCTCTGTCCTGAGGCGGCCACAGTCCGGCCCCTGCTCTGGGTCTTGCAGGAATCCCAGGGAAGCCTCCCGCCCTTGGAAGCAACCTCAGAGCTTCCACCCATGAGGACAAGGGCCCAGCATCTCCCCACCCCTGGGCTTGCTTTCTGAGACTGAGGCCCTCCTGAGAATGCAGCCAGCATCTCTGGGCCCTGGTCTAGGCTCACATGTTTGTTTTGGCCTGGGAGGGGCAGAAGTGTCTACAGTCCTGCCTCCCTGGTGACACCCCATAGCCCATCAACCCAGCTTCCCACGAGGGAAGAGGTGTGGGGACTCTGAGCTGTTCTCTCTCCTCCTAAGGGGCTGGTCTCACCCTCCGCCAGCCACGGGCCCGGGCGGTGCCAGGGTACCTGCGCCATGACGTCATGGGACCGTCACCCTCCGCCAGCCACGGGCCCGGGCGGTGCCAGGGTACCTGCGCCATGACGTCATGGGACCGTCACCCTCCGCCAGCCACGGGCCCGGGCGGTGCCAGGGTACCTGCGCCATGACGTCATGGGACCGTCACCCTCCGCCAGCCACGGGCCCGGGCGGTGCCAGGGTACCTACGCCATGACGTCATGGGACCGTCACCCTCCGCCAGCCACGGGCCCGGGCGGTGCCAGGGTACCTGCGCCATGACGTCATGGGACCGTCACCCTCCGCCAGCCACGGGCCCGGGCGGTGCCAGGGTACCTGCGCCATGACGTCATGGGACCGTCACCCTCCGCCAGCCACGGGCCCGGGCGGTGCCAGGGTACCTGCGCCATGACGTCATGGGACCAGATGTCCGCAGCCGAGGTGAGGTGTGCTTTGCTCTCCACTTCTGAGGGTCTCAGTAACGTGGGTCCAAACACGGTAGCCAGGTTGTGAAGTGACATTTTGTTGATGGGCTCCTTCTCGGCAACCCTAAGAAGGAGAAGATGGGGAGGAAAGAAGCCCTTCCTCAGCAGCCACTCGGAGCTCCAGGACCCTTGGCCTTCGCTGTGGGAACTCCTGAAGGACTCCTGGAAGGGGTCACCTCGTCTCTGTCTCCTAGGAGTGGGGACCTCCCCCGGGGGAAGGGGACTCATCCAGGAGAGCAGGGCCCCAGCCATGTGCCAGTGTTCTGTGCTAACATCTCCAGCTGCTGGGTCCCCCTGAACTGATGGTGAACTGCCAGAGCCAGGGAGCCCACAGATGCCAACTCCAGCTCCCTTGCCTGAGAGCAGATACTGTTCTGAAAACTCCCTGGAACAACTCACACTCGCCGCAGTCCTTTGAGGTAAATATGATTATCGTCACCCCCATCGTGTAGATGAAGAAACCGAAGTACAGAGGGGTTAAGTGACTTGCCCAAGGTCACACAGCCAGCAACTGGTAGAGCTGGGATTTGAACCCCGGTAGCTGCCTCCAGGACCTACCGCTCTGTTGCTTTCTCATGTGCTAAGTGGCCCAAAAGAAGAGTTAAGGTGGGTGGGGCAGGGGAGAAAGGCAGGCAGGGCCTGGAGCCCAGCAGGAGTCACTAGCTAGACCCGGGGCTCTGCCAGCTGTGCTGGGGCAGGAGCAGCCCTACTTCCAGATGAGCCCGGGGACTGTCCCCCCGTGCCTGTCCGGAAAGGTCGGCCTCGTGGGACCCAGGGCTTCCTCTTGTGCCTCTCCGGAAGGGTCTGCCTCATGGGACCCAGGGCTGCCTCCTATGCCTCTCCGTCTGCCTCGTGGGACCCAGGATTGTCCTCCCTCTGGATCCTCTCCTGCTTCTCTTACTCAACAGGCCAGATGCTCTGCGATGCTTCCCTGGGGTAACAGCAGGAGCTGCCATCAGGGCTGGTGTCCAGGCAGGCCCAGGGTCAGCAAACATATCAGAGGGCCTCTGGTTCTCCTTCAGTCTCAAAAAATGTTTCTGGGCTGAGACCCACCCACCCTAAGCAGCGCCTCTCACCCTCAATACCATCATTCCCACCCTCCAGGCAGGAGCTGTGGCTGCGCCTGCTTTGGAAACAGGCAAACAAACACTGTGATGCCAACAGGCAGCTGTGCAGCGGGGCCAGCCCCTCACCACACGCGCGCACACGGTCCAGCCAGGGGCCCAGATGTGGGAACAGACTGTGCCCAGTTCCCAGGGTGGAAGCCGAATGAATTTTCCCTTCCCACTCCTCCCCACAAGGCTTGCCAAATGCTTTCGGAATTGGTTGGGGCTCTAGTCCTGGCCAAACCAGAGGAAAAATGTTTCATGATGGGAAAAACAAGACACCAGCCCCGGGCGCGTCCAGGTCTCCACTGGCTCTCCCGAGCCTGGCGTGGCTGAGCTGCAGCGGGGGGCCTGGCCCTGAGCTGGGGCTGAGCTCAGGGAAGAATTGTTCCGCAGAGCAGTCTGAGGGGGCTCCCCGGTCCTGGCGTGCAGGTGGGTTTAAGGGACGCCCAGGGACCACCTCCCCACGCAAGCCTGAGGACCTCTGAACTTTGCTACAAGTACAACCAACTTTAGCCACTCTTGGTTGGACCTGACTAGAAAGGGTGGTGGGAAGGCAAGAAGGGTCTGAATTTAGGATCTGGAAGTTGAGGGCTCTAAGGACAGGTCTGCTACTAACCCAAGCAAGTCTCCGCCTGGTGTGGGGACTCAGTTTCCCTATGTCTAGTGAGGTGTGGGCCAAGACCAGTGGGTTTCACCTTTTTTGACTGTGGCCCACAATACAACCCATGCTGTAACACAGTCCACACGTCTCTATGTAACTGAAAAGCAGCACCTGCATCAAGGCTTACAATGTATCCTCCTGCTGTCTGTCCCCCACTGCTGTCCATCCCCACTGCTGTCCATTCCCCCACTGCTGTCCATCCCCACTACTGTCCATTCCCCACTGCTGTCCACCCCCCACTGCTGTCCACCCCCCACTGCTGTCCACCCCCCACTGCATCTAGAAATGGCTACATTCGTTGAATGAACCACCAGTAGGTTGGGACCCACTGATTATAAAACCTGCCTGTAGTCCTGGGCTCTCACCCTGCCATTCTGAGCATTCTATGGTCAATATTTGAGGTTACTACTGGTTACGGGACCCAAATATTTCTCAAAACAGAAAAACATGAGTGCAAGAACTTGGAAAGCAAACTCTCACTCCCCACAGACAGCCCGATGGAGGCCAGCGCCCACGAGGAGGGACTGAGGAGGTGGGGTTGGGGCCACTCCCCGTTACCTTTTCACGAGGAGGGACTGAGGAGGTGGGGTTGGGGCCCCTCCCCGTTACCTTTTCATGAGGAGGGACTGAGGAGGTGGGGTTGGGGCCGCTCCCCGTTACCTTTTCAAGTGTTCCAGCAGGAAGAGGAAGGTGATGAGGTTGGGGTCGGGCAGGGAGCGGAGCAGGTGCATCATGCAGTTTTCCTTGGCAGCAGGGTCTGACAGGGCTGTGGGAGAGAAGGGCCAGTGTGGCGTTTGGCTCCTGGGGCTCCCCGCCAGGGCCCCTGTGGTCGTGAGGCTGTGGGCCCCTGCGGGAGAGAGCCCAGGCTTCCAGGCCTTTGGGGAGCAGACCCCACAGGGGAGGGCCTGGTGTCTGGGTGGGCTGTCAGCAGCTGCTTCCTCCAGGAGGCCCCACCACGACTGGTAACTCAGCCAGGAGGCCGGCTGGTGGGAGCAGACCCCCTTCCTGCAGCTGACTGCATAGGCCTTGGGTGCTGGGGCATCCCCTGTCTCGTAACAGGACACCCCCTGGTCTGTGTGGCTAAGGTTAAGCCAGTAGGGACATATCCTGCCAGCGGTGGATTCTCTTTCTCCACCCCTTCTGCTGCTGGAGCGTGGGTGCAAGCAGCCTTCCGTGGGGGCTGAAGCTCCAGTCTGCCCCAGGAGCAGAGAAGGCTGAAGGGATTCCTTGGGGCTGGGTTTGGCCCAGGTGGGTGGAGGCGGAAGGCCTGCTGGCCGGGGCCCTCCGCAGAGGTGACGGGACGGTGTGTGGTCCCGCTGGAAGGCTCAGCACAACCCATCTCGAGTGCCCTATGGCTTAAGCCAGCCTCCTCCTTGGTTCTGGGATGCTGGCTTCTGGCCACTCACCTCAGGGCAGTCTTCCCTGGATGCTCGAGCTTCCAAGCAAGAGGCCAACGTCCAAATAGGAAGCAGAAGGGGCTGCCCATGGGGACATCAGGGGCAAGAGGCAGGCGAGAAAGGGCCCAGTGTCTGCACCAGGTCCCAGCAGGCCACACCTCACCCTCGGACCCCTCAGCCACAGGCCCCAGTGCACTGGGAAGGTCAGCCAGCAAAGGAAGCCACAGATATTTCTCCTGCTGGTTACTTCTCCGGGCAGGGAGTCCTGGCTCAGTCTGGCCCAGCCCAGTCCTAGGAGCCCTCAGGGCCTCACCGATGCCCTCCATGAAGGCTGGGTAGAGTCGGTCCGTGAGGAGCGGCTCGGGCAGTTCCCGGAAGTACAGCTTGAGCGTCCCGGCGATGGCGTTGATGTCCATGTCACTCAGCATCAGCAGGATGTCCTTGTTATCTGCAGGGGTGGGGCCGAGGTCAGGCAGCCTTAGCTGGGCCAGCAGCCCCGTTCCACCCCCGACCCATCCTGACACAGCCCCCACCCACTCCAGCTCTGGTTCTGGTCTCCCCTGGAAGAGCAGGATGTAGAGAGGGCCCACAGGTGTCTGTGACTCGGCTCTGTGGGTCGGGGTTGGGGGAACAGGGAGAGATAGCCTGGGGGCCATCTGCTGTGGCTGCTTGGGAAAGGGTGTTTGGGGAGTGAAATCCATCACCCAGAGTTCAGAGCCACATTCATACCATGTGGCCTGCAGCTTCCTTCCGACTGGAACCTCTCCATCGCTAAGCCCCTCTCTGGAAGGCATTGCACACTTTTCACACGTAAAAGCATGTTCCGACAAAGCCTCAGCTTCTAGGCTGCACAGAGGCACCAACGCCGGCCAGTTCCCAGGCCCCACCCCGTCCTCCACTCCAGGCTCCCCACGGATTCATCCCTGCCTGGCCAGTGCAGGTTTCTTGACAGTGGGGTATGTGGCTGCTGCACCTGAACCAGCAGGAGCAGGGAGGAGAAACCAGAAAGGTCAGGCCTCACCATGGTGGGCTTCACGCAGAGGCAGCACTGCCCCAGAGGGGACCTGGGGCCCTGGAGACAGCAGGTGCAGGCTCAAAGCTCTTTCCCTGCGGCTCACCAGGCACCCAGGAACTAGCAAGAAAGACACTGGAGTCAGATCTGAGTTTTAAGTCCAGAACCAAAACCTACAAGTTGGGTCATCCTGGGCAAGTGAGTCGGCCCTTGTGAGTTTCTGCAGTTGCTTACCTGCAGCAAGGGACAAGAGATTGGAGGGGAGGGGATTACAAGAGAAAGCACTTGCCACGGGGACTCTGAAGCAGAGCAAGCCTCCTCTCCAGGGAGGCTCCTGGTTCCCCCGAGCTCTCCTGTCCATCCCACCAGCCTGCTCAGACACAGCCACACCTGCCCCGGCTGGGCCTCCCAGACTCACTGGCATCGAAGACGGCCTTGAGCGCCTGGATGTCCGTGGCCACGCCCGATATCCTGTAGATGCCAACCTCCTCGATACCCCTCTTCTCCACCTCCTCCACACACTGCCGGACGATGTAGGGCACCTTGGAGCGCTCCCGCCTGGGGTGGAGCGTGAGGATGGGTGGAGGGCAG
The DNA here is from genome assembly GCF_000001405.40 of Homo sapiens. Lineage (NCBI taxonomy): Eukaryota > Metazoa > Chordata > Mammalia > Primates > Hominidae > Homo > Homo sapiens. The sequence continues at coordinate 51,266 of NT_187613.1, forward strand.
CCCCCACGACAGCTCTCCCGTAGCAACCCCCACCCAGCACACACACACCCTGGAGAGCTTCTAGCATTTGGGATGGAGAGCTGGGGCGGGGGCAGGGGCAGGGCAGAGAAAGAGGCCACCGCACCCCACCCCAGCCAGCCCACCCGAGGCCTGCCGAAGGGGCATCGACGGACGTGGGCAGGAGAAGCCTTGGGAACTTGGGAAGGTAAGGCCGAGACTCTAGGGAAAGAACGTCCCCCAGATTCAGATGCTTGTAGGAGGCCCAGCAGGCAGCCCACATGAGGAGGTGGGTCAGGCCTGAGACAAGGGGCCAGGGTGGTGGTGAACCGGGGGACACGTGCCCTTTCCCGAGGGGCCGCCAGTCCCCGTTGGTGCCGAGCCCAAACGTAGGCCCCCGGCTGACAGAGCTTCCCGCTTGTTACGAGGAGCAGACGATCTGGGATCTCACAAGAGACCTTCCAGCGTTTAGGTGCTGGCTCGCGTGCTTCTGAAGTGTCCTGTGAGCGCCTCTGCGGCCACTCTAGATCCACACCGGCCATCTGCCACCGCCGAGCGGGGGGTAACTGATTAGGTGCCAGGATGGGCACCGGCGGGGAGGGCTGGGGGGCCCGGGCTGGGGGGGACCCGGGGCACCGACGCCAGGACTGGGAGACCCGAGGCAGCACCTACTTCGTCACCACGCTGATCTTCACACCGAAGACGCCGGTCTGCTTTTTGGACGGGGTCCTCTTCAGGCTCATATCTCGGCTGGTGAATTTCATGGAAAATTCCACTTTGATCTGGTTGGGGGGTGAGGCAGGTAAAGATTCCCCAGGGTGTGAGTGCCCGAGGAATGCCCCCAAAACACAGGGGTCCCCTCCCCAAGACTGCAAATGAGGGCTAGCTCACACCCAGGTCTCCCTCAACACAACACCTGCAGGACAGCAGCGGGCAGGGTGTGGGCAGGAGGGGAGAGGGGGCTGGGCTGCGGGGAGGTCGAGGCGGCACAGCGGCCCCAGGAGCAGCCACAGGGCCGGGCTGCCCACCTGCTGCACAGACGTTCCACCTCCCGGCTCACGCCACTGATCATTCCCATCCCCGGCTCACCCCGTTCATCTCAATCACGTCCGTGTGCCAGTTCTTGGTCTCCACGGTTTGTGGGTCCAGCTGCAGAGAGAGAATGTGGGTGAGAGAGGTGCCAGCTCGGAGGCCAAGCCAGAGATCTCCCCGTGGGTCAGCACTGCTCAGAGCCAGCTACACAGTCAGGAAGGCGGAAGTGAGCAGCTGGGATAAGCTGATGTTTACCTGGAAATCAACCCTTTGGGGGGACCCTAGCCCCCAGGCCCCTGTGGCCGCCGTGGGGGAGGCAGGGCACACCCTGTTACCCGCCGTGGGGGAGGCAGGGCACACCCTGTTACCCGCCGTGGGGGAGGCAGGGCACACTCTGTTACCCACCGTGGGGGAGGCAGGGCACACCCTGTTAGGCACTCCTGGCTGCCAGCCCGGGACATGGGTATTATTACCCCATTTCACAGATGCAGAAACTGAGGCTCACAAAAGGTAAGCACCTGATTAGGAGGCGCTCAAGTCCATCAGGAGGGAACCAGCCCATCCACGTGGAGGTGTTGAAGAGTCAGGAGCCCGCGCACAGGAGGCTGCCTGGGTTTGAATCCTGGCAAGTTTTAAACTCACTAAGCCTCAGTTATTCCATCTGCAACAGAACCTGCCTCCCTGGGATTGCTGGGAAGATTCAGGGAGAAAACTTGGGTCAAGCCATTGGCTCCCAAATAAGCAAATCCTCCACAGGGGAAGTCCCCAGGCTCGGGCTGGAGCCCAGGGAGGTGCGGACCCCAGGGGAGGTCAGAGGCAACCCTCACACAGGACTGTTCCACGTTCTGTTTCTGTAACTCGGGGGCCTTCGCGCCCGTCTGCCTGTGCACCTGCGAACTAATTCTGAGCAACTGTGCGCTCCCTGGCACTTTCTGAAGTCAAAATCTGAACATTTCCAAGTTTAAATAGTTGCAAAGAGTATGATTTCCAAAATCATGTCAATATTGCCATCCTAAAATAAAAGTGTGACATCATTCCTTCTCATGGATTCAGTGGGATCTAAATACCCCAGCGACGTGATACCCACACTCATCCATTTAAAAACTACACGAGGCCAGGCGTGGCGGCTCACGCCTGTAATCCCAGCACTTTGAGAGGCCAAGGCAGGCAGATCACGAGCTCAGGAGATCGAGACCATCCTGGCTAACACGGTGAAACCCCGTCTCTACTAAAAATACAAAAAATTAGCCGGGCGTGGTGGCGGGCGCCTGTAGTCCCAGCTACTTGGGAGGCTGAGGCAGGAGAATAGCGTGAACCCGGGAGGCAGAGCTTGCAGTGAGCCGAGATCGCGCCACTGCACTCCAGCCTGGGCGACAGAGCGAGACTCCGTCTCAAAAAAAAAGAAAAAACATCTAAACAATGTTGAAAAAGAACACAGCTATAGGGCTAATATTACCCAATTTCAGGGCTTATTATATAAAACTCTCAAAATTCAATATTAAGAAAACAGGCCAGGCACGGTGGCTCATGCCTGTAATCCCAGCACTTTGGGAGGCCGAGGGAGGCGGATCACGAGGTCAGGAGATCGAGACCATCCTGGCTAACACGGTGAAACCCCGTCTCTACTAAAAAAAAAAAAATACAAAAAATTAGCCGGGCGCGGTGGTGGGCGCCTGTAGTCCCAGCTGCTGGGGAGGCTGAGGCAGGAGAATGGCATGAACCCAGTAGGTGGAGGTTGCAGTGAGCGGAGATCACACCACTGCACTCCAGCCTGGGCGACAGAGTGAGACTCCGTCTCAAAAAAAACAACAACAACAAAAAACTACACAAACAAGCTCTTCTTTCCCTCACAGAGCTCCTGGATCTTCTCTCCTTGAATTTGTTTCTATTCCATTTCTCCTAAAGAATGTTGTCCTAGTTTATATTTTTATATTTTCAAGTCCTTTATTCACCATTACATTTTGCTTCCACAAAAAAAATCTGTATACATTGAAAACAAAAATTTCCAGAGACCACAAGGCTCCAAATATTCAAAATATATTCAGGATTAGTTAGTACCATGATTGGCAGTACATAATTAAAAAGACAGCCAGGCACGGTGGCTCACGCCTGTAATCCCAGCACTTTGGGAGGCTGAGGCTGGTGGATCACCTGAGGTCAGGAATTCGAGACCAGCCTGGCCAACATGACAAAACCCTGTCTCTACTAAAAATACAAAAGTGAGCCGGGTGTGGTGGCGGGCACTGTAGTCCAAGCTACTACTTGGGAGGCTGAGATGGAAGAATCGCTTGAACCCAGGAGGTGGAGGTTGCATTGAGCCAAGATCACACCACTGCACTCCAGCCTGGCGACAGAGTGAGACCCTGTCTCAAGAAAAAAAAAAAAAAAGTAAGCCGACACATTATATACATTTTATTTATTTTTTTGAGACAGAGTTTCGCTCTTATTGTCCAGGCCGGAGTGCAATGGTGCGATCTTGGCTCACAGCAACCTCCGCCTCCTGGGTTCAAGCGATTCTCCTGCCTCAGCCTCCCGAGTAGCTGGAATTACAGACACACACAACCACACCCGGCTAATTTTTTGTATTTTTAGTAGAGATGGGGTTTCTCCATGTTGGTCAGGCTGATCTCGAACTCCCGACCTCAGGTGATCCACCCGCCTCGGTCTCCCAAAGTGCTGGGATTACAGGCGTGAGCCACCGCGCCTGGCCTCATTATACATTTTAATAAATATTAAGTAGCAGAGTAACTTTTTGGTGGAATGCTCTCTCAATGAGATGGGCGGAACATTTTTTGCTTTAGTTCGCGTATCTATAGGGTATTATTTTTTGCTAGAGTGAAACGAGGCTCAGCATCAATTTGGTTCATGTTTCTGGTTTTGTTGTAAAGATGTGCAGGTGCTGTGGCTCCCAGCCACAGGACCACTTGAGCCCAGGAGTTCGAGACCAGCCTGGGCAATGTAGGACCATGTCTCTAAAATGAACAAGAAATATGTGAACAATGAAACATTTTGTTCACATAAAGAAGTAGATGAGGTCGAAAAGAGTTTTATCACAGCCGCGTTACACCATTCTTTAACCTCTCTCCATGCTATCCGCCTTAAATCGCATATATACCTATTACTGAAAATTACTTGAAATGATCTCTCAGTTGAAAATTGAGTCCTCCATCAGTTTTGTGGAAGGCAAAGAACTGGATACCACCTGACTTTTGAAAGGTTCTAAGTGGCCACTAGAGTCTTTTACTTTCTGAACACTGACCCCAACGTTTCTTTTTTTTTTTTTTTTTGAGACGGAGTCTCGCTCTGTCGCCCAGGCTGGAGTGCAGTGGTGCAGTCTCGGCTCACTGCAAGCTCCACCTCCCGGGTTCAAGTGATTCTCCTGCCTCAGCCTCCCGAGTAGCTGGGATTACAGGTGCCTGCCACCACGCCCAGCTAATTTTTTATTTGTAGTGGAGATGGGGTTTCACCATGTTGGCCAGGCTGGTCTCGAGCTCCTGACCTCAGGCGATCCACCTGCCTCGGCCTCCCAAAGTGCTGGGATTACAGGTGTGACCCACCATGCCTGGCCCCTACCCCAACATTTCTAAAAGCCCCTCTGTTCCCCACCCAGGAGGTCTGCGCACCCCGGGCCAAGCCCCGACAGCCAGCCTCAGGCCTCTCCTCTGCAGAGGACAGGATGGCGAGATGCTGGCTCTCAGGCAGATGGCTTTCTGGCAATAGCACCTATGGCAGCTGAGAATCTGCAAACTGATTTCCTGAAAACTCTCCTGCCCACGTCGCCCTCAGAACGTCTCTGTGCACTCTGAGGTGTGCGTGCCACGGTTTGAACGCAGTTGCTATAACAGGCCACTGTCATCACGGAAGGGAAACTGGATCTGGGTCAGCCTTGGGCTTCCTGCAGCTCGATGTAGGTCCTTCCCACATCTATCACCCACACACCGGCTGGGGGCAGGTGGTACCCAAGCCTCCGACGGGGTCTGGGTCTGCACTGGGTTCGCCCTGCCCAGAGAAGGGATGGAACCCAGAACAGGAGACAGAAGTTGGGTGTGTGCAGAGAACCAAGTGCCCCTCAGGGAGAACCACTGCTCCGGGCACCTCTTCACACACGGGAAGCGTGAGGCCATCACCAGCCCGGCTGGAGGCAGGGGTCCTACAGGGTCTCAAAGGAAGCCCCAGCTCTGGCCTTACTTTCCCGAAACCTCTCTCCCCTCTAAGCTGCTTCTGTTCTTTGCAAACCCTCCTGGATCACACAGGCTGTCCCTCGTAGTTCCTTCATCTCGTCTGGACACGGAGCCGGGCCTGGGTCTGTCCCCAGCTCTGTCCCCCAGCAGTAGCCACACAGGGTGGAGGAATCAAATGCTCTTTGTCAACTGAGATGCTACCCTTGGAAGAAACATTCTGGAGCGGCCATGCCCTCTTTTTTTTTTTTTTTTTTTTTTGAGACAGAGTTTCACTCTTGTTGCCCAGGCTGGAGTGCAGTGGTGTGATCTCGGCTGACTGCAACCCGTCTCCCAGGTTCAACCGATTCTTCTGCCTCAGCCTCCCAATTAGCTGGGACTACAGGTGCGCACCATCACACCCGGCTAATTTTTGTATTTTTAGTAGAGACAGGGTTTCACCATGTTGGCCAGGCTGGTCTCGAACTCCTGACCTCAAATGACCCACCCACCTTGGCCTCCCAAAGTGCTGGGATTACAAGTGTGAGCCACCATGCCTGGCCAATTTTTTTATTTTTAGTAGAGATGGGGTTTCACCATGTTGCCCAGGCTGGTCTTGAACTCCAGACCTCAGGTGGTCCGCCCACCTTGGCCTCCCAAAGTGCTGGGATGACAGGCGTGAGCCACCGCACTCGGCCTGTATTTATTTTTCTAGAGACAGGGTCTCACTGTGCCGTCCAGGCTGCTATGTTGCCCTGGGCTTCAGTGATCCTCCTGCCTCAGCCTCCTGAAGAGCTGGCATTACAGGCATGTACCACTGTGTGGGCCCTTATTTTTTATTTATTTATTTATTTTTGAGACGGAGTCTTGCTCTGTCGCCCAGGCTGGAGTGCTGTGGCGCGATCCTGGCTCACTGCAAGCTCCGCCTCCCGGGTTCACGCCATTCTCCTGCCTCAGCCTCCTGAGTAGCTGGGACTACAGGCGCCCGCCACCACCCCCGGCTAATTTTTTGTATTTTTAGTAGAGACGGGGTTTCACCGTGTTAGCCAGGATGGTCTTGATCTCCTGACCTCGTGATTCGCCCACCTCGGCCTCCCAAAGTGCTGGGATTACGGGCGTGAGCCACCACGCCTGGCCCGGGCCCTTATTTTTTAATTGACACATTGCAGTTGTATGTATTTATGGGGCGCAGTTCGATGTTTTGAGACCACCCCTTCTTGAGGCAGGTCTCTCCACACATCAGCATAAGCCTCAGGCCAATTCCATGGCCCCTGGTCCGATTCACCCACAGCCCCTCCTCCGCCCCAGCTTCCCACGACTGGGTGCCTCCTGGCAGCTTCTGCAGGAAGCTGAGCCAATGGTCCCTTCCCAAGTCTCAGGGGGACCTGGACACAACCTGGTCGGGGGGAGTGTGCAGGATTTGGAGGCAGGCTGATCTGAGTCTCCCATTCAACCGTGCGCACTCGGGCAAGGCCTTTCACCTCCGTGAACTTCAATTTCCTCATGGAGGCATCCACACCTGACTCACAGGGCTGTTATGGAAGAGTGAGAGCAACGGACTTATCTCGAGCTCTTCCTGCAAGTCTGACACTGATGAATCCTCTACACACAGCATCTGCGTTCATGATCATGATAGCAGACATATGCGGTTTAAGCTCTCATAGCCGCTCCCATCTCACAGATGAGGATGCTGCAGCTTAACGAGAGTGAGGAATTTACCCAGTGCACACCTAGGAAGTCAGAGCTGGGGTTCAAAATCAAGGCCCCCAGCACCCTCTCTGCTGAAACTGCAGAATGTGTGAAGTCCATGACCCGCAGCTGCTGTAACTGCTGCTTCCTCAGAAAGGCAACATCGGGCCTCCTGGTGTGTGTCCCGACCCGGTGGGCAGACCTGGTGCTGGGAGGCCACCCCCAGTACAGCCCTCCCGCTGCCTCGTGCCCATCACTTCCGCTCCAGCTGCCAGGTTCAACCTGGGCACATCTGACCCAGGACTGCACCTCCTGATGCTAAGGCCCAGTTCTCGCCCCGCCTCCTCCAGAGAGCCTTCTCGGAGAGCCCCAGGTCACAGTGGGAAACTTTGGGTCCTCTCTGCCTTCCTGCTCCACTAAGATCTACCCTCTGCAGCCTCCCAGGCGACACTTGCTGCTGTCTCACACACTCCAGCCCCTTCTGAGGCCAGGCCTGGGCCAGGGGCACTTTCCTAAGCTGTAAGCCCCTCAAGCCCTGACATCTTCCTGGTGCCTGCTGCAGGTGTGGCCCTGGTATCTGCTGCAGGTGTGGCCCTGGTGCCTGCTGCAGGTGTGGCCCTGGTATCCGCTCAGAGAGGCCTGCCTGGCCCCACGGTGCCCTGACAACGACGCTCTGTTTCCCAGGAGGCTATCAGCCTCCAGAAACCAAGTCTATTTCAGGATATCATTTAAACACAGAGGAGGGAGGGAGAGGCACAGCGTACATTTTCCAGAGAAACGCTGCTGCCCGCAACTGCGCTGGCTATTTATAACTCCTGGGAAATGTGGACTGTGCTATTTCCTGATGAGATTAGCACCGGGGTGGAGGGGCTGGCCCCTGGGACGTTGGTGGATGGGACACCTGACTGCTCACCCTCTGGTCCCAGCAGACAGGTGCCTTCCATGGGCCCAGGGGAGCAGGTACTTGGGGGATGTCTGATCACCTGAAGCAGGGAGACAGAGGGAGCTCGTGAAGGGTCAGGCTGGGAAGACCACCAGGGGCACACGAGCACTGGGGCCTCCCCAAGGTGGGCCACAGGCAGGAGACAGAAACAGGCTGCAAAACATCGTGGAGCCAAAAGGCGGACGAACGACTGGGCCAGGGGTCGACGACTGGGCCGTACATGGTCACTGAGAGCAGCTCAACTATTTCCTTCTTTTTTTTTTTTGAGACGGAGTCGCACTCTGTCGCCCAGGCTGGAGTGCAGTGGCGCGATCTCAGCTCACTGCAACCTCCACCTTCGGGTTCGAGCGATTCTCCTGCCTCAGCCTCCCGAGTAGCTGGGGCTACAGGCACGAGCCACCACGCCCGGCTAATTTTTGTATTTTTAGTAGAGACGGGGTTTCACCGTGTTGGCCAGGCTGGTCTCCAACTCCTGACCTCAGGTGATCCACCCGCCTCGGCCTCCCAAAGTGCTGGGATTCCAGGCGTGAGCCCCTGCATCCGGCCGACTGTTTTCTCTTTGTCTGGGCACTTCGCCTGGTCAAATCATGACTGCGCATTCAGGCCTCTCCCAAAGAGAAACGCTGGCGCTGGGGGCTCATGTCCAGGAGACGACCAGGTCCCCTGCGGCGAAAACCCAGCAGGCAGGGGCACCGGGTTGAAATGGGGCTCCGTCACCTCCGAGGGAGCAGGAGTGAAGACCCGAAGGTGAGCGTGGATTCTCTGCCAAGAATCCCGTAGGTGGCTGGTGGAGGTCGCCTCGCCTTTCTGGACCGAAGTGACCTCATGTTTGGGGCAGGAATCAGCAAAGTGGCCCCGCAGCGGGGAGAGGATTTGAGGCTCCAGGGCAGAGGGTGCTCCACGCACACCTGAGCGTCCTCCAGGGCTGAGTTTCAGGAACATCCTGGGGATGCCCCTGAGGGTCTCAGCCCTTCCTCTCGGCTCACCTCTCACCCCCTGGGGCAGGTGACCCCATTTCTCCTGCCTCTGCCCGGAGGGCTGCTCCCGGCCAGCTCCCCGTGCTCGGATTCAGGGGCACGCTCCCTCCGGTCTCCACTCCTGCTCCCTCGGAGGTGGCAGAGCCCCCATTCCAACCCAGTGCTCCTGCCTGCTGGGCCACACTCTCCACTCCAGCACGCAGCTCGCCCCAAGGTCTTCGGAGATGGTTTCCACCACCTCCCCTCCCACAAGCCCTCACCCAGGGCCCTTTAATCCACAGTAAGGGGCCTGTGGTGGCCCTGCCCAAGGCAGGTGGGACTTAGAACTGGCCACTGGGGGTCTCAGTGGAGGGGGGAGCAGAGGTCCCAAGCAGCCTTCAGTGGACGCCACTCAGGACGTGATCCAGGGGCTCACTGGACGACGGGAATCTGAAGACCACATTTGCCAGGGCCCCAAGAGCTCCCAGGCCTCCGCCTCCTTCCTGAAAGCCGCTTCCCTCAGGAGCCCACTCGGTCACTCCCACCGCCCAGGAGCTGACCCCCCGAGGAGCCCTGCCTCCAGGCACAGCCCTGCCCTCGGGGGCCGCCCCATCCTGCCTCTCACGGCTGGCGCTCTTCTACCCTCCACCCTCTGAGCCCCGGCATCCCAGAATGCGGGAGGGTTTCCCTCAGAGGGGGTTGCAGAGGTTCATAAAAAAAAGTGCTTCTTCAGCCAGGTGCGGTGGCTCACGCCTGTCATCCCAGCACTTTGGGAGGCCGAGGCGGGCGGATCACAAGGTCAGGAGATCGAGACCAACCTGACCAACGTGGCGAAACCCCGTCTCTACTAAAAATACAAAAATTAGCCAGGCGTGGTGGCGGGTGCCTGTAATCCCAGCTACTGGGGAGGCTGAGGCAGGAGAATCGCTTGAACCCGGGAGGCGGAGGTTGCAGTGAGCCGGAGTTGAGATTGTGCCACTGCACTCCAGCCTGGCGGCAGAAAAAAAAAAAAAATGCTTCTTCACAACAAAGGTGGTAAATCTGTTCCTGAGAGGTGGGACAGGAACGCTAGAAAATGACTCCCAGCCGGGCGCGGTGGCTCATGCCTGTAATCCCAGCACTCTGGGAGGCAGAGGCGGGCGGATCACTCGAGCTCAGGAGTTCGAGACCAGCCTGGCCAACCTGACGAAACCCCATCTCTACTAAAAATACAAAATTAGCCGGAAATCACTTGAACCCGGGAGGCAGGGGTTGCAGTGAGCCAAGATAGCACCACTGCACTCCAGCCTGGGCAACAGAGCAAGACTCTGTCTCAAAAAAAAAAAAAAAAAAACAGAAAATGACTCCAGAAGGACCTCAGTGCAAGTGGCCCCCGGACAGGGAACCACGTGGAAGGTGGAGCTGTGTGGGCACATTTCACGCCTGCCCTGGAGGGGCCGCGGAGCCCAGGCCCTGAGCCAGGCATCGGGTCTGAGGGTGGGCACGTTTCCTGGGGCTCCCAGGCCAGCGGCCACGGTGGCAGCCCGGGCTGGCTTTCCCCTGCCCTCCCCCAAGGGCAGCCCCACGCTCAGGGCTGGGTCCCCTTGGGACACCGAAGCCGGCCTGTCATTGGGGCAGACCACAGGCGTGAGAGGCACGGCGGGGCTGGCAAGCTGGCAACGGGGGAGACGGGAGTTGCCAAGACCCTGCCTCTCCTCCCTCGAGGAGGCGCCGGAGGATTCCGTCAACGTGACTGCTCCGAGCGACTCCGAGAGAGGCAGGGCAGAGAGGGAGGGGCTGCCAGGACCTACCCCTGGCTTCCAGCTCAGCAGCTGGGTTGGGGACACCGGGCCAGGCTCCATAAACTCTCCACACATCTTCCCATGGCTTGGCATCCACACTGCTAGGCCAGGCAGGCTCCGCCTCTCCAGCCCTCACCCTGCAGGGTCAGCCAGGCTCCCTTGTAGCCAAGGTGTCCTGCAGCCAAGGTGTGCCCACCTGCCATACCCAGGCCAGCCACAGATAGGCTCGGGCTGATGCCGTGTCCCAGGGCCTCGGCTGGCTTCCCCTCCAACACCAGAGAACTTCGAAGTTCCCCAAGCCTCATGGGAGGAAGGGGATTAGCAGCTCTGAACGACGCTTTTGTCCAAGGCAGGCTAGCCTCTTAGCACCCGCAGCAACCTGCCTTCCCCAGCGTCCATTCTAGCACCTCTGCCTGCCCCACGTCCGCTCCAGAGCCTCTGCCGGCCCCACGTCCACTGCAGAGCCTCTGCCTGCCCCACGTCCGCTCCAGCGCCTCTGCCGGCCCCACGTCCACTGCAGAGCCTCTGCCGGCCCCACGTCCACTACAGCGCCTCTGCCGGCCCCACGTCCACTCCAGCGCCTCTGCCGGCCCCACGTCCACTCCAGCGCCTCTGCCGGCCCCACGTCCACTCCAGAGCCTCTGCCTGCCCTGGCACCCACTTTGCTTTTAGCCCCCGGGCTGGGCATGGCTGACCTTGAGGAGAAGCAGACAAAATCCAAACCTGGGCTGCTCTTGGAGGCCCCACAGCCAGGCACATCTCCCCCAGCGGCCTAGGGCTCCGTCTTCCTCAGGGCCAGCCCACCCCACCACTGCCTCCCTGTGCAGGCAGCCTGGAGGCTTCAGCTTCAGCTCAGAACTGGGCTACAAATACCAGCCAGGAAGCCGGCCCTGCCCCAGCCCAGGGCAGGTCGAGGATGCCAGAGTGGCAAGGGCAGGGGCAGTGGGGCCCTCTTGAGAAAAGGAACAGGCCAGGGCCAAAGCAACACGGAGGCCCTGTCCTGAAAGGAAAGGGGCGCCCTCAGAGGTCAAAGTCCAAGATGAGAGGCCTTCTGTGGTCCTGACCAGGAAGCTTCACGCTGGAGGCCACGGGAAGGCCAAGGACCTGTCAGACCTCCATGGGCTCTGAAGCCTCGAGCTGGACCTGGAGTGGTTAAGAAACATTAACAGGGCTGGGCGCGGTGGTTCACACCTGTAATCCCAGCACTGTGGGAGGCCTAGGTGGGAGGATCACCTGAGGTCAGGAGTTCGAGACCAGCCTGGCCAACATGGAGAAACCCTGTCTCTACTAAAAATACAAAAATTACCCCGGCGTGGTGGCACATGCCTGTAAACCCAGCTACTCAGGGGGCTGAGGCAGGAGAACCGCTTGAACCCAGGAGGCGGAGGTTGCGGTGAGCCGAGATTGTGCCATTGTACTCCAGCCTGGGCGACAGAGCGAGACTCCATCTCAAAAAAAAAAAAAAAAAAAAAAAAAGCAGCATCAACAGCCTTCTCTGATACCAGCTTCACCCTCCCTGCCCGGGCCCAGAACACTTTCTGGGCATGGAGCTTGCTGCCGGGGACGTGAGGGGCTCCAGCAATTCCAGGGCCCAGGTCAGCTCTGAGCGGCCCCTCCCAGGCCTTGCCTTGCTCCGAGTCTCACGTTCAGTGGCGTCGTCGAGAAGAACCGTCTTGCCTGTTGCTATGCACAGCGTGCCAGGACGGGCACCACACTGATGCCTGACGGGCAGGAGCCCGGCGTCTCCAGACGCTCCCATCTGGGGCACGCAGCCCAACCCCAACCGGCCACGGAAGGCAGGACACCGCGGGTGAGAGCCTGCGCTGAGGCTGAGTGGCCGGGGTCTGAACGTCGCCCCTCGGCTAAGCCACTCACGTGACTTCATCTGAGTCACTCTCTGAGCCTCATTCCTCATATATAAAAACAGTCTGGGCCAGGCACGGGGGCTCCCGCCTGTAATCCAGCACTGTGGGAGGCGGAGGCAGGTGGATCCACTGAAGCCAGAAGTTCAACATCAGCCTGCGCAACATAACGAAACCTCGTCTTTACAAAAAATACAAAAATTAGCCAGGCATGTTGGTACATGCCTGTAGACCCAGCTACTTGGGAGGCTGAGGTGGGAGGATTGCTTGAGCCTGGGAGATGGAGGCTGCAGTGAGCCGAGATGGTGCCACTGCACTCCAGCCTGGGCGAGAGAGTGAGACTCCCACAAAAAAAAAAAAAAAAAAAATTAAAAATGTAAAACAAAATTCAAAACACATTTAGGCCTGGCGCAGTGACTCACGCCTGTAATCTCAGCACTTTGGGAAGCTGAGGCGGGTGGATCACCTGAGGTCAGGAGTTCAAGACCAGCCTGGCTAACACGGTGAAACCCCGTCTCTACTAAAAATACAAAAAATTAGCTGGGCGAGGTGGCGGGCGCCTGTAGTCCCAGCTACTCGGGAGGCTGAGGCAGGAGAATGGCGTGAACCCCAGGGGGCGGAGCCTGCAGTGAGCCAAGATTGCGCCACTGCACTCCAGCCTGGGCGACAGCGAGACTCCGTCTCAAAAAAAAAAAAAAAAAAATACAAAACTTGGCCGGGCGTGGTGGCGGGCACCTGTAATCCCAGCTACTCAGGAGGCTGAGGCAGGAGAATCGCTTGAACCCGGGAGGCGGAGGCTGCAGCGAGCCGAGATCGCGCCATTGCACTCCAGCCTGGGCGACACAGCAAGACTCTGTCTCAAAACAACAACAGCAAACAAAAACAAAAGAACCCAAACAAATAAATAAATAAACAGTGTGAATAACAGCACCTTGTAAGTGTCACCTCAGTTGCGTCACAGGCTAAGAATGATGCCTCGTACAGTACGTGTTCAAAACATATCGTCACAGAACTGTGCTTGAACACCCCGCGGCTTCCCACTGCATTCGGATTAAAGGCCCTGTCCTGAACCGCAGGGCCCCACGTCGCCTGGCCGCCGTCCCCTGACCCCACGTAACGCCCCACACTGTCCCCCTCTGCCTCTGAGCACACCTGCCTCGGGGTGTGGACCTTGCCGGTTCTTTGGCCTGGAATGCACTGCCCCCAGGTTTTTTATGGCTGAATTCTTCTTGTCATTTAAATCTTCGTTCAAAAGTGATCCTCTCAAGCCAGGCATCCCCCCGTCACTCTCTACTGCGTTACCCAGTTGTGTTTATTTTTTTCACAGCACTCATCTGACCGGCAAGGATCTCATTTGTTGACGGACTCCTCCTGCAGACAGGGTCTCGTCTGTCTCGGGCGCCTCTGTGTCCCTAGTTCCTGCAGGCCTGGCACGTGGAAGGTGCTCCGGCAATACTCACAGGCCAGAGGAACCAACTGGGGCATGGGGGAAGGAGGTGACAATGGCTCCCCGCCGGGGCTGCTTCAGGACAGGGCTCAAGAAGCCCTGTGTTCCCACTAAACCCCCTGCTCCCGTGTCCACTGAATGGCTGGCATTGGCCCAGGTGCAGCCCTGTGACAGACTCTCCCAGGGTGCTCAGGGTTTAAGGTTTAGGACTAGGAATCTTGAGACATGGCCAAGATCATCACATGAACTGGATTCCAGGAGATCATCCTGTTCAGCTCCTTCATTGAGCTGATACCAGAGAACCAGAGAGGCAAAGGGATGTACTCGCGGGCACACAGCAGTTAAGTAGCAGACTGAGACGAGAAAAATGGGAAACCTTGACTCCCACCGGCCTGGCGCCCTGTCTTCTCTGGCACCTTGTGCCACATGAGCCTGAGGGGCTGGGGACCCCGGAGGCCTCCCCGAGCACAGCCACGGCATCCAGGCATCGGATGGGAAGGGCGCTGTGGATGTCACGGCTCTGGCTGTGCCGGTCATCGGTACCAGCCCCGGCTGGGGTCACGGTCCAGAAAGGAGATCCCTCCAGATTTCGGCTCAGGAGCTGGTTCCGCTGTCTTGAAGCGGGACTGGGGAAGTCTCTGTGGGGATCCTGGGGCCTCCTGGCCTCTCTACAGAAGCCCAGGACCAGCTCCACGGGCCCCTCCCGCCTCTCCAGGGCCCATCCTGGAGGGCCAAGGGTCTACGGCTCACTGGACCCAGGACTGACGCTGCGTTTCTCCCCAGGGTGGGGCAGGCAGGTCACAGGCGCAGGGGACTGTCTGTTCCTCGAAGGTGCTGGGGGGCCGTCAGGACACAAACATCTTCCTGCCCCAGCATGAGTTCACAGGGGAAACGAGGTCAAAGAACAGCACCTGCTGACCAGTTCCCAACCACCTGGGCAGTGAGCGAGGCCACTCAGCAGAGGGCCAGGCCTCTCCAGCACCAGCGCCCTGTGGCCAACACCTGGCAGCTCCCCCAGACTCACACCTGCAGGCTTGGGGGCGCTTCCAAAATGCCTGGGGCAGCTCCCCCAGACTCACACCTGCAGGCTTGGGGGCTCCTTCCAAAATGCCTGGGGCAGCTCCCCCAGACTCACACCTGCAGGCTTGGGGGCTCCTTCCAAAATGCCTGGGGCAGCTCCCCCAGCCACACCTGCAGGCTTGGGGGCTCCTTCCAAAATGTCTGGGGCCTCATTGCCTCTGGGTACTACAGCAACACTGGGCTCAGGCAGCTTTGGCCTTTGAGGAACCCCCTTGATTGGCAGGTTCTCCTCTCCCTGGTCCAGAGCCATCCAAAAGCTGGGGCACCGCGCCCAGCACCGCTGGCTGGCCAAGCCGTCTGTGGCCTGCAGGGAGGCCGGGGAGGACCAGCGCCCTTCTACCCTCCCTAGGTACCAAGAAGCGGCACCTTGCCAAGTTCACTCAGAGCAGGGTTCCCGCCTTGATGTCTGCAGCCCCCTCTGAAGTCGCACACAGTGTGTGCATGGGGTGGCTCTGTGTCTGAGTGGCCTCCAGAACCTTCATCAGATTCTCAGAGTCCAGGGTTCCCGCTCTGCGGACTCAAGCAAGCCTCTTGGGAGCTGGCCTGGCAGAGAGATCAGAGAGTACTCATGAGGCCCCAGCAGTGAGGTCTGCCCACTCGGCAGGTGGGTAAGTGCTGTGGAAAAGAGGGAGGGTCGCCCGACCCCACTGCCAACCTGTCAGCCAGCCTGGCCGCAGTCAGGACCCACACATAGGCCCAGGAAGAGGTGGGCTGGTGTAGGGGCCTCCAGCTCTCGGGGGAGGCAGCACTGTAGTCCCCTGTCTGTGGCTGAGGGGTCGCTATGGGGGTGTGTGTGAACAGAGAAGACGCACGATGAAGCTTTCTTCCCACCGGGAAACAAGGAAGGGCGGTGGGCAGCCGGGCCAGGCCAGACTTCTATTGCAGAAGGCTGCGAGATCTTTCCTGACGCCCAGACTGGATTATAAAATAAAGTAGACGAGCCCAAGACATATCTGTATCTTGTACCCAGCACCTGTGTACCCTCGATGGCCAAGTGAGTGGTAGAGTGAACCTCTGGGGTGTGCACGTGGTCTGCACACCTGGTACCATCAAGAAGGAATAAACGACAGGCTCTGTGAGGGGTGGGGTTGTCCTGCGGTGGCGATCAAGCTGACAAAGAAAGGGACCCTTTCCTCCCCCCACCCCAAGACCGAGTCTCGCTCTGTTGCCCAGGCTGGAGTGCAGTGGCATGATCTCGGCTCACTGCAACCTCCACCTCCCAGGTTCAAGCGATGCTCCTGCCTCAGCCTCCCTAGCAGCTGGGATTACAGGTGCCCGCCACCATGCCCGGCTATTTTTTTTTTTTTTGTATTTTTAGTAGACACGGGGTTTCACCATGTTGGCCAGGCTGGTCTCGAACGCCTGACCTCAGGTGATCCACCCGCCTCTGCCTCCCAAAGTGCTGGGATGACAGGCGTGAGCCACCACACTTGGCTAATTTTTGCATTGTTAGTTGAGACGGGGCTTCTCCATGTTGGCCAGGCTGGTCTTGGACTCCTGACATCAGGTGATCCAAGAAAGGGACCTTCTTCTAAGACCATCATGAGCCTGAAGCTTCCCCGAATGGCCCAAGAGGGGCTCTCCACCCCGCCCTTCCTCAGGTAACACCTCTGATCCTCTCTGAAGCAAAGGCAGCAGCTCCCATCACAGAACACGGGACTCACCGTGGGGGTCAGCAGTGCCGGTGTCCAGCTTAAGAGGAGCTCTTTGGAAGTAGGGGATTCTCAGACCCACATGGCTGTGCTTCAGGGCAGAGACAAGGTCACCTGAAGCTGCACTCAATCTCCTTACACCCTGCCGGCTCAGCCTGAGTCCCCACCGCCGGCCAGCATCTGGCCTGGTCTGGGTCAGGAGCGTCTTGGACTTGGTTGCTCTATAAGGGCCTCAACTTCCCCGACAGACAAATGCTTCTGGACCGGCCTCCCTTCAGGCCCTCTTAGCCTCCTCACGGCTCCCACAAGGGGATGCTGCGGGGGCAGGGTGGGGGGGTTCCTCCTTCAGCCCCTTCCCCTCCAAAGCTCAAGCGAGAATCTAGAATTCAGCCCCTTCCCATCCAAAGCTCAACCAAGAATCTAGAAGAGGGAAGGATGGGAGGGAGAGGAAGGCACCGGGCCTGGTCTACTTGAGTGTGATTTGAGGCAAAAAAAAAAAAAAACAAACAGGGAAAAGGAAAGAAAAGTAGAAACGCGAAGTTCAATACCGAGAGCCCTGGCTGAACCCACAAACCCAGATGCCACGTGTCTCCCAGCTAAACACTCGCACAAAAAGCTGACTGCCAAGTCAGGGGCTGGAATGAGGCTTTGGCCCCTGAACTCTCCTCCGGTGACAAGAACAGCCCAACCACAGGGACCCCCGCTGGTACCCAAAGGATCCTCCGTGAGTGTCCCTGCCTCCTCTCCCCCAGAAACCAGAGGCCCTGCACTATTTAAAGGCTCAGTTCTGATCATGAGACCTTTCCATCTGAACAGATTGTTTAATCCCAGCCCTGGATGAGTCACGCCCCGCCTCCAGCCTTTAATGAACCTTCAGGTCAGTGGAAGCAGGAGGGCCACCGGTGTTTCTCGCACCCACAGCATCACTCAGGGCAAAGTTAACGAGGAGTTAATGAGGCAATCCCTCCTGCCAGTCTGGGCAGTACCAGGCACCCTTCCCTTACCCCACCGAAACGAAACTGCCTAGTCCCAGCCCCTCGGCCCAACTGTGAAGCTCCTGCAGGAAAATGCCAGGTTAATGTGGCTGAGGATAGAAAGCAAGAGGCCTGGCCCTTTGACTCTGCTGCTCACCCGCTGGCCTGCGCACAGTGAGGTGGGAAGCACAGGGCAGACGTCCCTCCGTCCACCACAGCGCTGACCCGTGTCCACGACACGGACACACTGTGGCAGACGTCCCTCCGTCCACCACAGCGCTGACCCCTGCGTCCACGACACGGACACACTGTGGCAGACGTCCCTCCGTCCGCCACAGCGCTGACCCCTGCGTCCACGACACGGACACACTGTGGCACACAGCACACGTTAGGGGATGGAATCGCTCGTCACACAGAGCAGCCCAGGGCCGGGGCCACCCTGAGCTGCACTGACGCCAACTGCTCAGCAGCTCAATAGCCCGGCGTCTGCCTGGCCACCACCCCTGCCCAGAGATCCCCATCAGACACGGAGCCACCAGGCACTGCCAGAGGCAAACCCAGCTAAGGAATTCTTGAAGGGGCTTCTCAGTTCTGCCGGCCACAAATGCATAGGGAAAGAACTGAAAGTCTGGGACCTCAGGTTTAAAAGTTGCCCCCTGCCCACCAGGCACCTCCTCAAAGGGGCAGGTAAACTGGAAGCGCCCTGTTTGGCTGGCGCTGGACCCGGAACCTGCCAGGTCAGTTTCTTGCCAACCCTGACGTTTGGGGATGGATGGTGAGCTCTGGGCTGGTGCCTGCTGGCCTCAGCAGGGGCTGGGGAGGGGATGAGTCCACGCTGCCGGGCACAGACAGCTGCCTCAGCACAGAGGGGCTCTGGCAGCAGCTGGGGCCAGCAGGGCTCTGCTAGCCCAGTCCCCAGGGAGGCTGAAGGTGACACAGGGGCCAGTGCAGTACAGCTCAAGTTGCTGCCCTGCCCAGCACTTTCCAGGGCTGATGTCACCTCTGGGAGGTCAAGTATGCCCCATGGCAGGAGCTGAAACAAAACGAGGGGCCAGTGAGCCCAAGATCACTTCGTCCTGGCTGATGCCAGGAGCCTCAATGCCGGCTGGCAGTAAGAGCCTGCAGAGAGGTCCTGTGAGCCTCAGGAGGAGCTGCAGATCCCCACCACGGACTGGCCAAGGCCTCCCTTGTTGCTCTCTTGATGGATGGGCCCAGCCCTGGCCAGCCGGACTGGCACTCTGAGACAGCTAACTCGGACAGTTGATTTGATCTGCAGAGTTATCGAGCACTTCCTGTGCGCTGGGCGCTGGGTCTGGCTCTTCCTCACGTGCCTGATGCCAGGGCCCCAAGCCAGCCCCGAGGCAGCCTGCCCAGCTGCAGGACAGTCGGCTTCTATCTCAGATTTTAATCCCAACTCAGGTCTGGGGCTGCAGGGGCACCGGCGGTCTGCCCTGGCACATGGACGGAACGCCTGGTGCCCGGCGGGCACTGGGCCCACAGTCAGATGGGTGGTCCCTGAAGGGAAGCCTCGAGCCCCCAGACCCGGCAGCATCTCCCCTCCCCACAATCCTGCACAGAGAAACCTCACACGGCAGACGGTGCTGCGGTCGGCGCCCCTCAGCAAAGGGGCAGCCAGCAAGGCCCGCTGGATGCAGGGATCAGGTAGAGGCTGAACAGGGCGGCAAGACATAGACCCAGAGGCAGGCGTCTCCCCGTGCGCTGTTTGCACTCCCGGAGTGGAAAGCAGGGTCCACCTGCCGAGAAGAAACCTCCCTTCTCCCGAGGCAGGGGCAGATGCCCGAGCGCCAGGGTCCGGGTGGGGGCGGCCCCAGCGTTCGCCATCAAGTTCAAGCCACTTAGAGGGACGCGCACAGACCCCAGCTCTGTCCCGGGACTCCACGGAGGGGGCGGGAGCGGGACCCCATCAGCCCCCGCAGCCCCCGCAGCCCCCCGAGCCCCGCAGCGCCCCCGAGCCCCCACCCCCCGGAACCTCCAGCCCCCGCGGGCACCTTGTTTCGGAGCAGCTTGTTGCGCACGCGGCCCCAGAGCCGGGCGCCGGTGTTGGGGGGGCGCTTGCTCCCCGACTCCTCCAGCGCCAGGGGTTCGCGCCCCGCCTTCGGGCTGCAGTCGGGCTGGGGCAGGACGTCGGTCATGCCGGGGGGGACGGGACGCGGCGCTGGAGAGAAGGCGCCTGTGGAGCGCTCAGTCCCGGCTGCCAGTCCCGCTAGTTCCCTAGTCCCGCCGGCTTTCCCCGCGCTCGCCTCCCTCCCTCCCTCCCTCCCCGCGCTCCCCTCCCTCCCTCCCTCCGTCCGCGTCCCTCCTCCCTCCTCCCTCCTCCGCATCCCTCCTTCCCCGCCCTCCGCGAGGCTGCAGCCCAGGCTGAGCGCCGCCTCCCAGGCCCAGGGCCGCCCCTCCAAGCCCCAACCCCGGGTTTCATCCCTGGCAAGGGCGCTGCTCCTCCCCGACCCCGCCGCCCTCCCTCGCAATAAAGTTTACACCAGCCCCACACCCCAGTCCCTCCCTGCTGGGTCCCCGTGTTGCCCACCGGGCTGCTCCAGGGGCCAAGCGGAGGGGCCGGGGGCCAGGCGGGGGCTGCATTTTGGCCACAAACAGCTGCCCTCCTCCCCGGGCAAAAGACTCTGACTGCCCTGGGGTCGCACTTCCCCACCCCCAACTTCTGCCCCAGGCACCTTCCTCAGAGCCAGCTTGGTGACCCGGCCAGACCCTTGTGGACCGGCACTCAGAAGCCTCCTCAGGTGAGAAATGTAAGGATAAAGGAGACCCCTAGTGTGGGAATCCCAGTGGGAATCGGGTCACTGATCTGCTCAGGGACAGGAGCAAAAGCCCGAAACGACGCGGGTCACACGTCCAGCCAGAGATGCCTCTTGAGGGGTCACTTTGAACCATGGCCCTTTGCACCTCACCAAAAAAGGTTTCCGCTGCCAGGGGCAGAGGACGCCACGGGCAACCACCCGCGTCCGTGCTGGGCGCAGAGGACGCCACGGGCAACCACCCGCGTCCGTGCTGGGCGCAGAGGACGCCACGGGCAACCACCCGTGTCCGTGCTGGGCGCCTTGAGAGAGAGAAGAACTTGTTCTTGACCTTCAATTTATTTAGTGAACTTTCTAACCGCAGAGACTAGGACACAAATTACGTCTCAAGGTAACAGTGCAAGTTAGAGTACGGTATTCAGAGAAAAGAGAAAGGCTGAATCCCAAATGTTTAACTATGCAAAACCCAGGGGTGTCTGGGGCCTCGGACCTCTGCAGACCCCAGCACGGCACAGAAAGGAAACCAGTATTTGCACCGTGGCAACCGCGAACCAGGTCTTTCAAACGCCCGACTGCATGTGAGCCTCACATTCTTGTCATGTTGGTGTTACTGCCCTGTTCTAGAGAGGTGAGGACAGGGGGTCAGGAGGTCCAGTTCTTGCCAGGGTTACACAGTGCCAAGTGAGGATGGGGAGGTCCCTCCAAAGCCCTTGGTGCTCACAAGCACTGTGCCTTACTCAAACATGGATGATGCTTTGGATTCAGGAAAAAGAGCTGGGTCAGGACATTTCTTGGTTGACCCCAAGGCAGGTGGGTCGGGGCCCAGAGACGAGCCCTCGGCATCCGGCGTCACCAGCCAGGCAGGTGTCGGGATTTCTCCTCAGAGGCCTTGGTGTTTTTGAGGAATAGGTGGCTTCCCTGCAGAGACAGCCGTAGTCAGAGCTGTCCTTCGTGGAAGGCTGGCAGGGACCAGGCATCATGGATTAAGTCACTTACCCCTCCCAACTGTATGAAGTCAGTACCAGCATCCCCGCTTTACCTCTGAGGAAACGAAGGGCTCTGACAAGCTGAGCTACGTGTCCAAGGCCAGGACAAGCTGGAACACAAACGGAGGTCTGGCTAACTCCAAAGCCCACACCCCTGTCACTCACTGTGATGCCCTAGTGTGGCAGGATCTGGCCCTGGACTATCTTCCACCTGGCTGGTGGAGGGGGGCCTTGGGGCGTCCTGCCTGGGCTAGAACCGGGCCTCAGTCTTCACTGTCCCTGCAGGGGCGGCCAGACCAGCTCCACTTCTTCCTGGCTCACACGTCACACGCACCCCTGGACGGTGCACACGGAACTTCCTCAAACCTGAGCTGCTAAGTGGGGGCTGAGCCACAACAGCCTCACCAGCACCGCCTGAGGGGGAGGTGGAGAGACGGACGGAGGTAGGAACATGCCTGTGTCCCCTAACTGAGGCCTCAGTCACCCTTCTCCACCCCTCCTTCGCCTGCCCCTTCCAGGGCTCCAGGAGGACCCAGACAGCCCCTTCACACAGCCACAAAGCCATCTCCTCCAGGAAGGCTCTGCTCACTCCTCAGGCCCCACTGCTTGGTCCCACTCATGTCATTTTTTTTTTTTTTTTTTTGAGGCAGTGTCTTGCTCTGTTGCCCAGGCTGGAGTGCAGTGGTGCAATCTTGGCTCACTGCAGCCTCCGCCTCCCCAGCTCAAGCAACTCTCCTGCCTCAGCCCCTTGAGTAGATGGGACTACACACACCCACCACCACGCCCGGCTAATTTTTGTATTTTTCGCAGAGACGAGGTTTCACCATGCTGGCCAGGCTGGTCTCAAACTCCTGACCTCAGCCTCCCACAGTGCTGGGTTTACAGGCATGAACCACTGCACCTGGCCCCACTCATGTCACTCTAGAGGTAGTGACTGAGGGCCTGGCTGCGTGCCCGACCCTGGGGTGGGGGTTAAGGCATCACAGAGACGAATCAAAAGTCAGTGCTTGACAAAGGGGCAGCCAAGAAAGCAGAGATGTCCATCAACAGGAGGCAGACAAGCATTTGTGCATTTGGCACGGGTCACTTGTGCACCTACTAGGCACCACGCCCAGATGGACAAAACCCGCACAAAATCCCATATTACGGCCTCAGAACAGGACAGACAAAATGCCACGAACATCGAGAGATACAATTTCCAGCTGGAGGCAACTGGGGAAGGCTTCCTGGAGGAGAGGGGTCAGCGTGGGGCCCTCGGGGCTGTAGGGAAAGGCCATCCACCCTCACTGGGTCCCAGCTTTACTCTACCTCCCTCCAGCAAACGTGCAATGGCTGTCATGTAACTGGCTGGTAGGATGCCATTATAACTGCTCTCCACGTTTGCGCCACAGTGCTCCTGGTGCCGTGACTTAACTTCAGAATCGGCCCCTCACTGGCCTATGGTCCCCTTCCCTCGGGCTGGGTCCCAGGCCACAGGGTGCAGACTGCGAGAATGCACGCCCCTCCCTGCCGCCGGGTGTGGGGGAGAAGGGGGCCGTGTGAATCCCGTTCCCAAGGCCCGGCACTCATCTGTCTTAGGTACCACAGGCTCAATACTTGTCTAGGTAAAGCAAGCTCGGACTGGATGAACGATGGCCAGCTGGTCTCCATGGTGACATAAGTGCCTTCGCAGATGGGTAGCCGAGTTGGGAGTCTTCCCCTGAGACGCTCATCTTTCCCTTCCTCCCTATGGACTGGGGGCTTCCTCTGGGGACAGCGCAGACTTGCCTTCTCTCCCCCAAGCCCGACTCATTGCTTCCTGGAGTCAATGGTCTTGGGTGGAAGAAGATCTGTGCAAGACAGATGTCCCCAGCAAAAGCAGAAGTCTGAATTCTAGTCGCTGCAGCCCACCACGGACCCCTCCTCATCTCTGCTGGGTTCAGCTCAGGCTATCCCAACCACCTGGGAAGGGGCCACTCTCCTTCCTCCCTCACTCCTTCCATCCCCTAAACCTGCTCCCCCCCACCCCTTCCACCCCCTACACCTGCTCCCCCACCCCTTCCATCCCCCACACCTGCTCCCCCACCCCTTCCATCCCCTACACCTGCTCCCCCCACCCCTTCCATCCCCCACACCTGTTCCCCCACCCCTTCCATCCCCCACACCTGCTCCCCCCACCCCTTCCATCCCCCACACCTGCTCCCCCCACCCTTTCTACCCCCACCTGCTCCCCCCACCCCTTCCATCCCCCACACCTGCTCCCCCCACCCCTTCCATCCCCCACACCTGCTCCCCCCACCCCTTCCATCCCCCACACCTGCCAGAGCCCTCCTCAGACGACCTGCAAGACTCCCCCGGCTGGATAAACAGAGCCTGGTGGTAAGGCCCCCACGAACAGATGTCACTGCCTTTGGAATTAAAAACATTCCTAGTGGACCATCCCATCCTCCCTCAGCCCCTCCCCAGGCTCTCTGCAAGGGGAGTGAGAGGGGCTGTCCCCGGGGAGACGTGGGTGGGACCCCGCATTACACCTAGGGAGGGGGTCATGCCACCCAGCACAGCTGTGACTGAGGTAAAATCGGGTTAAGGTGTTCAGTGGCGGCATCAACGAGGAAAAAAGGTCACATCCTGCCCTGTGCGAGCGGGAGGGGCAAAGGCTGCAGTGGGGCTGCCTCGGTGACAGCTGGGGGTGGGGACGGCTTCCAGGCAAATCCTCCAGCCTGTGAGCACCAGGAGGAAGGTTCTGCCTCAGAACCTAGAAATGCAGCTGCCGCTTTCCTGGAGTGACCTCCTTTTTCCCACCAGAACGACGCTCCTCTCCCCCAGCCCACACTTGAACCCCGATTCCTCGTCCTATCCGCTAGCGCAAATGACTCCAGGAGAGGGGGTTTCTGAGCAGCCAGCTAGACCAAGGCCACAGGCGCCCCAGTGGGGATAGCCTGGGAGCCAGTTGGGGCGGGGAGAGCCCCAAGAGGCCGCCCAGAGAGTCCAGAGCCCAGGAGGAGCCTGGCACCCAGCTGAGGATGGGGACCGAGGGGATGTGGCTCAGGTCTGCCAAGAACACTCCCTCTCTCAGCACCAGAGGATCAGGGCACCGGCTGGGCATCAGAGGACCAGAGCTGGGGGACAAGAAGGTGCTGGAGGAGAGCAGGGCGGACCCGAGGCTGGGGGGCAAGAAGGTGCTGGAGGAGAGCAGGGCGGACCCGAGGCTTTGGGGGCTGCAGAGAGCCTGCCAGTGGCTCCTGCCCAAAGACAGGTGCAGGCTCCAGGATGAGAGAGAGACAAGCAGGCCGAGCATGGGAGCCCGGGGTGCCCAGCGCCCACACAGGGCGTGCGAGTTGGGCGGGAGGATGGCACGTTCCGGGGACAGCTGTGGGGGAGTGGGGACGGGAGTGTCCCCCAACTCGGTGGCTCTGTGGTCACTGCATTCTTACTGTGTGTTCTGACCATTTCCTGTACCGACCCTAACCAAAACCTGCGGACTGGAAGGCCAAATGTCTTCCCAGAATGAGACACTGAGACTCACTCTAGGTTTTTCTCCCCACCCATCGGATACCTCTGGGTATTTGCAATGTTCAGAGCCTGCATTCAGCCTGGGGACAGGAGTCACCCAGCAGCCAATGGCAGATTAGACCCTAGGAGCTATGTTTGTTTCTTTCTTTCCTTCCTTCCATCCTTCCTTCCTTCCATCCTTCCTTCCTTCCATCCATCCACCCATCCATCCATCCATCCACCCATCCATCCACCCACCCACCCATCCTTCCATCCATCCATCCATCCATCCACCCACCCACCCATCCATCCAGGTGGGGCTGGGAGAGGGGTCCAGGGTGGGCTCAAGGTTGAAGATGGGCACAGTGTAAGGAAGAAGGCAGTCAGGATGAAATCAGTTGCTCTACGGCCCAGACCTAGGCCTGCCCAAGGTAACCTGCTGTCCTCCCAACTCCCCAAAGGCCTGTGCCGGCTCATAGGGCAGTCCCGAGTACGTGCTGCTTCTCACACAGCTCCAGCCTCCCTCTGCCTGACCTCCAGCCTCTCTCTGGCCACGTCAGGCTGGTGTCGCCAGGGTGCTCGGTGGTTCTAGGTACGGAGGAGAGGCTGAAACAGCCCAAGAGCTTGTCTGCTGCAGGAGAAGTGTCCCGACAGCCCGTCCCTGGCAAACCCTAGCGATTCTCACAGCACATTTGGTCATGGAAAAGGGTGAAAAATGCACTTGAGCCTTTGGGAACATCTTGCTTATCTAGAACAAAACTCACCCAGGGACAGAGTGGGCAGGGCGTGGCCCCTCAGTATGCTGTCCCTACCGCTGGAGCCCCCCTGGGCTGCTTGCCTGCTCCTCCTCCCGGGAAGGAGGGGGTGTGGCCGGGTCTCCCAGCACAGCCATAAATTGCAGCCTGAGGCAGGAGGGGCTGAGGCCTGAAGGTGGGATGGGGTCGCCGAGCCTCCCTGCTCTTTCTTCATTCTGGATTCCCGAACACCTCCCTTCCACCCAAGCTCCGAGCTCATGGTGGCCAGAAGCAAAGCCCTGGGAGCCAGGGACCTGTGGACTCAACGGCTGTGTTTTTCTCTGGGTTCAGTTTCCACAGCTGTCAAATCAGGAGCTCGGAACAGACACATGGTCTCCGGTGAGATTTCTTTTCTGCTGAGGACGCACCCCTGCCGTTTTTTCCAAATGAAATTTTATGCCGACGTCTCCCTGCCCACCTCGTCGGATAAAAGCAGAAGCAGAGAGAGCAGGCGCCCTGGCTGAAGAGGGGACGTGGGGCCCACTGGCTCACACCTGCTTTTCCACCACCCCTCGCCTGCCTTGGGGCTCACGTCCCTCCCCGGAATTCCCACGCCCCACAGGCAGAATCTGAGGCACACCTCAGCGCCCCGCCCTCCTTTCAGGCATCTACAGCTCAAACCTTAGGTTCCCAGCAGCTCCTAGAGGCAGTTCTCCCGAAGGCCTCGCTCTCCCTCGGGGTGGGGGACGTGGGGGTCTGAGAGATTAGGGGCTTTGTAAGGACACCTCTGGGTCAGACGCTGAACCTGCAGCTCCAGTCGTGTCTCTGCTTCTCTCCCTCCTTTGGGAAACTCAGGGCTTTTGCTCAGTGGCTGTGGGTTCGCCCTGGCAGCCTCGAGAGGGGACAGCACCTGTCTAGTGGGTCAGGCGGGTGTGTCTGGGTCATCTTGCGTCTCCAGCCGCGCTAGGGTCTTTCCTGAAGCCAGGGCAGCTCAGCACTTGCCTCCGAGGGCGTGAACACGGTGTGCCCATCCCTCCCTGCCCCAGCCCAAAGCTACAGGCTACACTGGGGCTTAGACCCTCGCCCAGCACCACCAATGTCCACGCCCCCAGGCCACGGCAAGGGCGGGGCTGGCCACGAGGGGCTGCTGTGAGTCTGCGGTGGCCGCAGGCTTGAGGGAGGCCAGCAGAGCCCACCCTAAAGGTGACCCCCGCTCAGCATTCATCTGCAGCCTCAGCCCTAACTCAAGAAATTCTCTGGCAACCCTTCTGTGGCATCCTTCTCTTGAAGCTTTCAGAAAACACGGAAAGTGGGACAACCCTGGAGCTGATCCTTTGGATTCCTAGGAGGAAGCAGCAGCCTCCGCCAGCAGGGAGGTTAGCGGCTCACGGGGAGGAATCTATGTCTGCGGCTTTCGCCTCGGCGAGTTCGCTGAATGCCACGGACCCGAGAGGACACTCTCTGAAGGGTCACCCGAGGTTGGCCGGCTAAGATCAAACCCAGGTCCCGTGCCTCTGAGTCTGGGAGCCCGGCACCCAGAGCTGAGAACACCTTTTTTTGGTCTGTCGGGAGGCTGGATGTTCTCAGGGCCTGACTGCATCGGCTCCTGAGGTCCTGTCTGGACCGGCTTCTCTGCATGGTGCCCACCCTTCAGAGGCGGGTCAGGGGGAGCGGGCGCCAAGCCTGCCTGCTGAGGCGGCACTTCCCAGGGGTGGAGGGGAGCGGGGGGAGCCGACTCACACCTCCATCTGCTTCCTGCTGGATGCTTCCTGCCCAGAATCCACTGGGCAGAGTCCAGGCTCCCAAAATCAGGAACACCTGGGCGATGGAGGCAGCTGAGCAGGGCTGACGAGAGAGGTTCGTGCCCCACGTTTGGAAAAGCTTTCGACGGCAGGGCAGGCACTCTCGAGGGACCCTCCCCCGACTTCCCCCACCCAGGACAGTCTCTGCTGCCCACTCTCCAAGGAGAACCAGGCGTCTAGACCTGCCTTGAAGAGGGACAGCAGGTGGGAGTCTGGGCTGGAGAACAAATGTGCCCGAAACAGCTGGGGTGGGCAGGGCCAGAGCAGGACAATGGCTGCAGTCACGGGGCCCTGGGAGGAAGTGGAGAGTCAGCAGGAAGTAGAACCAGGCCTGGGGCTCAGCCTCCACGGTCCCTATGTGCCTGGGGAACTGGCACAGGGGTGGGGGTGGCGGCAGAGGGAAGAGCCCCACGTGGGCCAGCTGTGAGGGTGGCAAGCAGCAGGGAGGCGGAACTCCTAAGCCAGGAGCCGAGGCGGGGCCTGACATGCACTCCTGGCCTTGGCGGGCGCCGACGCGGGCTGATCTTCCAGGGAGAGGTCACTCCGGTGTCCCACGACAGGGAGCTATGGGGGCTGTGAGTGCCAGGGCAGGGGTTGGGGACGGGAGAGATGGAACCAAAGGGAAAGGCCTGTGTTCCTTCCCAGTTGAATCAAGGCCTCCCTCAGGGCCAGGGGCCCGGCTGTGGTCAGTGTGGCCCACGCGTGAGGCCTGGAACGGGGAAGCACTGAGGACCCACGTTACCGGCCGTCGATCATCTTCCTGGGAGGGGTCCCAGTACCACTATGAAGAACGAGAGGGGGCCGGAGCTGGAAGGGGCTCTGGGCTCACAACCCAGGGCCCCCAGGACGCACGCGCAGGACCCTCAGGCAGGGTCGAATGGGGACAAGACACCCCTTGGGGGTCAGAGGGAGGGAAGTGGGGCAGGGGAGCCCTTGACTCCTGCCCTGGCGGGCTCCGGCCCCACGTTCTCTGCAAGCTTCCTCGTGCTCTCCAGAGTAATTGAAACCAGAAGCTGCTCCCCAGCCGCTGACAAAGGCCCCTTGTTTCCGACCACACCAGGCCAAGCTCAGAGCTGCCGTGCTGGGTCATGGCAGGGAAACCTCGGGCCAGCCGGCATTGAGGGCCCCAGCCTTGACTTCCCCGCCCCTGCTATGAGGTTGGTTCAGCAAAGCCAGTCTGACCCCATCAGCTTAAGAAAATAATGCTGCCTCGGCCAGCCAAAGGCCCCGACCCAGGGGACCACTTATAGGTGACAGCCTTTAGGAGGGGGCTGCTGGACAAGTGACACCCAGAACCACTGGAAGGGGGTGGGGGACAGGGTGCCTGAACCCGCCAGCTTAGGGCAAACCACGTACTGACTCCATGCCAGGCCCCGGGTCCAGGGTTTCATGGACCCTCACATTCAGTCCTCTTACAGCCCATCTGACAGGTCAGGAAGCTGAGGCTCAGAGGCAAAGATACTCGCTCTGTTCTCCCAACTAACGATGGAGAAAGCTAGACTCAGCCCCGCAAGATCTGTCTGGCCTCAAAACCCCGGCAACACTGGCTAACGATCCAAGTTCTCGTTTTCCTTTTTTTGAGACAGAGTCTCGCTCTGTAGCCCAGGCTGGAGTGTAATGGCGCAATCTCGGCTCACCGCAACCTCCACCTCCTGGGTCCTGGTTCACACCATTCTCCTGCCTCAGCCTCCCGAGTAGCTGGGATTACAGGAGCGCACCATCACGCCCGGCTGATTTTTCTATTTTTAGTAGAGACGGCGTTTCACCATGTTGGCCAGGCTGGTCTCGAACTCCTGACCTCATGATCCGCCCGCCTCGGCCTCCTAAAGTGCTGGGATTACAGGCATGAACCACCGTGCCTGGCCTAAGTTCTCTTGTTTTCTTTACCAGACGGTGAGGTCCTGGTCATTCTTTGTACCCACAGCCCAGGGCCTGCCATTCAGAGGATGTATCGTAAACAGAAACAAGTGAGTGAACAGGTGAAAGCGTGGACGCACACGTCACAGCACCGACTGGCTCTTCCAGGTATGTGAGATCCTTTAAGCCAGTGCTGAAGGTGGGGTAGGAATAGTTACCCCCACTGAATCAATAAAGAAACTTGGCCGGGTGCGGTGGCTCACGCCTGTCATCCCAGCACTTTGGGAGGCTGAGGCGGGTGGATCACAAGGTCAGGAGTTCGAGACCAGCCTGGCCAACATGGCAAAACCCCGTCTCTACTAAAAATACGAAAATTAGCTGGGCATGGTGGCGGGCGCCTTTAATCCCAGCTAACCAGGAGACTGAGACAGGAGAATCACTTGAACCCGGGAGACGGAGGTTGCAGTGAGCCAAGACTGCGCCATTACACTCAGCCTGGGCGACAGAGAGAGACTCCATCTCAAATAAATATAAATAAGTAAATAAATAAAAGAAGAAACTGAGATGCCAAGAAGTCAAGGGACCAGAGGTTGTTCCCGCGGCCTCAGGGTGACTGCGTCTGCATTCGATGCACCTAAACCACTGACCAGGGGAGGAAAGAGCTGACCCAGGAAGAAGGGTGAAGGGGTCAAGGGGCAGGGACACTTGGCCGGGAGGGGGAGAGAAGGCCGAGGCAGGGGGCCCAACTGTGTGCTTCAACTACAGGAGACTAATAGTGACCAGTCATGCCCTAGGGTCACGGGTCCTGCTCATCTATTACAGCTGGGAGGCAGGTGGGGGACAGAGCTTGGGTCTGGAGAGAAGGAGGCTGTGCTGTCTCCATCCTCAGGGACAAGGTTCTTTTTCTCAACGAAAGGCAAGAGCGTTTTGGGTGGAAACAACCCAAATGTGCACGGATGGACGGACGGACAGACGGATAAACAGACATGGCACCTACATCCACGGACGGACGGATAAACAGACATGGCACCTACATCCATGAATGGATGGATAAACAGACGTGGCACCTACATCCGCGGATGGATGGATAAACAGACGTGGCAGCTACATCCACAAACGGATGAATAAACAGACGTGGCACCTACATCCACGAACGGATGGATAAACAGACGTGGCACCTACATCCACGGACGGATGGATAAATAGACATGGCAGCTACATCCACAGATGGACAGGCGGATAAACAGACGTGGCAGCTACATCCACGGGTGGGTGGACAAACAGATATGGCACCTACATCCACGGACGGATGGATAAACAGATGTGGCACCTACATCCATGGACGGATGGATGGGTAAACAGACATGGCACCTACGTCCACAGACGGATGGATGGACGAAGAGACGTGGCACCTACATCCACGGACAGACAGAAGGACAAACAGACGTGGCACCTACATCCACAGATGGATGGATAAATAGACGTGGCACCTACATCCACGGATGGATGGATGGATAAACAGACATGGCACCTACATTCACGGACGGATGGATGGATAAACAGATGTGGCACCTATATCCACAGACGGATAAACAGACGTGGCACCTACATCCACGGACGGACGGGCAGATAAAGAGACGTGGCATCTACATCCAGGGAAATTGTATCCAGCCTCAGAAAGGGAGGAAATTCAGACACACAACGGCATATGGGTGAAGCTCAAGGACATGAGGAGGACAAATGCTGTCTGATTCCACCTACGTAAGGTTCCCAGACTGGACAAATTCGTACAGACAGAAAGCAGGCAGGTGGTTACTGGAGGCTAAGGGTGCAGGAGTGGGGAGTTATGATTTAATGGGGATGGGGTTTCGGCTGGGGAGGGCCAACAAGTTCTGGATATGCACACTGGCAACGGCTGCACAGCACCAAATCCACCTATGGCCACGGAGCTGTGCACCCAAAAATTATTATTTTTTGAGATGGAGTCTCACTCTATTGCCCAGGCTGGAGTGCAGTGGCATGATCTTGGCTCACTGCAACCTCTGCCTCCCAGGTTCAAGCAATTCTCCAGCCTCAGTGTCCCGAATAGCTGGGACTACAGGCGTGCACCACCACGCCCGGCTAATTTTTTTTAATCTTTGTAGAGATGGGGTCTCACCATGTTGGCCAGGCTGGTCTTGAACTCCTGACCTCAGGTGATCCATCTACCTCGGCCTCCCAAAGTGCTGGGATTACAGGCGTGAGCCACCGCGCCCGGCCCCTAAAATTTATTAAAATGGTAACTTTATGTTATGTATATTTCACTACAATCTTTTATTTTTTATTTTTTTCAGTGGAGATAGACTCTTGCTCTGTCACCCAGGCTGGAGTACAGTAGCGCAATCCTTAGCTCACTCTAGCCTCCTTAGCCTCCCAAGTAGTCCACAGCTACACCACGTGAGCTACTATGCCTGGCTTCTACCACTATTTTTTCTTTAAAAAGAATAAAGGCCGGACGCGGTGGCTCACACTCCCTTCCTGGCCTGGAACCTGCCCCTCCCACCACAGGGTCTTCAGCGCTGCTGTGCCCAGGGAGGGGCTGCCCTGGCAGGCACGTGGGGAAGTGGAGCTGCCTCCCAGGCACAGGGAGCAGAGGTGGACTGTGGGGTGGGGGCTGTCCCCAGCCTGCGGTGAGCGAGGGAATGACGCAGGGCCGGGGGGCGGGCAGGGGGTGCAGAGGGCCCCTCAGGTTTAAGTAGCTTCTTGGTCTCAGGCCCTTCTCCAGTCTGGGGACGCTGGCAGAAGCTGAGCTGTGGGGCCCCAAGGGAAAGCGCTCTCCTCAGGCCCAGCCCGCCAAGAAGGGCCGGACCCTGGGAATATGCTAATCAGCTAGCGGGTAGGTTGCAGCTGGAGCGGCAAGGCTGGAAATAGAGTAGGATAAACACAGTGGAGTCCCCTGGGACCAGGAGCCAGGGCAGACTACGCCGGGGGCAGGGGCAAGAGCCGGTGGAGGGGGGGGCTCCCAGCTAAGCGGACCTGGATGGGGTCCCTGAGTCTGGGGCCCTTGTTCACCCACTAACAAGCTCTGTGACCGCAGCTGCCTCGCTCACCCTTGCTGGTGTCCATTTCCTTCTCTCCGGAAAACAGGATTGGATTAAACGCCCTCTAAGATTTATTCCAGGCCGGGTGCCGTGGCTCACGCCTGTAATCCCAGCACTTTGGGAGGCTGAGGTGGGCAGATCACCTGAGCTCAGGAGTTTGAGACCAGCCTGGTCAACATGGTGAAACCCTGTCTCTACTACTACTAATAAAAATCAGCTGGGCATGGTGGTGGGCGCCTGTAATCCCAGCTACTCGGGAGGCTGGGACAGGAGAATGGCGTGAACCTGGGAGGCAGAGGTTGCAGTGAGCCGAGATTGCGCCATTGCCCTCCAGCCTGGGCAGCACAGCAAGACCCCATCTCAAAAAAAAAAAAATACCTCTTCCGGCCAAACCCCCAGGAATCCCCTCCTTTTATTCATTCCTTCTACTGGCCTTGCTTGCAGCTCCCCGCCACCCCTGCTGAGGCTCCTGACTTTCCTGGGACCCTCCCTTCACATTCGTGCCTCCCTGCCAGGCGGGTCTGTCCTCTGGAACTCCCACCCTACTCCCTTCTGCGGAAGCGGAGCCTGCGCACCTTGCTGGAATAACACAGAGCCTTAGCATAGCAATTGCGCTGGCCGCTCTATACCAAGATTTCTACAAAGAATATAAAGTACTTTTAACAAAGTATCCAAAAAGGTGCTTAAGAAGACTCCATACAGCTCTAGAGAAAAGGAGGTTTATAATAATCCATGAAAACAGAAAAACAGACAAAACAGGCCCTGATTAAATCTACATAAAAATGTGTATACCTCAAGAAGGGAAAAGGCACAGAATAAACTGGCTGCTTCGGAGGAGCCGGAGGAAGGATGGTTTCTGATTAGGTTTCAAGTCTCTTTGCTTCTACTGCAATTTTCTTTCTCATACAAACATTGCTTTTGGAATTAAAAAACCCAGGGCTTCCAAATCGCTCTCGTTCCACCTCCTCCTTGAAGCCTCCCTAATTCCAGCCCATGGTGACCTTTCTGCCTCTGAATTCCTGCGGGACAATCTTCCATCTTATTATAGCAGGACAATCTTCCATCTTCTTACAGCAGGACAATCTTCCGTCTTCTTACAGCAGGACAATCTTCCGTCTTCTTACAGCAGGACAATCTTCCGTCTTCTTACAGCAGGACAATCTTCCGTCTTCTTATAGCAGGAGGCAGCAGGACATCTAGAAATGGGCTCTGCAGCCAGCTGCCCGCCCTGGCCCACTCCTGGGCACATGGCCTTGGCCGGGCTCCTTAGCCCCAGCTTCCTCATCTTTCTAGCTGTGATGATATTCCTCTCCCACAGGGTCCTGGGAAGATCTCCTGAGACAGCAGATGGAAGCATTTAGCACCGTGCTGGGCTCGTCCTGGGCTCGCTTATGTGTGTAGGCTATTGTGGCTGACATCTAGCATTCTTCTCACTGGAGAACATGGACCAATATACTCGTCTTTCCAATCTGACAGTGGGTCCCTGGAGGCCAGGACCCCCTCCTGGGCTGGGGACCTCACAGACGCATGCTAAGTACCCCTCCTGCTGTTTTCTTTTCTTTTTTTTCCCCAGACAGAATCTCATTCTGTCTTGTCCAGGCTGGAGTGCAATGGAGCAATCTCAGCTCACTACAACCTCCACCTCCCAGGTTCAAGTGATTCTCCTCCCTCAGCCTCCCAAGTAGCTGGGATTACAGGTGCCCACCATCACGCCTGGCTAATTTTTGTTTTTTTAGTAGACACAGGGTTTCACCACGTTGACCAGGCTGGTTTCGAACTCCTGACCTCAGGTGATCCCCCCGCCCTGGCCTCCCGAAGTGCTGGGATTACAGGCACGCACGACCACCCCTGGCTAATTTTTATATTTCTAGTAGAGACGGCCATGTTGGCCAGGCGAGTCTCAAACTCCCGACCTCCTAATCCGCCCGCCTCGGCCTCCCAAAGTGCTGGGATTACAGGCGTGGGCCCCACACCCAGCTAATTCTTGTATTTTTAGTAGAAACAGGGTTTCGCCATGTTGGCCAGGCGGGTCTTGAACTCCCGACCTTGTAATCCGCCCGCCTCGGCCTCCCAAAGTGCTGGGATTATGGGCGCGTGCCACCACGCCTGGCTAATTTTTGTATTTTTAGTAGGAAAGGGGTTTTGCCATGTTGGCCAGGCTGGTCTCGAACTCCTGACCTCGTGATCAGCCCACCTCGGCCTCCTGCTCTTTCCCGCACG
This sequence comes from Homo sapiens, assembly GCF_000001405.40. Classification (NCBI taxonomy): domain Eukaryota; kingdom Metazoa; phylum Chordata; class Mammalia; order Primates; family Hominidae; genus Homo; species Homo sapiens. Next base: position 85,757 of record NT_187613.1, read on the forward strand.
TGCTCCTCTCCTTCCTCCCAGGGGCACCAGGCACAAGTGTCCCCTGCCCAGAGGACTCCAAGACAAAGGACGCTCACCTTATGCCATAAAGCAGCACCTCAGCTGCTTCTCCAGGCCATTAGCCATGCCACGGCCCTCTGTCCGGGCTGGGGGATTCGTTGACAAAGGCCTGAGACGTGGGGACATGGCACAGAGGAGGGAACATGGCCTTTCCCACATACCATACGCAGAGATGCCTTGGCCAAGGTACTTAACCTCAGTACCCCAGTGTCCTCATCTGTAAGATGGGGAGGAGGGACTGTCATTCTCCCTGGAGGATCACGACAAGGATCACACGAGGAGATGGCATTTGGGAAGCGGCCTCCAGGAGCACAAGTGCTGGACACACATTGGTGACGCATGCTGCCGTCTGTCTGTCACTAAATGCTTCCCCCACCCCACCCCGCCGCTGAGACTCCTGCCCCACTGCCCCATCAGGCGACCCAGAGTGGGGGCCTCATCACAGCAGCAAATGCCTGCGCTTAGGCCGTAGGGCCCCTTGCTTTCTCTGGATGGGCTGCTGGGAGGGGGCTTAGAGAGAAGTGGGGGCCTCAGAGACTGCCCTCCTCCTCCTGCCTTTCCTACAGGCCCCCTGAATATCCCCGAGGGCTGGGCCCTATCTCAAAGCCACCTCCGACTATGTCCTCAGCGCCTGCTGGCGGGCAGAAAGACTGCATTCCAGAGGCTAGTGCCAGCTCCCTTCCTTAGATGTGTGGCCGGAGTGAAGGCAGAGACAAGCTGTGGGGACAGACCGTTCCGTGGCTCCGTGGGGCCCGGGTTCGTGGGAACAGCTCCGTGTGGACTCGTCACCCAGCCTGGCCATCCACGGTGGCTCTGAGGGCAGTCACGGGGCGAGACTTTCTAAGCCACAGCCCGCCCCTGGGGCATGCCTCCCCCACCAAAGGCAGGCTGGTGAGATGGTTCTGCAGCGGAGGGCCAGGGCCGGGCCTTGGCATGCTGAGTGCTGGGGGACTTCAAAGGCCTGCAGGGGACTCTGGCTCTGAACTGTCCGCTCACAGGCCCAGGTCAGCTGGCAGCAGGAAGGTTTATATTTCTTTTAATATCAACTCCCAGGCATTTAACATTCCTCGAAGCTTAAACACAGAAACATTTTCCTTACCAGACTCTGCCTTCTGCTTTGCCAAACATAACCTGGCTTCCTCCCTCCCCCACTGCCTCCATCTGCTCCTGTCTCCAAGAGGCTTGCAGTGACTGATGGTGTGTTTCCCCCGGGGCTTGTGCAGCTGAGTGAGAAGGAGGGAAGCAATGGGGCTGAAGTCCAGGTGGGGGAATGTGCCCTCGGGCCTTGGGAGCTGAGTTCTCGAGGGGCTGGGGCCCACCGTGCCCACGGGGCTGGCTGCCCGGCACATCCTTGTAACTCTTCTATTCCACAGCCACCAGTGGCCCAGGGAGTGTGGCGTGGCGACCACTCGTCTCTTGCCTGGGCGTCTCCTGGGGCTGCACAGGCCAGCCCAGAACCCTTCCGTGCCTGTCCCTCTAGCCCAGCCCAGGGACAGGGAGATGGGGCTCCCTCCCCTTATCCCCACAGAGAGCAGGTCCCAGGGACTGAATCTCTAGAGCCCATTTCCTAAATCACGAAGGACTGGCTGGCAGTTGCCTGGCAGCCCTGTCTCCCTAGTGACGAGTACTGAGAAGCAGGGTGCAGACCCCACAGCATCGGAAAGAGACGTGTTTAGGAACACGGGGCGTATGCGGCAGAGGCCAGGCCCCTCCACGTGGGGCCCCTGGTTCAAACACTGGAGCCTGAGATGGGGCAGCGAGTGGGAGACCCACACAGCTCCCCAGGGGCAATGCTACCAAGGACCTGCAGGTAAGAGCCAGATACCAAACTCGGTGGCCATGACAATGCATCAGAGAACAAATGCTTCCTGCTAAAAAGCATCGTTCAGCTCCCTGTTGTAGACGGAGCCATCGCAGCCTGCGCCTGGATCACCTCTTGGGCCACGGTCAAGAAGCTCGGCGCCCAGCTGCGCCTGGATCACGTCCGGGGCCACGGTCAAGAAGCTCGGCGCCCAGCTGCGCCTGGATCACGTCCGGGGCCACGGTCAAGAAGCTCGGCGCCCAGCTGCCGCCTGGATCACCTCCGGGGCCACGGTCAAGAAGCTCGGCGCCCAGCTGCGCCTGGATCACGTCCGGGGCCACGGTCAAGAAGCTCGGCGCCCAGCTGCGCCTGGATCACGTCCGGGGCCACGGTCAAGAAGCTCGGCGCCCAGCTGTGCCTGGATCACGTCTGCGGCCACTGTCAAGAAGCTCAGCACGCCCAACGCCCGAGGCTCAACCTCAGTACGGGTCAGTTACCGTCTCCCTTCATTTCATGGTCACAGAATCTACCCCCAAACCAGACCACTTGCGGCACAGCACGAGGCCACACGAGGTACCAGACGGGAGTGTGAGCGGCTCCACCACGTCACGCCTTTTCCCGCTCCCAAGCCTACTTCTCTTAATAGGTTGGTGAATAGCAGCCATCTTCAAAATTGGCAGAATGTTTCAGAGACACAGGCTGCACACACAGAGGCCTTTTCCCTATATATGTTTATAGGGAGCCAAAAGCACAGTTGAGGCATAAATGCTGTTTTTATTTATTTTTATTTTTTTGGAGACACGGTCTGACTCCATCACCCAGGCGCGATCTCAGCTCACTGCAACCTCTACCTCCTGGGTTCAAGCGATTCTCCTGCCTCAGCCTACTGAGTAGCTGGGATTACAGGCGCCCGCCACCACGACCTGCTAATTTTTGTATTTTTAGTAGAGATGGGGTTTCGCCATGTTGGCCAGGCTGGTCTCGAACTCCTGACCTCGTGATCCACCCACCTCGGCCTCCCAAGGTGCTGGGATTACAGGCGTGAGCCACCGCACCCAGAAGCATAAATACCCTTAACCCGAGGTGCAGCCTCTACTAACACCCAGAGTCCCCACCCGAAGCCACAGACTCCCAACGCAGCTGAGTAAGGTCCGGCCACCCTAACAACAAGTCAGAGACCCCCCTCCCCCCAAGCCAACCAGCAGGACCCTAAGTCTTTCGGGCAGAAGAGCAAACGCCTGGTCCGTGTGCCTAACTCCGGTCCCCCGTCAATGGCAGACACGGCTCCTCACACACAGCATTCCTCCCTCCCGTTCACCGACGCAGCCTCTGAGTCCTTCTCAACATGGCGTTCCGGGAAACAACCACCCATAGACTAAAGCTGGCGTGTGAAAACAAAGCTGGTTGTTTCCATCTTGCAGAAGCGCAGATGACCCACCTGAGGAGCCACGCACACGCCTGGGCTTCCGGGGCCACAACAGGCAGCCACCTCTAGCAGGGAGGGGAGAACCACCTCCTGGGAACTTTCCTCCAACCAGCTTGGAACCAAAATCACGAAAGAGCAGGCTCCTTGACCAGAATTCCTTTTCAACTGGAACCACCTCCTGGAGGCTCCCTCAGCCTCGCCCCGGCGCCCTGGCCTCACCTGGATCTGTCCTTTGCCCATGATCTTGTCCACGATCTCATTGTTGTCCTTGTTGACCTTGGTCTTGTCATAGCACTTCTCATAGCACAGGATCCTCAGGGACTGGGAGCCCTCCAGCTCGATCTCAAACTCCTGGGGAAAGATGGGACAAAGGGCCCTGAACCTCCGAAGCTGGGAGGCCTGGCTTTCCGGCAGGTGCGTGCCTCAGCTTTGCAAGGAGGAGGGAGTAAGCACGGCCCACGAAGGACACGTCAGATTTTCTGGAGCTCCCAGAGGCCTCCCATCACCCCTGGAGTCTGGGGGCCTGAGCTGACACCACAGGGTCTGACACCCAGACACACACCGCGATCAGAAGCCAGAGGAGCAGGGAGCAGAAAGGGGGGTGCAGACATAGCTGGTCCAACCAATGGGCTGGCCGTCCCCAGCAGACAAGCCACGAGCACGGGGTGGTGGGGTCCCCACAGAGATGCCAGCCCCTGCCACTCACCTCATCCCACTTGGGCTCCGCTGTGTCCCGGAACACCCTGGTTTTGGCTTTGCTGACAAAATAGCCGAAGGAATCCACCTCCAGGGTACAGTACAGGTCTGTGGGGGAAGGACAGACGGAGATACTGAGTGAGTGGGGCCAGGGTGGGGCAGCTGGGGCGGCACTCAGGATGGAGGGGGACATCGCATCTGTCCTTTCCAACGTCCCCACGGATGGCATCTTGGCTCTCTCCTCCCTGAAGCCCGGGACCATCTGGCTTCTCCCCTGCCCCCTTCTTAGGGGCTCAGCCCTCCCCACCTCGGCTCACCCCACACTCTGCCCTTCCTACCTCAGCCCTCCCCACACTCTGCCCTTCCCACCTCGGCCCTCCCCACACTCTGCCCTTCCCACCTCGGCCCTCCCCACACTCTGGCCTCCTCCTCCCTCTAAAGGGCCCTTGACTGTTCCGTCTCCACATCTTCCTCACCATGGAGACGACACCACAAACTCTTCACTGACCGCCCTGGAGCCACCTCTCCCCGTAACATGGGTGCCCAGGCCTCAACAGCGGCATTTGGGGTGGGAGGCGTTTAGCAGCCCTGCCTCTGGGTCCTGAATGCTCGGAGCATCCCCTGCCGCGGTGACGACCAACAACGCCCACATCCCCAAGCCCAGGGTGCTGTGGTTTCCTCCGCTGCACTTAACATAAACCAAAGGGATCTTCTCTACTCGTGCGTCCCTAGTCTCTCTCCCCCCACGACGTAAACACCATGTGGAGAGAAGCCTGGGTTTTCCTGCCTGCCGGTGTACCCGCAGTACCAAGAACAGGGCTGGGAACCCAGCTGGCACACGGTGAACGAGGCTCCCACCACCACCAAGCGCTCCAGGTAACAAGGCAGTGGAGGGCTGGGGCGGGAGGGCAGGGCCGGGGGCTTTCCCCGGCATTTCCATCTTCCACCCTGGCCTTCAGGCTGAAAATCTACCTTGGGACCCAACTGCTGAGGCCACAGCACCGGCACGGACCCCAGGCCCTCTGCAAACCCACACCCGCCCTGGGCTCGGACCCCAGCAGTCCTCCCACCTCCAGGGAGATGCCGAGGTTGTTCCCAGGGTACCAGAGGTGGTGTGGGAGGTGCCTTTGGGACACTATGGCCAACCCTCTGCAGCGTGAAACAACGTCAGAGGTCACAGTGCGGGCATACAGTGCAGGTGGCTTACTCCACTTAGCCCCTGCAGCTGCCCAGCTGGGCCATTCTCCATCAGAACAGCTTTCCTGGCCGGGCAAGGTGGCTCACGCCTGTAAATCCCAGCACTTTGGGAGGCCAAGGTGGGCAGATCACCTGAGGTCAGGAGTTTGAGACCAGCCTGACCAACATGGTGAAACCCCATCTCTACTAAAAATACAAAAGTGAGCCCGGCGTGGTGGCACATGCCTGTAGTCCCAGCTACTCGGGAGGCTGAGGCAGGACAATCGCTTGAACCTGGGGTGTGGAAGTTGCAGTGAGCTGAGATGGCACCACTGCACTCCAGCCTGGGCGACCAAGTGACTCTTTCTCAAAAAAAAAAAAAACAAAAAAACCAGCTTTCCTGCAGAAAGGACAGTGCAGCTACCCCAAGAAGCCTCCAGCTGGAGCAACAGAAAGAAGACCCAGGTGGGCCTCAGAACACACAGAACGGGGCTGGGGATTTGCAGGTGAACAACACAGAGGCCCTGGGCACCCCAGCCTGGGCCAGACCAGGGAGTGGGCCTGTGTGTCTGAGACGGGCCATGAAGTGCTGTCATCATGGATTGATCTCGGTGTGAGCCCCTCCTCGAGGGGCTGGGGAGGGCTCACAGGGTCAGAGGGAGGGTTCCGGAAGGGGCTGGGGGAGGGCTCACAGGGTCAGAGGGAGGGTTCCGGAAGGGGCTGGGGGAGGGTTCACAGGGTCAGAGGGAGGGTTCCGGAAGGGGCTGGGGGAGGGTTCACAGGGTCAGAGGGAGGGTTCCGGAAGGGGCTGGGGGAGGGCTCACAGGGTCAGAGGGAGGGTTCCGGAAGGGTCTGGGGGAGGGCTCACAGGGTCAGAGGGAGGGTTCCGGAAGGGTCTGGGGGAGGGTTCACAGGGTCAGAGGGAGGGTTCCGGAAGGGGCTGGGGGAGGGTTCACAGGGTCAGAGGGAGGGTTCCGGAAGGGGCTGGGGGAGGGCTCACAGGGTCAGAGGGAGGGTTCCGGAAGGGTCTGGGGGAGGGCTCACAGGGTCAGAGGGAGGGTTCCGGAAGGGTCTGGGGGAGGGTTCACAGGGTCAGAGGGAGGGTTCGAGAAGGGGCTGGGGGAGGGCTCACAGGGTCAGAGCGAGGGTTCCGGAAGGAGCTGGGGACGGCTCACAGGGTCAGAGCGAGGGTTCCGGAGTCAGACCATCTGGGTCCACACCCCAGCTCTGCACAGATCACCTCCCTTCTCTCCCCAGGTTCCTGTCTGCACAGCAGGAAAAGTCATGGTGCCTACACCCTGGGCCTGCCTGTCCAGAGGTCCTGAGTTTACCATGGCTGAAGACACAGGGCCTCACCTCTGAGTGAGAACAGACATATGAGTGGGTCAGGGGTGGCGGTGGCGAAGGGAGTGAGGATAATCTGGGGGTAAAGAGAGATTTTGGAGCAGCTCAGCCGGCTCTGACACCCGCCCAGGCTGGGAGGCCACGGGTCGGCTCCCTGAGGCGAGGACCTCCCGGCCAACGGGAAGCAGGAGAGGGAGGGGCGGCATCTGGGGACATGGAGTGGTGGCGCCTGGTCCAGACATGGGTGGGACAGTGCTTCAGAGCTCACTAGCCAGAAGCTCCTCAGCGGCAGCCCCCAAGAAGGGAGGTCTATGGGTCTGGAGAGGGTTCAGGAAGCTTCCACGGTAACAAGCAGCCTGAGGGACCGTGTGGTGTTCCCGGCCAGACATCGAGAAGTGCCCAAAAGGTTAGAGCTCCGGCTCTGGTGCCGGAAGACGTGGATTCTGCTGCACCACCTGCTACTGTGTGACTCCAGGAAGGAACCTTGAGCCCCTCCGAGCCTCGGCGTCCTCGTGTGTAAAACAGGGATGGTTTCCGTGACCTCGGCGGGATGCCGGAGGCTCAGAGCGGACCGTGAGACTGAGAGGCTCTGAACACGCCACAGGCTTTGCACATGTGAGTACGTCCACACGCCAGCCATGTTCTCACCTTCTCCAGGTGCACGGTAGGTGCTGTGTAAATTAACGACTTCATTCCACATTTCTGAGCTCCCATGCATCCCAGGGTAAAGGAGACCTGGTTCCCGCCCTCAGAGAACTCACAGTGGGAGACGCAAATTGTTAAGTGACAAAACAGCATGACAGGTGCCATAACCAGCTTGCCCTGAGCAGGATGGGGGCACAAGGAACCTCAGGGGATGGGGGCACAAGGAACCTCAAAGGGATGGGGATACAAGGAACCTCAGGGGACGGGGGCACAAAGAACCTGAGGGGATGGGGGCACAAGGAACCTGAGGGGATGGGGGCACAAGGAACCTGAGGGGATGGGGTCACAAGGAACCTGAGGGGATGGGGGCACAAGGAACCTCAGGGGATGTGGGCACAAAGAAGGGACAAAGAAGGGAGGCCAGTTTGCCCCCAGGAACTCAGGGAGGCTTCCTGGGAAAGGCTGCTCTAACGGCCCGGGGAGTCACCTCTGTGTGGGGCGCTGCAGGGAGGGGTGAGGGCAGACCCCACCTGCCAGTGAAGAGCAGGGAGTGGGAGGGGCAGGTGGAGAGGGAGAGAGTCAGGGTTTCTGATCCTCTGTGATGTTAAGTCTTTTCTCCTCTCTGTGACTCGGTTACCTCCTCTGGCAAATGGGTAGAAACTATTAGCTGTCTAACTGACTCACAGATTCCCGTGTGGATAACAGGTAGATAAAAAGCGCAACCAGGCCGGGCGCAGCAGCTCACGCCTGTAATCTCAGCACTTTGGGAGGCTGAGGTGGGAGGATGGCTTGAGCCCAGGAGTTCAAGACCAGCCTGGCCAACATGGGGAGAACCTGTCTCTAAAAAAAAATTTTTTAAAAATTAAAAAGTGCAATCCTACTTTGTGAGACACTAAAAACAGATTTAGTATGAGGAACCCACAAGGGGGAAGGGGAGAAAAAGCGATGAGCGTGGCAGCACACCAGCGTTGCACACACACGATCATATCCCAGCCTGCTCTCGGGTCAAAATTCACAAGCGTGACTGCCTTTTAGTGGAGGCCCAGAGAGGTTAAGAAACTTGCCCAAGGTCACACAGCTTGTCATGGGCAGATATGAAGTTGGAGTCCACGTGTTTGTCGCCCTCAGATATGAAGTTGGAGTCCATGTGTTTGTCGCACTCGGTTTCTTTTTTTTTTTTTTGAGACGGATTCTCGCTCTGTCGCCCAGGGTGGAGTGCAATGCCATGATCTCAGCTCACAGCAACCTCCGCCTCCCGGGTTCAAGGGATTCTCTGGCCTCAGCCTCCCAAGTAGCTGGGACTACAGGCGTCCACCGCCATGCCCACGCTAATTTTAGTATTTTTAGTAGAGACGGGGTTTCACCATGTTGGCCCGGATGGTCTCGAACTCCTGACCTCGTGATCCGCCCGCCTGGGCCTCCCAAAGTGCTGGGATTACAGGCGTGAGCCACCGCGCCCGGCCCCTAGGTTTCAGACAGCTTCAGGGAGGGCTTGAGAAAGAGGACTTTGGAGACAAAGGCCAGGGGTGACCTCCCTGCCAAGAGGAGCTGGTTTCTGGCCTCCAGGGGAATGCCCCATGTCTAAAGGCGTGCTGGCAGGGCCCCATCCTGGGCAGAGCAGTGCAGAATCCACAATGGCCCACCCAACCTCGTCCTGGCCAGGGCACTTACTGGCTGATTGCTTAAATCCCTTGGCAGAGTGGACGATGACATGAAGGAAGCCATAGAGTCCTGGAGACTCATCGTCTGCAAGAGAGAAAAGCCCCCAGGGCAGAGGGTGGTCAGCGGATCCCCTCAGCCTCCACCCCAGGCCGGCGGGAGGCAGACGGGGTATGAGACTCAGCTGAGTCTTGGTCCAACATCACCACCTGGTGGCCAGATGAAAAAGTTTCCGAAGGCCACGGCGGCCTTGTATGTGAGCTGCCCGGGGTAGGGCTAGGGGGTCCTTCTCTCCTCCACTCAGCCTGGGGGGGTCCAGCACACCCACCATCCTGGCCCAGGGACTTAGTACCATTCCCCATGGGTACTGTCTCTCCCTCCAAATCCTGCCTATCCTGGCACTGAAAACTGACCAATATGATAAATCATTCTGCTAATGATTTATGTCGAGGAAAGCTTGCCTTCAGGACCCCGTTCACAAAGTGGACCCTTTCCCAGCACACAGGCAGCTAGAATACACCCACTCCGGTCAGTTCCCAGCCCTGATCACAGCTCCCCACTGCTCAAAACCCCCCCAGACTCCCGGGCTTACAGCATGAATTCCAAACTCCCTTGCTTGGGATTCAAGGCCTTTCAAGAGCTGGTCCCTGGAAACTTCCAGCCTCATTTCCCATACACCATTTTATCTACCGGGTCTGCTCTCTCATGAATATATTAACAGCACAATCTCAGTGCACCAGGGTGCCAGTTCTCCCAAGCCAGACAGAGGGGCCCAAGGAAAAGCTGGGGTCATCTGGGAACTCAGTAGACAGTCACCCCTACCCAAGCTGTGTCCTGGCCACTCAACAGTCTCAGCACAGCCGAGCAGGGATCAGCCATTTACAGCCACATGTCTGTCTGAGTCCTTACGGGAAGCCGGCCACGCTCTGAGGGCTGGGACCTGCCGGTTGGGCCACCTGTGGTTCCCGAGCTTACCGTCTTTATTGCTGGTGACAGGAATGTTGTGTACAGTCCTAAGCTTGAAACAGGATCCTGTGAGCACCTGGAGCTCCACTGAGCTCAGGACAAAGGCCTGGAGATCTGGAGGGAGAGCCGAGAGAGAAGGGAGCGTGGGCACTGGTCCACCAGGACCGGCTGCTCTTCCCTGGGGGCTGCTGCAGGAAGACGGCTTAATCCCTGGGGCAGACTTGGTCCTTGCGAGGGAGGGGGAAGGATTTGTGGACACAGCAGGACTGGTGTAGATGCTGTGAGAGGGGTCAGAGTAGGAGAATCTAACTGAAGAGGTGTGTGTGTGTGTGTGTGTGTGTGTGTGTGTGTGTGTGTGGTGTATGCGTTTTGTTTTCGTTTTTTTTTTAAACGGAGTCTCACTCTGTCGCCCAGGCTGGAGTGCAGTGCTGTGATCTCAGCTCACTGCAACCTCCGCCTCTCAGGTTCAAGGGATTCTCCTGCTTCAGCCTCCTGAGTAGCTGGGATTACAGGTGCCCACCACCACACCTGGCTAATTTTTGTGTTTTTAGTAGAGACGGGGTTTCACCACGTTGCCCAGGCTGATCTCAAACTCCTGACTGGGATTACAGGCGTAAGCCACCGTACCCAGCCTCTGTGTATGTGTGTGTGTGTGTCTCTGTGTGTGTGTGTGTGAGAGAGAGAGAGAGGTAGAGAGAGAGAGAAAGCCCAGGCTGGGCTCTGGGTCCAGTCCCAGGACTAAATCATCATGTCTTTCAGCCAATCAGTTAGATTCTTTGGGTCTCAATTAATCCGTAACATCCTTAAACGCTCACCCTGGCACCTCTGAGGGTGACTGCGAGGGCCAAAGACGTGATACTGGACATGAAACGCTTAGAAAAACAAAAGGCCCATCAATGCCACGGACATCATTGGGGAGCGTGGAAGAGGCAGGAATTTACCCTTCTTCTGTAGTTTCTGAATTGCTTCTCTCCACTCTGACCTCTCGTAGTCCGAGGACAGTAGGAACAGGTAACTCTGAAGAGAGGAGATAAGAATAAAGTGGGTGACCACAGTCAGGCAAAGCGTACTCCCAGATCCTGGGGACCCCAACAAAGCTCCTTTTATCTTTTTTTTTTTTTTTTTTTTTTGAGACAGAGTCTCGCTCTTGTTGCCCAGGCTGGAGTGCAATGGCAAAATCTCGGCTCACTGCAACCTCCACCTCCCGGGTTCACGCCAATCTCCTGCCTCAGCCTCCTGAGTAGCTGGGATTACAGGTGCCCACCACCACGCCCGGCTAATTTTTGTGTTTTTAGTAGAGACAGAGTTTTGCCATGTTGGCCAGGCTGGTCTCAAACTCTTGACCTCAGGTGATTCGCCTGCCTCAGCCTCCCAAAGTGCTGGGATGACAGGCATGAGCCACTGTGCCCGGCCCAAAGCTCCTCCTTATCCAGGCACAGCTGACCTTGCAGGAGGAGGCAGCTGGGGGTGGGTGGGTGAAGGGGGAGCTCCTTCCTGGGAAGCCAAGGTGACAGGAGCGGCTGTGCCAGGGACGGCCAGCAGAGGGCACTCATTCCACACGAGAGGGGAGAGCGAGTCAACAGCTGGAGCCATGGCAGCCTCCTCAGGAAGAGGGGGCCTGAGTTTCCGGTTCATACAGGTCAGGGCCAGGAGCCACAGAGTGGGCTGCTCTGGACTAAGGAAGGGGCTGTCTTGGTCCCACCCCCACCCATCCTGACCTTTCCATTCCGATTGTGGATCCTGAACGGGATTGTGGGGGAGTTGAGCAGCAGCAGGAACTCATTCTCAAACATCTTCTTCTTCAGGCGCTCGATGGCCCGGCTCTGGCCTTTGTTGGCTTTCTGCAGGAGATGGGGACACAGAGGGTTCCCCTCACACTCGGGCCTTTCTCACGAGCAGCACTAAGCACGACACTCCACTGTGTGTTAACATGCTCTTTACATTTTCCGTATTTCGTGATGTTTTGACATCTTGTGGCAGGAGAGGCGGGTAGCTGGGTGAGAAACTGCTCCCCCACAGGGCTCACTAATTCCTAAGCCTGTCAGTGATGCCCTATGAGCACAGCTTTCATACACACACCCACTGATCCAGAGCCCATGTCCCCAACCACCTTCTCTACCCGACGCTCACTCGCCAAGCCAGCATCTCCTCTGCCCCACGTCACCCAGGGCCAGGGACCAGGTCACCAGAGACCACTCCTCTAGCCCAGGGCTGCCGACATAACGGAAGCCAGCTGGTGCCAAGCCCTTTCCCTGCCCTGTTTCTCCACAGAAAAGCTGTGGCCACACTTTCTTTCCATTCCTGCCTCCTGTTCAAAGCTGGCACCTCTCCACGTGGCCCTGGGCGGGGTGCTATGCCTCCTTCTCTTGAGAACCCTAAATAATACAAATATTACAGTAGTATTAACCTCTCTGTACTGTCACTCTGCTGCCTCTACACATTAAATCCTGGGTACAACAGAGACACCTGCTTAAAGAAACCTCAGACACCTTTCAGCCTGAAGCCCCACCTGCTAGCCTGGCACCAAGGCCCCCATGGCAGGGTTCCAGCCTCCCTGCCCGGCAGACAACCCACCAGGTCCCGTCGGCTCAGCCTCCCCCTCTCACCAGACATTCATCCTCTGCGGGCAGAGCCTGCTCCCTCAATGTTCCAAGTTTCTGTCTGTTTCGTAAAGGACCCCCTCCCTTTTATTAACCACCATTATGCTTCAAGTCTCAGCTCCCAAGGCCATCCTCAAGCTCCTCAGTTAGAATTCACCTCTATGGTGTTTTGTTCTTTTTAACCCACTGGACTGGCAAAATTGTAAAGAATGTTCACAGCCAGTGTTGTGACACTGTGGGGGACAGTCACCCTCACACACCGCAGGGGGAATGCCACCAGTCACAGCTTTTTCAGAGGTAAAAGCCTGTCAATTAAGCGCACACTCACCCTGCCCTGCCCATCCCACTTGGAGGGAACCTACTGCAGAGGCACCTGCGCAGTGATGTTTACTGTTGACTTGCCTGCTAAGAGCGAAGAATCAGAGACAATCCAAACACCCAAAAACATTTGTATGCAGCCAAGCGACAGAGCAGGAGGCAGTTGTTAAAAAGAATCTGATACTGCCAGGCGCGGTGGCTCACGCCTGTAATCCCAGCACTTTGGGAGGCCGAGGTGGGCGGATCGTTTGAGGTCAGGAGTTCGAGACCACCCTGGCCAACGTGGTGAAACCCCGTCTCTACTAAAAATGCAAAAACTACCGGGCGTGGTGGCGGGCACCTGTAATCCCAGCTACTCGGGAGGCTGAGGCACGAGAATCGCTTGAACCCGGGAGGTGGAAGTTCCAGTGAGCCCAAATCTCACCAGTGCACTCCAGCCTGGGTGACAGAGCGAGACTCTACCTCAAAAAGAAAGAAAAAGAATCTGATACATCCAAAGGGCTCAAAGACCCACTGTGGAGTAAAATGCTGAAGTTGCAAAACAGCACGTGTAGTCTAGTCTCATTGGACACGCGGGCGCACACCAGCATAAGCAAAGAAGAGTTCAGAAGAATACACCTCAAACTGTCAGCAGCGGGAGGTGAGTGGCGACCAGCTTTACCCTGTACATGCTGGTACTACGAGCATTTCTCATTAAAACCAGCCAGTATTATATTGGGGATTAGAAAAAACATGAAAATTTAAAAAATTATTATCAAGAGAACAAGGCTGAGCACGGTGGCTCACACCTGTCATCCCAGCACTTTGGGAGGCCGGGGCGGGTGGATCATGAGGTCAGGAGTTTGAGACCAGCCTGGCTAACACGGTGAAACCCCGTCTCTACTAAAAATACAAAAAATTAGCCAGGCGTGGTGGCGGACGCCTTTATTCCCAGCTACTCAGGAGGCTGAGGTAGAAGAATTGCTTGAACCCGGGAGGTGGAGGTTGCAGTGAGCCGAGATTGTGCCACTGCACTCCAGCCTGGGCGACAGTGACAAAGTGAGACTCCATCTCAAAAAAAAACAAAAAACAAAAAACAAATCACTGCTTCTTCTGTGACTCAGAGGACGGCACCTGTGCCTCTCCAGTGACTCACATGTACCACACTCTGTGGTCAGCAAGGGGCGTGTCTGCTTCCTCCACTGGACAGGGATATACATGAGGCACCCGGCACACCCCAGGCAGCACAGCCAGTGGGGCTCACTGAGTGTTGACTGTTGACTCGACTGGGCACAAGGCCACGTCTGCACAGCTGGGGCAACGGGGAGGCAGCAAGCCTCCCAGGGGCGGGTGGGAAACAGGCACGCAGGATGCTCCTGGGCGGGCACTGTGGGCAGGGCCCAGCCGTTCAGGAGGGGGACAGCTGTGCTGGCGAGGAAGCCCTCTGGGCAGATGTATCACCAGTTGGACCCTCTGTCCTAGGACATCCCCCAGCCCTGAACACTCCTGGGGCTGTAATGGTGATCTTGCTTTCCCCTGTTCAAAGGGAGATGCTTGAGTTGAAAGAATCCTCAGAGAGGCCATCTGGTTATGTTTTCTTCAATAATTGTTTGTTTACTAAGTGCCTTTTTTTTTTTAGATGGAGTCCCACTCACTCTGTTGCCCAGGCTGGAGTGCAGTGGCGTGATCTCGGCTCACTGCAACCTCCACCTCCCGGGTTCACACAATTCTTTTGCCTCAGCCTCCCACGTGGCTGGGATTACAGGCACCCACCACCACACCCGGCTAACTTTTGTATTTTTCATAGAGACGGGGCTTCATGATGTTGGCCAGGCTGGTCTTGAACTCCTGGCCTCAAGTGACCCACCCGTCTCAGCCTCCCAAAGTACTGGGATTACCGGTGTAAACCACCACGCTGGGCCCTAACCACCTGTTTTCTACGTGTCGAATATGAGGAACATGGAACAGAAGAAAATAGCGCTGTCCCTGGAGTTCAAATTCCAGTGGGGAAGAGAGGAGTCTGACAATGCAATTACAATTCAGTACCATTTAAGCAAAGCCACAGGTGAACAAAAAGCCACAGGATCTGGGGACAGGGCACCCAACCAAGACTGTGGTGGGCGTGGGTGTCAGAGAAGCTTCCCAGGGGAGGTGAGGCCTAAGCTGAACCTGAGAGGTGAGGAAAACAGACCAAGCTGACCAAACCGCTCCAGGCCCTTCCTCCACTCACAGGGATGCTCCTCCCGTGGTGCCTTCCTCTAGACACTTGTTACGTGAACTGAGGGCTATGCATGTTCCTCTAGACACTGTTGTTACGTGAACTGAGGGCTATACATGTTCCTCTAGACACTGCTGTTATGTGAACTGAGGGCTATGCGTGTTCCTCTAGACACTGTTGTTACGTGAACTGAGGGCTATGCATGTTCCTCTAGACGCTGTTGTTATGTGAACTGAGGGCTATGCATGTTCCTCTAGACACTGTTGTTATGTGAACTGAGGGCTATGCATGTTCCTCTAGACACTGTTGTTATGTGAACTGAGGGCTATGCATGTTGCTCTAGACACTGTTGTTACGTGAACTGAGGGCTATGCATGTTCCTCTAGACGCTGCTGTTATGTGAACTGAGGGCTATGCATGTTCCTCTAGACACTGTTGTTATGTGAACTGAGGGCTATGCATGTTCCTCCAGACACTGTTGTTATGTGAACTGAGGGCTATGCATGTTCCTCTAGACGCTGCTGTTATGTGAACTGAGGGCTATGCATGTTCCTCTAGACACTGTTGTTACGTGAACTGAGGGCTATGCATGTTCCTCTAGCACTGCTGTTACGTGAACTGAGGGCTATGCATGTTCCTCCAGACACTGTTGTTATGTGAACTGAGGGCTATGCATGTTCCTCTAGACACTGTTGTTATGTGAACTGAGGGCTATGCATGTTCCTCTAGACACTGTTATGTGAACTCAGGGTTATGCATGTTCCTCTAGACACTGTTGTTATGTGAAGTGAGGGCTATGCATGTTCCTCTAGACACTGTTGTTATGTGAACTGAGGGCTATACATGTTCCTCTAGACACTGCTATTATGTGAACTGAGGGCTATGCATGTTCCTCTAGACACTGTTGTTACGTGAACTGAGGGCTATGCATGTTCCTCTAGACGCTGTTGTTATGTGAACTGAGGGCTATGCATGTTCCTCTAGACACTGTTGTTATGTGAACTGAGGGCTATGCATGTTCCTCTAGACACTGTTATGTGAACTGAGGGCTATGCATGTTCCTCTAGATGCTGTTGTTACGTGAACTGAGGGCTATGCATGTTCCTCTAGATGCTGCTGTTATGTGAACTGAGGGCTATGCATGTTCCTCTAGACACTGTTGTTATGTGAACTGAGGGCTATGCATGTTCCTCTAGACACTGTTGTTATGTGAACTGAGGGCTATGCATGTTCCTCTAGACACTGCTGTTATGTGAACTGAGGGCTATGCATGTTCCTCTAGACACTGTTGTTATGTGAACTGAGGGCTATGCATGTTCCTCTAGCACTGCTGTTATGTGAACTGAGGGCTATGCATGTTCCTCTAGACACTGTTGTTACATGAACTGAGGGCTATGCATGTTCCTCTAGACACTGTTGTTACGTGAACTGAGGGCTATACATGTTCCTCTAGACACTGCTGTTATGTGAACTGAGGGCTATGCATGTTCCTCTAGACACTGTTGTTACGTGAACTGAGGGCTATGCATGTTCCTCTAGACACTGTTGTTACGTGAACTGAGGGCTATGCATGTTCCTCTAGATACTGCTGTTACGTGAACTGAGGGCTATGCATGTTCCTCTAGACACTGTTGTTACGTGAACTGAGGGCTATGCATGTTCCTCTAGACGCTGTTGTTATGTGAACTGAGGGCTATGCATGTTCCTCTAGACGCTGTTGTTATGTGAACTGAGGGCTATGCATGTTCCTCTAGACACTGTTATGTGAACTGAGGGCTATGCATGTTGCTCTAGACACTGTTGTTACGTGAACTGAGGGCTATGCATGTTCCTCTAGATGCTGCTGTTACGTGAACTGAGGGCTATGCATGTTCCTCTAGACGCTGTTGTTATGTGAACTGAGGGCTATGCATGTTCCTCTAGACACTGTTGTTATGTGAACTGAGGGCTATGCATGTTCCTCTAGACACTGTTATGTGAACTGAGGGCTATGCATGTTCCTCTAGATGCTGTTGTTACGTGAACTGAGGGCTATGCATGTTCCTCTAGATGCTGCTGTTATGTGAACTGAGGGCTATGCATGTTCCTCTAGACACTGTTGTTATGTGAACTGAGGGCTATGCATGTTCCTCTAGACACTGCTGTTATGTGAACTGAGGGCTATGCATGTTCCTCTAGACACTGCTGTTATGTGAACTGAGGGCTATGCATGTTCCTCTAGACACTGTTGTTATGTGAACTGAGGGCTATGCATGTTCCTCTAGCACTGCTGTTATGTGAACTGAGGGCTATGCATGTTCCTCTAGACACTGTTGTTACATGAACTGAGGGCTATGCATGTTCCTCTAGACACTGTTGTTACGTGAACTGAGGGCTATACATGTTCCTCTAGACACTGCTGTTACGTGAACTGAGGGCTATGCATGTTCCTCTAGACACTGTTGTTACGTGAACTGAGGGCTATGCATGTTCCTCTAGACACTGTTGTTACGTGAACTGAGGGTTATGCATGTTCCTCTAGACACTGCTGTTCCTGAACTGAGGGCTATGCATGTTCCTCTAGACACTGTTGTTACGTGAACTGAGGGCTATACATGTTCCTCTAGACACTGTTGTTACGTGAACTGAGGGCTATGCATGTTCCTCTAGACACTGCTGTTACGTGAACTGAGGGCTATGCATGTTCCTCTAGACACTGTTGTTACGTGAACTGAGGGCTATGCATGTTCCTCTAGACGCTGTTGTTATGTGAACTGAGGGCTATGCATGTTCCTCTAGACACTGTTGTTATGTGAACTGAGGGCTATGCATGTTCCTCTAGACACTGTTATGTGAACTGAGGGCTATGCATGTTGCTCTAGACACTGTTGTTACGTGAACTGAGGGCTATGCTTGTTCCTCTAGACGCTGCTGTTATGTGAACTGAGGGCTATGCATGTTCCTCTAGACACTGTTGTTATTGTGAACTGAGGGCTATGCATGTTCCTCTAAACACTGTTGTTATTTGAACTGAGGGCTATGCATGTTCCTCTAACACTGCTGTTATGTGAACTGAGGGCTATGCATGTTCCTTCAGACACTGTTGTTACATGAACTGAGGGCTATGCATGTTCCTCTATACACTGTTGTTACGTGAACTGAGGGCTATACATGTTCCTCTAGACACTGCTGTTACGTGAACTGAGGGCTATGCATGTTCCTCTAGACACTGTTGTTACGTGAACTGAGGGCTATGCATGTTCCTCTAAACACTGTTGTTACGTGAACTGAGGGCTATGCATGTTCCTCTAGACACTGCTGTTACGTGAACTGAGGGCTATGCATGTTCCTCTAGACACTGTTGTTACGTGAACTGAGGGCTATGCATGTTCCTCTAGATGCTGTTGTTATGTGAACTGAGGGCTATGCATGTTCCTCTAGACACTGTTGTTATGTGAACTGAGGGCTATGCATGTTCCTCTAGACACTGTTATTTGAACTGAGGGCTATGCATGTTGCTCTAGACACTGTTGTTACGCGAACTGAGGGCTATGCATGTTCCTCTATACGCTGCTGTTATGTGAACTGAGGGCTATGCATGTTCCTCTAGACACTGTTGTTATGTGAACTGAGGGCTATGCATGTTCCTCTAGACACTGTTGTTATGTGAACTGAGGGCTATGCATGTTCCTCTAGACACTGTTGTTACGTGAACTGAGGGCTATGCATGTTCCTCTAGACGCTGTTGTTATGTGAACTGAGGGCTATGCATGTTCCTCTAGACACTGTTGTTATGTGAACTGAGGGCTATGCATGTTCCTCCAGACACTGTTGTTATGTGAACTGAGGGCTATGCATGTTCCTCTAGACGCTGCTGTTATGTGAACTGAGGGCTATGCATGTTCCTCTAGACACTGTTGTTACGTGAACTGAGGGCTATGCATGTTCCTCTAGCACTGCTGTTACGTGAACTGAGGGCTATGCATGTTCCTCTAGAGCTGGTGTTACGTGAACTGAGGGCTATGCATGTTCCTCTAGACGCTGCTGTTATGTGAAACTGAGGGCTATGCATGTTCCTCTAGACACTGTTGTTATGTGAACTGAGGGCTATGCATGTTCCTCTAGACACTGTTGTTATGTGAACTGAGGGCTATGCATGTTCCTCTAGACACTGCTGTTATGTGAACTGAGGGCTATGCATGTTCCTCTAGACACTGTTGTTATGTGAACTGAGGGCTATGCATGTTCCTCTAGCACTGCTGTTATGTGAACTGAGGGCTATGCATGTTCCTCTAGACACTGTTGTTACATGAACTGAGGGCTATGCATGTTCCTCTAGACACTGTTGTTACGTGAACTGAGGGCTATACATGTTCCTCTAGACACTGCTGTTATGTGAACTGAGGGCTATGCATGTTCCTCTAGACACTGTTGTTACGTGAACTGAGGGCTATGCATGTTCCTCTAGACACTGTTGTTACGTGAACTGAGGGCTATGCATGTTCCTCTAGATACTGCTGTTATGTGAACTGAGGGCTATGCATGTTCCTCTAGACACTGTTGTTATGTGAACTGAGGCCTATGCATGTTCCTCCAGACACTGTTGTTATGTGAACTGAGGGCTATGCATGTTCCTCTAGACACTGCTGTTATGTGAACTGAGGGCTATGCATGTTCCTCTAGACACTGTTGTTACGTGAACTGAGGGCTATGCATGTTCCTCTAGCACTGCTGTTACGTGAACTGAGGGCTATGCATGTTCCTCCAGACACTGTTGTTATGTGAACTGAGGGCTATGCATGTTCCTCTAGACACTGTTGTTATGTGAACTGAGGGCTATGCATGTTCCTCTAGACACTGTTATGTGAACTGAGGGTTATGCATGTTCCTCTAGACACTGTTGTTACGTGAAGTGAGGGCTATACATGTTCCTCTAGACACTGCTGTTATGTGAACTGAGGGCTATGCATGTTCCTCTAGACACTGTTGTTATGTGAACTGAGGGCTATGCATGTTCCTCTAGACACTGTTATGTGAACTGAGGGCTATGCATGTTCCTCTAGACACTGTTGTTACGTGAACTGAGGGCTATACATGTTCCTCTAGACACTGCTATTATGTGAACTGAGGGCTATGCATGTTCCTCTAGACACTGTTATGTGAACTGAGGGGTTATGCATGTTCCTCTAGACACTGTTGTTATGTGAACTGAGGGCTATGCATGTTCCTCTAGACACTGTTGTTACGTGAACTGCGGGCTATACATGTTCCTCTAGACACTGCTATTATGTGAACTGAGGGCTATGCATGTTCCTCTAGACACTGTTGTTACGTGAACTGAGGGCTATGCATGTTCCTCTAGACACTGTTATGTGAACTGAGGGCTATGCATGTTCCTCTAGACACTGTTATGTGAACTGAGGGCTATGCATGTTCCTCTAGACACTGTTGTTACGTGAACTGAGGGCTATGCATGTTCCTCTAGACGCTGCTGTTATGTGAACTGAGGGCTATGCATGTTCCTCTAGACACTGTTGTTATGTGAACTGAGGGCTATGCATGTTCCTCCAGACGCTGTTGTTATGTGAACTGAGGGCTATGCATGTTCCTCTAGACACTGCTGTTATGTGAACTGAGGGCTATGCATGTTCCTCTAGACACTGTTATGTGAACTGAGGGCTATGCATGTTCCTCTAGACACTGTTGTTATGTGAACTGAGGGCTATGCATGTTCCTCTAGCACTGCTGTTACGTGAACTGAGGGCTATGCATGTTCCTCCACACGCTGTTGTTATGTGAACTGAGGGCTATGCATGTTCCTCTAGACACTGCTGTTATGTGAACTGAGGGCTATGCATGTTCCTCTAGACACTGTTGTTATGTGAAGTGAGGGCTATGCATGTTCCTCTAGACACTGTTGTTATGTGAACTGAGGGCTATGCATGTTCCTCTAGACACTGCTATTATGTGAACTGAGGGCTATGCATGTTCCTCTAGACACTGTTGTTACGTGAACTGAGGGCTATGCATGTTCCTCTAGACGCTGTTGTTATGTGAACTGAGGGCTATGCATGTTCCTCTAGACACTGTTGTTATGTGAACTGAGGGCTATGCATGTTCCTCTAGACACTGTTGTTACGTGAACTGAGGGCTATGCATGTTCCTCTAGACACTGCTGTTACGTGAACTGAGGGCTATGCATGTTCCTCTAGACACTGTTGTTACGTGAACTGAGGGCTATGCATGTTCCTCTAGATGCTGTTGTTATGTGAACTGAGGGCTATGCATGTTCCTCTAGACACTGTTGTTATGTGAACTGAGGGCTATGCATGTTCCTCTAGACACTGTTATGTGAACTGAGGGCTATGCATGTTGCTCTAGACACTGTTGTTACGTGAACTGAGGGCTATGCATGTTCCTCTAGACGCTGCTGTTATGTGAACTGAGGGCTATGCATGTTCCTCTAGACACTGTTGTTATGTGAACTGAGGGCTATGCATGTTCCTCCAGACACTGTTGTTATGTGAACTGAGGGCTATGCATGTTCCTCTAGACACTGTTGTTATGTGAACTGAGGGCTATGCATGTTCCTCTAGACACTGTTGTTACGTGAACTGAGGGCTATGCATGTTCCTCTAGACACTGTTATTATGTGAACTGAGGACTATGCATGTTCCTCTAGACGCTGTTATGTGAACTGAGGGCTATGCATGTTCCTCTAGACACTGTTGTTACGTGAACTGAGGGCTATACATGTTCCTCTAGACACTGCTATTATGTGAACTGAGGGCTATGCATGTTCCTCTAGACACTGTTGTTACGTGAACTGAGGGCTATGCATGTTCCTCTAGACGCTGTTGTTATGTGAACTGAGGGCTATGCATGTTCCTCTAGACACTGTTATGTGAACTGAGGGCTATGCATGTTCCTCTAGACACTGTTGTTACGTGAACTGAGGGCTATGCATGTTCCTCTAGACGCTGCTGTTATGTGAACTGAGGGCTATGCATGTTCCTCTAGACACTGTTGTTATGTGAACTGAGGGCTATGCATGTTCCTCCAGACGCTGTTGTTATGTGAACTGAGGGCTATGCATGTTCCTCTAGACACTGCTGTTATGTGAACTGAGGGCTATGCATGTTCCTCTAGACACTGTTATGTGAACTGAGGGCTATGCATGTTCCTCTAGACACTGTTGTTATGTGAACTGAGGGCTATGCATGTTCCTCTAGCACTGCTGTTACGTGAACTGAGGGCTATGCATGTTCCTCCACACGCTGTTGTTATGTGAACTGAGGGCTATGCATGTTCCTCTAGACACTGCTGTTATGTGAACTGAGGGCTATGCATGTTCCTCTAGACACTGTTATGTGAACTGAGGGCTATGCATGTTCCTCTAGACACTGTTGTTATGTGAACTGAGGGCTATGCATGTTCCTCTAGCACTGCTGTTACGTGAACTGAGGGCTATGCATGTTCCTCTAGACACTGTTGTTATGTGAACTGAGGGCTATGCATGTTCCTCTAGACACTGCTGTTATGTGAACTGAGGGCTATGTATGTTCCTCTAGACACTGTTGTTATGTGAACTGAGGGCTATGCATGTTCCTCTAGACACTGTTGTTACGTGAACTGAGGGCTGTACATGTTCCTCTAGACACTGCTGTTACGTGAACTGAGGGCTATGCATGTTCCTCTAGACACTGTTGTTATGTGAACTGAGGGCTATGCATGTTCCTCTAGACACTGTTGTTATGTGAACTGAGGGCTATGCATGTTCCTCTAGACACTGTTGTTACGTGAACTGAGGGCTATGCATGTTCCTCTAGACACTGTTGTTATGTGAACTGAGGGCTATGCATGTTCCTCTAGACACTGCTGTTATGTGAACTGAGGGCTATGCATGTTCCTCTAGACACTGCTGTTACGTGAACTGAGGGCTATGCATGTTCCTCTAGACACTGTTGTTACGTGAACTGAGGGCTATGCATGTTCCTCTAGATGCTGCTGTTACGTGAACTGAGGGCTATGCATGTTCCTCTAGACGCTGCTGTTACGTGAACTGAGGGCTATGCATGTTCCTCTAGACACTGTTGTTATGTGAACTGAGGGCTATGCATGTTCCTCTAGACGCTGTTGTTATGTGAACTGAGGGCTATGCATGTTCCTCTAGACACTGTTGTTATGTGAACTGAGGGCTATGCATGTTCCTCTAGACACTGTTGTTATGTGAACTGAGGGCTATTCATGTTCCTCTAAACAGCACTTTGGCTGCATCCATGGGTACTGGTATGTAGTACACTCATTTCCAGACAGCACTAAACAGTTTGCAGTTCTCATTTTGAATTTTGATTTCCTCTTTACCTTGTCAGTTTGAACTTTCCAAACCAATGCTTTTTTTTTTTTTTTTTTGAGACAGTCTCACTCTGTTGCTCAGGCTGGAGTGCAGCAGCGGAATCTCAGCTCAATGCAACCTCTGCCTCCCAGGTTCAAGCAATTCTCCTGTCTCAGCCTCCTGAGTAGCTGGGATTACAGGCGGAAGCCACCACGCCAGGCTAATTTTGTATTTTCAGTAGAAATGGGGTTTCACCATGTTGGCCAGGCTGGTCTCAAACTCCTGACCTCAGGTGACCTGCCTGCCTGGGCCTCCTAAAGTGCTGGGATTACAGGCATGATCCACCACGCCTGGATAATTTTGTATTTTTAGTAGAGATGGATTTTTACCATGTTGGCCAGGCTGATCTTGAATTCCTGACCTCAGGCGATCCACCATCCTCAGCCTCCCAAAGTTCTGGGATTAAAGGTGTGAGCCACTGCACCCAGGCTGACCAATATTCTTGTTCACTTCTAATTTTACTCCACTGTGGTCTGTGAACATGACTTGTATGCTATCAACTTGCAGAAAAATTTTGAGATTTCCTTAGTGGCCTATTATAGGATAAATGTGAAGGTCCCAAACGTGTGTGACAAGAATCTCAGTTTTCTGTCAGGGCACAAGCTTCTCTGCATTTTTAAGTCAAGCATGTTAATTGTGGCATTCAGGGCCTCTCTCTCCTTATTTATTTGCCTACTTGATCTGTCAGTTTCTGAGAGGCCTCCCAGGTCTTTTTCCTTGCACAGGTCCTGCTTTTCCTTACAAAAGCCTGCTTTTTCTTCTCTTGCTTCCCTCTACCTCCACTTTTTTTTTTTGTTTTTGACAGAATCTCACTCTATTGCCTAGACTGGAGTGCATTGGCATGTTCTTGGCTCACTGCAACCTCCACCTCCCGGGTTCAAGCCATTCTCCTGCCTCAGCCTCCCGAGTAGCTGGGATTACAGGTGCCCACCACCACACTCTGCTAATTTTTGTACTTTTAGTAGAGACAGGGTTTTGCCATGTTGGCCAGGCTGGTCTCGAACTCCTGGCCTCAGGTGATCCACCTGCCTCGGCCTTCCAAAGTGCTGGGATTACAGGTGTGAGCCACTGCGCCTGGCTACTTGCTTCCCCTTTCTATCGTGTTCAACATGCACTGCTTTCCAGGGCACTTCCCATGTTAGCCCTATGAAATCCTGAGCACTGACCCCCTCGATCTGCTTGGAGCTACTGTAGTCGGGGTCTTTCCCTTAGTAACTACACACTCAAGGCTCCCTCTCAAAGTCTCAAACCTTACAACTTCCCACCTCCACCTCCCCCAACACAGCTGGCTCAAAGGGCCCCAGGCTCAGATACCAAGCTCTGCTCACCTCCTTCTGGATTTCACTCTTGAGGGCAGAGATCTTCATCTTCATGTCCTCCAGCTCATGGTCTGGGAAGGGGTGCACCTGGGGGCTGGCCTCAGATTCCTCGGGGGATGGAAACACCAGGTCGGCCAGGGGGATGTACCACTTACAGTCATACTGCTGGTGCTTCCTGCAAACGAGCCAGAGGGAGCCATGAGCCAGAGGGAGCCTGGCTCTTCCAGCCTCAACTCTTGGGTCCAGAACCACAAAACCACTGACGGGTTGACTGAGAACTCGCCAGAAGCACGAACGATCCCTGCTCCTGAGGAGCCTGATTGGGAAACACACACTGGAGTGATGAAAGCTGGGTTCTGGGGTCCGCCCCGCCCGCAGGGAGCAACTCCGCCCCTTCACCTTACCAGGCTTCTGGCCCAGATGACTCATGTTGTCAAACATCCCAAACCACTTAGGTATCAAGAAGAGCGAAGCCTTCCTGGCTGGGCTCACATTTTCCTATTCCCCACCACAATCCCCTCCCTCCCTTCTAGACTATCCGTGTTCAATATCCTTCAGGCTAGCAATGGAATACAGGTGTTATTCCAAATGCCACCTCTTATCAAGAGTGGTCACATGGGTCAACACTGGGTGGAGGATTACAAAGCCACATCCAAGTCTAGCAAGAAAGTGTGCCCTAGTTGATTAGTGATGTCTGCCATGGCAAAGGACAGCAGGCAGAGGCATATGTGATTAGTAATGTCTGCCATCGCAAAGGACGACAGGCAGAAGCATGTGTGCTTATTATTGCCATCTCTGCCTCAGAACTATCTCAAACATGATCTAGTTCCAGGGAGTCATGTCCTTTATTATTATTATTTTTTAAATTATTTTTATTTTGTGAGATGGAGTTTTGCTCTTGTTCCCAGGCTGGAGTGCAATGGCGCGATCTCCACTCACTCCAACCTCTGCCTCCAGGGTTCAAGCGATTCTCCCACCTCATTCTCCCAAGTAGCTGGGATTATAGGTGCCTGCCATCACACCCAGCTAATTTTTGTACTTTCAGTAGAGACGGAGTTTTGCCATGTTGGCCAGGCTGGTCTCAAACTCCTGACCTCAGGTGATCCACCCGCCTTGGCCTCCCAAAGTGCTGGGATTACAGGCATAAGCCACCGTGCCCGCCCAGTCATCCCTTTATTGACGTTCATAATCATCGATCCTTCCCCTAGGACTTAGATTTGCACTTCTCATTCTGACCCTTGAGTGTTGAGGTGGGCGTGGGGCTTGCTCCCCCTGAGCTATACTTGGGGGCACAGCCAGCCAGGGAGGGCTGAAGGGAGAGGTAGGATAGCCTGGTGGTGTAACACACTGGCTGTGGAGTCCCCTGTGCTGTACTTGGGGGCACAGCCAACCAGGGAGGGCTGAAGGGAGAGGCAAGATAGCCTGATGGTAAACGAGTCCCACAGACACGGGTTTGAATCCAGACTGCCGCTTCTCAGCCGTGAGAAGGGGTGTGCTTGGCACACTGCAGTTGATCACTAAGTGTGGGTGGAAGAATGTGTGAATGAACGCAGAATGAGCCTCTGCTCAAGGCACAGAGCAGACCCACACTCCCGGGTAGAGAGAAGGAGGCTCAAAGGAGCTTGCACATCAGCTTGGGGTTCCAGTCCCACCCTCCCGGGTAGAGAGAAGGAGGCTCAAAGGAGTTTGCACGTCAGCTTGGGGTTCCAGTCCCACCTGTGCCTCTAGCTGTGCGAGCTTGGGCTGCTTATTTACCTTCTCCAAGACTCCTCTCTCATCTATGATTAGGGAACAACAGTCGCTACTTTGTGGAGGTGTTGGGAGGACTAGAAATCATGTATTCAAAGCATGTGTCACGGCACCTGGCATGGCATAAACCCTCAATAAATAGTAGCAGGAGACGTGGTGAATATTCACAGCACTGCAGTTAGCAGAAATTCAGAGATGTCTAATAAAAGGAGAATGCTTAAGTAGACGATGGCACATCTACGGGTAACATCGTGCAGGAAAGTAAAAGGATGATTATGAAGATGAGGCAGCAACAGGGAAAATGCTTATGACACGAAACAGAAACAGCAGAGCCCCAAATTGGGCATTCACAGTGATTACGACTGTGTGAAGAAACATGAGAACATTTAAAAACAGGGAAGGAAGCAGCGCGGCAGGAGTCGGACCTCATGCTTCAGTGGGGGACGGGGTTTCCTCCAATGGCCTTATATTATCTTTATAATTAAAAACATGACTTACTTTCAGGAAAAAAGGCTATGTAGTGAAATTAAGTTAATTAATATAGTTTTTAAAAGGAAAAAACCGGCCAGGCGCGGTGGCTCATGCCTGTAATCCCAGCACTTTGGGAGGCCGAGGCGGGCAGATCACCTGAGGTTGGGAGTTTGAGATCAGCCTGGCCAACATGGCAAAACCCCGTCTCTACTAAAAATACAAAAATTAGCCAGACATGGTGGCATGGTGGCGTGCACCTGTAATCCCAGCTACTCAGGAGGCTGAGGCAGGAAAATCGCTTGAACCCGGGAGGCAGAGGTTGCAGTGAGCCGAGATCGCACCACTGCACTCCAGCCTGGGCAACAGAGCAAGACCCTGTCTCAAAAGAAAAAAAACCAACAAAGTTGCTGAAGGCTCCATGGGTGGCAGGGTCCGGCCTCCCTCCCCCGCCCTGTGCCACTGGACTCACACACTCACCCCGCAGAGGTCAGGACCCCCTCCCCCGCCCCTGGACTCACACACTCACCTCGCAGAGGTCCGGACCCCCTCCCCCGCCCCTGGACTCGCACACTCACCCCGCAGAGGTCAGGACCCCCTCCCCCGCCCCGGACTCGCACACTCACCCCGCAGAGGTCCGGACCCCCTCCCCCGCCCCGTGCCCCTGGACTCACACACTCACCCTGCAGAGGTCTTCTTCAGCTTGGCACACAGTAGGACATCTGTAAAGAGGAAGACGTGCCGCAGCTTCCGGGAGCTCTCTGACACTTCCACCAGGAAGCCGTCCTTCACCAGCTGTCGCGTCTGAGGGAGATGGCAGACCCCCCAGCCTGCTCAGAGGGGAATGCGGCCGAGGGCAGAGCCTGCACACGGGGGCACGGCCAGCCAGGGAGGACTGGACCGAGAGGCGGCATAGCCTGTCATCCCTTAACCAAAGGTGGTTCAAGCACTGCCTTTGGAGTCACATGGGCATGGGTTTGAATGCCAACAGGCTTCTCAGCTGTGATCTCAGACAGGCTCCCTGACCTCTCTGAATCCCAGATTCACCTTCTGTTAAGTGCGGACAGTGAGGTCTGCCTCATAAGGTGACTCATCGAGATGGTGCATGTGAAACAGCACAGTGCCTGGCACATTAAGTGTGTGCAACGCACGGGGCTCTCCGCGGCTAACCCTGGAGCCCCCTGCCCTGGACGACCTGGTTTCTCCACCCTGGGGCACGAACATCCCCGTTTGCAATCCCTCCCGACCGCGGCGGCGAACTTCATCTAGCCCCGGCTCAACCGAGACCCGAGACCCGAGACCCACTCAGGCCTGTCTGTGCTACTCCTCCCTGGCTTCTCCAGCCCCCTGGGGATGAGACCTGGGCCCTCCAGCCTGGGACTGCAGCAGTGCCCAGAGGGGACCTGCAGCCAACTCTAACCTGGGCTCTGGGTGGTTTCTGCTCCACGTGGGAGTTCCAGAGTTTCCAACCCCCGCTCAGAGCCGGGGGGTCGTCCCCATCTGTGCCAGCCTTTCCTGTATGATACACGGTGTGACCTACATCTGCTGTAATACGTAGGTGAGCGTATTCAAAGTATACAATTAAGATGACCGAGGCCGGGCGCAGTGGTTCACACCTGTCATCCCAGCAATTTGGGAGGCTGAGGCGGGTGGATCACCTGAGGTCAGGAGTTTGAGACCAGCCTGGCCAACGTGGCGAAACCCCGTCTCTACTAAAAATACAAAAACTAGCCAGACATGGTGACGCCTGCCTGTAATCTCAGCTACTTGGGAGGATGAGGCAGGAGAATTGCTTGAACCCAGAGGGTGGAGGCTGCAGTGGAGCTGAGGTCACGCCATTGCACTCCAGCCTGGACGATGGAATGAGATTCAGTCTCAAAAAAAGGATGACTGAAAACGGAGGGTACGCTAAGCCCTCTGGAGATTTTTCAGATATCCCCAGAGTAAAACAGACGACGGGATCCCCAGACGCTGCACATCAGCACCAGGAGCCGCACGGAATCGGCTCTCTCTGCCCAGTGGACACTGTCCAGGCCTGTCCCTCACCACTTTCTCCCCAGGAGACCCTGGGGGCTCGTAAACAGACCACAGGAGCAGACACCCTGTCAGCCTCACTCGTAACGGCCGCCTAATGGCCTCCCCTGGACAGGAAGCCTTTCACCCGGGCCCGGCTGCCAATCCACGAAGGCAACTGTCCCTCTCATGCTTCCTGGTACTCCCCTTGCTGGGCTGTCCCCACCCTTGCATCAAGAAGGGCCCCCAGGGAACGGCTGTCCCACATGCAGGTGCCCACTGGACATTCCGGCAACCTGGACGGCCTCCACCACCTCCAACGCCAGCCTTTCCTGCTGTGGGCTCCCCGCAAGCCACTGCGTGTGCAGGCCGAGCTGAAGCAGCTCCAAGCTCCTGCTCCCTTCGCTTCCTAGGAGACCCTGACGGCATCACACTGGCCAGAGGCAGGTGTCTGCATTCAAGAATGAGGCACCCGGAGGCCACTTCCCCGGCGTGGGCCTCCAGACAGTCCCAGGTGAGGAATCCAGCTCTGACACCAGTGGCTGAAAGACTGCGTGGTGGACCTGGAGAGACTCCCCAGCCTCAGGTTCTTCTGGCTCACTGGATTGTTATTATTATTTCTGAGATGGAGTCTCACTCTGTCACCCAGGCTGGAGTGCAGTGGTGCGATCTCGGCTCACTGTAACCTCCGCCTCCTGGGTTCAAGCAATTCTCCTGCCTCAGCCTCCTGAGTAGCTGGCACTACAGGCATCCGCCACCACGCCCAGCTAATTTTTGTATTTTTAGTAAAGACGGGGCTTCACCATGTTGGCCAGGCTGGTCTCAAACTTCTAACTCAAGTGATCCACCTGCCTCAGCCTCCCAAAGTGCTGGGATTACAGGTGTGAGCCACCGTGCCCGGCCTCCCTAGATTATTATGAGGATTAATGAGACACTGGACTTAAACTTCTCAGCCTAGGGCCTGGAAAGCTGCAGGTCATCAGGGTGACCAAGGGCTGAAAACCTCTCCTTGGCTGGGAATGGGGGATCAGGATTGGAGAGGCAGGAGGCACCCGGTGCCGCCCGTGTGTGAGAGAAGGGGACGAGGGACCTGCCGCCCGTGTGTGAGAGAAGGGGACGAGGGACCTGCCGCCCGTGTGTGAGAGAAGGGGACGAGGGACCTGCCGCCCGTGTGTGAGAGAAGGGGACGAGGGACCTGCCGCCCGTGTGTGAGAGAAGGGGACGAGGGACCTGCCGCCCGTGTGTGAGAGAAGGGGACGAGGGACCTGCCGCCCGTGTGTGAGAGAAGGGGACGAGGGACCTGCCGCCCGTGTGTGAGAGAAGGGGACGAGGGACCTGCCGCCCGTGTGTGAGAGAAGGGGACGAGGGACCTGCCGCCCGTGTGTGAGAGAAGGGGACGAGGGACCTGCCGCCCGTGTGTGAGAGAAGGGGACGAGGGACCTGCCGCCCGTGTGTGAGAGAAGGGGACGAGGGACCTGCCGCCCGTGTGTGAGAGAAGGGGACGAGGGACCTGCCGCCCGTGTGTGAGAGAAGGGGACGAGGGACCTGATACTTCTCAGCCTGGGTGAGGGGCCGTGCCGGGCTCTGAGCTCACCTCCCCCTTGGGCGTTGTCACTGCAGTCCGGCGGGGGTCGATGTCCTCGTTGATGCTGGACAGGAAGTTCTGGGAGATGCGGAGGGCATCCTGCAGCAGCGGGTAGTCGGGGTGGTCCACAGGTGTGTGCTTCAGCAGGTCCTGGGAAGGGTGAGGCGGTGAGTTGAGGGGAGCGGCTCTGGGGCCTGATGTGTGGCCACCGGGGAGTGCTCAGTCCCCATCCAAAGGGTGGGCACTCAGGGACCTGCCTAATTCCCGCAAAATCTGAACTACAAATCAGAGTCAGGCCGGGCACGGCGGCTCATGCCTGAAATCCCAGCACTTTGGGAGGCCGAGGCGGGGGATCACTTGAGGTCAGAAGTTCGAGACCAGCCTGGGCAACGTGGTGAAACCCCATCTCTAGTAAAAATATAAAAATTAGCTGGGCGTGGTGGCGGGCGCCTGTAGTCCCAGCTACTCGGGAGGCTGAGGCAGGAGAATTGCTTGAACCCAGGAGGCAGAGGTTGCAGTGAGCCAAGATCGCACCACTGCACTCCAGCCTGGGTGACAGAGTGAGACTCCGCCTCAAAAAAAAAAAAAAAAAAAAAAAATCAGAGCCAGCACAGCAGGGGAGAGGGCCCTGGCTGCCCCCTCTTCTCCTGGCCACAGTCATACTCTCTCCCCAGTGTGGAGACCAGGTGGAGGCTCATCCCCCCGAGCAGCTGGGAGAGAAACCCTGTGTCTGCCCTGCAGCTGCTCCAAGGACACTGGAGACCAGGAGGCAGCGGGTGGGGAAGCAGGAATGCCTGCCTCCCCGGGAGCACCTGGCCACGTCAAGCTTAGTAGCCAAGCTGTATTCAGGCCCTAGCCTGGCGGCACGGATACCGCGGGCCAGACAGGCATCCTTGGAGCCTAGGAACCCCTGATTCCCCAGGTGGACTGTTCTCGGTGACTCCAGCACCCTCTCACCCAGGCTCAGTCTTCCACTGAACTCCTAAGCCCTCTCTGGCCATTCGGAGGCTTGACACTCACGTGTAGGACTAGGGTGCTCCGAGTGACCCGGTCAATGGGCTTGTAGAGCAGAGCTGTCGGGGGAGACAGGGAGAAGGAGGAAGAGGATGATGGACGAGGGCAACCCAACACCCCAGAGACCAGCTTCGTCCCCCCACCCGCATGCTTCCCACGTGAACACCCCTCGAGGGACACCAGAGTGAGCCCACGGCAGCCCCCACCTCTGTTCTCACTCCCCGGGCCGACCAAACAGCAGACACAGGTGACACACAGCCCTGGCAGCCCCTGCTCCCTCCGCAGCCCTGCCTCCTCTCCCATCAGACATGGCTTCATCGAGAGCCGCCCCGCCCCCCTCCCCAGGCCTGTCCTGGCCTCACCTGGCTCAAGGCAGATGCTCTCCTGGACCCCCAGCCCTGAATCACACAGCTCCACCCAGCCACGCCCCGAAGAGTCCAGCACACCTGCCACACGCAGGACCCCAGAATCACACAGCTCCACCCAGCCACGCCCCGAAGAGTCCAGCACACCTGCCACACGCAGGACCCCAGAATCACACAGCTCCACCCAGCCACGCCCCGCAGAGTCTAGCACACCTGCCACACGCAGGACCCCAGAATCACACAGCTCCACCCAGCCACGCCCCGTAGAGTCCAGCACACCTGCCACACGCAGAACCCCAGAATCACACAGCTCCACCCAGCCATGCCCTGCAGAGTCTAGCACACCTGCCACATGCAGGACCCCAGAATCACACAGCTCCACCCAGCCACGCCCCGCAGAGTCCAGCATACCTGCCACACGCAGAACCCCAGAATCACACAGCTCCACCCAGCCATGCCCTGCAGAGTCTAGCACACCTGCCACATGCAGGACCCCAGAATGGGGGAAGGAGACATGCTGTGTTTCCAGGAAGGGCAGCTCCCCAGACCTTATCATTCTCAGGCTCCTGGAGCTGAAGGCCAGGCACAGCCAGCTGGGATTGGCATGCCTCACTGTGATCCACAGGACTGGCCTCATCTCTCAGAGGAAAGACCCCTCCCCACATCCTCAAACCCCAGATAGCAAAGCACAGGAAGGCTGGAGGCAGGGAGGCTGGAGGCCAGGAGGCTGGCCTGATCTCCACAGAAAGGCTCTGCTCCCCGAGGCCAGCCTGGCCAACCAGTGAAACCCCATCTCTATTAAAAATACAAAAATTAGCCAGGCGTGGTGGCACATGCCTGTAATCCCAGCTATTTGGGAGGCTGAGGCAGGGAAATCACTTGAACCCGGGAGGCGGAAGTTGTAGCGAGCCAAGATCATGCCACTGCACTCCAGCCTGGGTAACAAGAGCAAAACTCCATCTCAAAAAAAAAGAAAAAAGGCTGTGCTCTCAAACACGTGGCAGCCTGAGGGGCAAAGGTTTCCTGAAGCAACTCAGGTTAGGCCTCACATATGAGAGCCCCAAAGAGGCTGGGAGGACGCAGGCAAGGCCAGCCCAGGCCCCCAAGAGCCACACCCTCCACAACCCGGACACCAAGTGAGGATGGCTGGGATTCAGCAGGGACAGGTGGAGGTGGCAGCTGGTGGATCAACACTTCCCAACACCCTTCCTGTACGCGGCTGCGCCCACCCTCCCAACAGGAGGCTCAGCTTCAGTCCTGCACCTGGATGCTCTGTCCCTGGGGTCATGACCTTGGGCCTCCTGCCGCAGGGGCAGTGACAGAGGCAGGTTGGTCATCTGGGAAGAAGGATCCCAGACTGGGTGTCCCATAAGACCAGGTTGTGACAGGTCCCAGCGTGAACACGCACGCCCTAGCCGGGCCCCAAACCCGATAGTTCTCCAAAGCCTGAGATATAAATACCCCGTGCGCGGCTAAGCAGACACTTCAGGGAGCAATCTGCTGGCTGTGAAGAAAATGCAGCCTCAGCAGGGCCACCAGCCTTACCCGCAGTCCGAGCTTGGCTGCCTGTCGGAATCACTGGGGGAGCGGTTAAAAGATACAGATGCCTGCTCCCCAGCCCCGTCAACTCAACCCAAATCTCTGCAAGACCACAAGGGCCATCAGCATTTCTATAAAGCTTCTTTACTGATTTGAATGTATAATAATGGTTGAAAACCACTGCTTTATGTTTTATTTATGTATTTATTTTAATTTTTTTAAAAATATAGAGACGAGGGGCCGGGCAGGGTGGCTCACGCCTGTAATCCCAGCACTTTGGGAGGCCGAAGCGGGTGGATCATTTGAGGTCAGGAGTTCAAGAACAGCCTGGCCAACATGGTGAAACCCCATCTCTACTAAAAATACAAAAATTAGCCAGGTGTGGTGGCAGGCGCCTATAATCCCAACTACTTGGGAGGCTGAGGCAGGGGAATCTCTTGAATCCAGGAGGCAGAGGTTGCAGTGAGCTGAGATTGCGCCATTGCACTCCAGCCTGGGCGACACAGTGAGTCTTCGTTTAAATAAAAATAAATATAGAGACAAGGTCTCACTATGTTGCTCGTCTCGAACTCCTGGCCTCAAGCCAAATACAAGCTGGTCTCGAACTCCTGGCCTCAAGCAATCCTCCTGCCTCAGTCTGCCAAAAGTTGGGATTACAGGCATGAGTACCCGGCCAACCACTGGTTTACGTAAATACACTTCATATGACATATCTGTAGCCCTTTCTTATCTAGCAGTTTCCAGAGACCCTCCCCATGGGCCATGGAAGCTTGAAGGAATGAGGCCAGTCTTGGGGTATCCTCGGCACTGAGGGTGCAGCCCAGGTCCTAGCTCAGGTGGGATCCATTTCTGAGGCTGTTTAAGGCACCCACCTGTGGCTCAGCCCATCTTCAGGGGGAAAAAATCACACTGGAGAACCCCAGAGACCCAAAAGAAAGCACAAGCTCAGCAGACACCTGCCAGGGTGGGCTCCGGAGTGGCGGCTCCACAGAAAGCTGACACTGCATTATCGGCTCCCCGCAGCCCTCTCTTGGGTCCCAAGAGGAAGAGGTTTCTGACTAAGCTCAGAGGTCTGAACACATGGCAGGTTGGGTTTCAGAGGGGTTATTAACATGTCTGTGGTCACCTCCAGAGTCCACCTGAGTAAGGCTGTGGAATGAGCCCTGGAAGGGCGGCCAGGAGGGCAGGTGCACGGGGCGGGGGGCGGGGGGGGGTGGCGGCACTGGGACCACATCAGATACGGAGGGAACCGGGGGAATAAGAGCGGCCCTGAAGTTTGTGCTCCCCACGGCCCCTGCACGCTGGGGTCCCCTGAGAACTCAGGGTGAGGCACTCGCTCTGGCCCTTCCCCTGTCCCTGGGCTCCTGCAGGCTGGCCTGCTTCCTGCCCGGCCTCACCCACTCTCCCTCTCCACTGACACTGACTTGGGCAGCAAGCTGGTCTCTCTCTAGTTTGCTGGGTACTCGCTCTGTGCCCAAGGGTACTGAGTTAACTGCTTTGCTCTCATTATTTCCTGTGATTAAAACGGGAAGCAATTCTCACTAGCCCCATTTTACAGACAAGGCAACTGAGGCCAGAGACTTGTGGCTACAAGTGGTGGGAGCTGGGTAGATCCACCCGCACTCCTTGCTTTGAGCTGCACCTTCTTCAGGGAAAGGCAGCACCTGTAAAACCTCAATGAACCACAGGAGCGTTCTTGGAAAGAGTGACCAGGATGGGGTGAGCCCCCTCCTCACGAGCTGGCCCTTTCACTCCTCATTCCCCACTTTGAAGCCGACTTCAACAACAGTATCACGGAGACCGAAGCAACGTGAACTCCAGGTCCCAGGTCCGTTTCACTGAGTCGAAGCTTCCTTTTGGGGAAGGGAGAGGAAGCCAAGGGTACGTTTCCTTTTCAGGGAGGCAGAGTCAAGACCTGACCAACTCCTAGGCCAGACCAAAAAGACCATTTCTCCTCTGATCGCTGACCAGGCCAATTTCAAGTGAGAACAGGGTTCCTGCAGCCGCCCTGCTGGGCCGCAGGAGAGAGGCTGCCTCAGAGCTTGCTTCCATCAAGAGGGTCCTGAGAAGGTCAGGGGGCACTGGCCCCACACAGCCCCTCCAGCACAGCCGCCCCTGGGAAGGAGCCCAGGAAACCTGCCATCTCTCTTCCGGCAAGCCACCATCCCCCTCAAGTCAGCCTTCGACAAGGAGCTCCAAGGAGCTCCAGGTTACCAGGGAGATAGGAAAGCAAAGTGACTGAGAAGGGTGCAGAGCCGAAACACCTGGTGGGAAGGAAGAGGAAGGTCCTAAAACCAGCCGCCTGCTGCTCCCACAGACTCAGGCCCAGAGCAGCCGGCCTGGGAGCCACACGTGCCCACCCCACTCCCTGCCACAGGCAGGCAGGGCACCCCTTGGCACGTCTTGCCTCTTGAGGCAGGGTCCACGGGCTTCTGGACACCTCCCTACCTGGGCCGGCTTCATCCTCCTACGACCGACAGTCGTGTTGATGACATGCACCTGTCCCGGGACTTCCCCCCAGCCCCCAGCCAGCTGCGGGAGCTGCAAGGAGGATGGTCCGGGTCCCTTCCACCGAAAGGTGGTGTGTGTGTGTGTGTGTGTGTGTGTGACCTTCACAGAGTAGCTTGCCACACCCCTCTCCCGCTGGCCCTGCCGACCTGCCTTCCACAGTTGAGGGCCCAGACCTCGGCTGGGGGTCTCTCACGGCTGGAAACAAACCTCTCCTTCCTGCTCCCACAGCCCCTCCGTGTCCTCCGCCTACTGCTGCATGTGCGCGGAGCACACAATACCGTGCCGCCCAGCCTCCGCGCCTCTCTCCAGAAACAAAGAAACTCCCAACTTCTCCCTCTGGCTCGCGCTGGCACCCTCTCGGCTGGCAACGCCGCCGTCCGGACCATCGCCACCCATCGCCACGCTGTGCCTGGCCCCCGCAGACCCTCTCCCTGGCCTCAGGGCTACTACGTCTGCGGGCACAGCTCGTCGCCGTCTCTCCCTAACAGCCCCTCCAGGAAGTTCTCTCACACTAGCCCACCAATTCCCCACCGATCCTCGGGGCCACCTGGACCCCTCCAGCCTGGTCCTTCCATTTGCAAGCGGCCCTGCTCTGAGCAGCCCCCAGGTTTCAACTCTAGGCTGGATGCCGCCAAAACGAAGGGGGAATTCAGGTCCAGCCGCTCGCCCACCCTCCTTCCCTGCGGCCCTCTAACCTCCCCGGCCACATCTAAGCCCACTCCAGCCGGCCCCCAGAGGTGGGAGGGTCCGCCACCTCCCACAGCGAGCACCTGGGTTACCATAGGTGCAGTTACAGCAGAAGCGAATAATGAGGAGAATCTCCATGGCAGCCTCTGTCCCCGCGGCGGGAGCGTGCAGCCATCGCTCCAGGCTCCCCGGCGCCCACCAGCAGCCCGGCCACTCAGCCACCTTGCTGATGCTGCCGCACGGACTCCAGCATCGGGCAGCCGCTCCGGAGTGCTCTTCCAGCAAGGGGGAGGGGAGGGAGGCGCGTGGCGAGGAGAGGAGGGAAGGGGAAGGGGAGGAGGGGTAGGGAGGGAGGGAGCCAGCAGCCTGCTGGCATCCTAAAGAGGAGCACGTTTGTAGCTGGCTGGCTGCCTGGGCACGAGGCTAGAGTCCTCGCGTGCGCGCACACGCGCACTCAGCTCACACTCACACGCGCTCACACACGCTCACGCTCACACGCGCTCACACACACGCACACACAAGGGGAAGGGCGCCGCGTTCACGCAGCCTGTTGCCTGCACAGCCAGACAAAGGTAGGTGCCTGTAATCCAGCCCGCTCCCCGAGGTACCTTCCATGGTGACAGACGTGTGGCTGTCCTTGGAGTCCTTGGGACCTTTCACTTTGAGTTCCTGCCAAAGGGAGGAGAGGAGTCATGGCCTGTTCTGTCCCTCACCTCTCCCAGCCCCCACTGTGAGCCTGGCAAGAAGGGGAGTTCTGAAACTCAGGGTGTACATATGAGAACAGAGGCCGGGTGTGGCGGCTCACGCCAGTCATCCCAGCACTTTGAGAGGCCGTGGTGGGCGGATCACCTGAGGTCGGAAGTTCGAGACCAGCCTGGTCAACACGGTGAAACCCCATCTCTACTAAAAATACAAAAGTTAGCCAGGTGTGGTGTCAGGTGCCT
Organism: Homo sapiens; assembly: GCF_000001405.40. Taxonomy (NCBI): domain Eukaryota; kingdom Metazoa; phylum Chordata; class Mammalia; order Primates; family Hominidae; genus Homo; species Homo sapiens. The sequence continues at coordinate 123,213 of NT_187613.1, forward strand.
GTAATCCCAGCTACTTGGGAGGCTGGGGCAGGAGAATCGCTTGAACCTGGGAGGCGGAGGTTGCAGTGAGCCAAGATCACACCATTGCACTCCAGCCTGGGCAACAGGGCGAGACTCTGTCTCAAAAAAAAAAAAAAAAAAAAAAAAAAAAAAAAAAAAAAAGAAAGACAAAGGAGCCCCATGGCCATGGGCTGCCTCTGCCACCCCAATCCCCTGCACCACACCTGTGAACTCCTGGAGCCTCGTGGAGTCCAGTGGCTGGGGCGTGGGCAAGAAGGAAGGGACTCCAGGTCCCAGAGATGAGAGAGGCTGGCAGGGAGCCCTGTGATTACAGGAACCCCGACTCAGGAACCCTACACGTCGGCCAAGGGCAGACAGGGTTTGAGTTGACCAGCGCCAGGTACTCCAGCCAATCTTTAGGGCATGAGGAACCCATGAGGTAGGAAGGAAGGGTCCCACACGCCAGCAGGGAAGTGGTGGACCTTCGGCAGAGATGCTGAGCTCCCCAGGACAGTGAGCTGCATCCTACCCCCATCAGAGAGCACTTACTCAGCCCCCAGCACCCCCGACACTCCCCACCCACCACTGCCCATGCTGGGGGTCCGAGAGGAAGCTTCGAGGGAGGAACAGCCAATGCCCCTCCTGGATCCCAAGCCAGGCAGCAGGTAGTGAGTACTGGAAAGACCCCCGGGATGACTCATCTGCTCCAAGCCTCTTTATCCTCCTTTAGAGACGTTCCAGCCCCAGCTTTTGCTAACAGGACAGTGCAGCCTGCAACTGGAGCTGTAATACCATCCCCACTTGGCAGACGGAGCACACGGAGCCTCAAAGAGGGGTGTGGGAGGGAAGGCAGGAGGCAAGGTGAGGCCACGGTCAGGTGCCCAGGTGATGAGGCCAGGGTCAGGTGCCCAGGTGATGAGGCCAAGGTCAGCTGCCCAGGTGATGAGGCCAAGGTCAGCTGCCGAGGTGATGCCACCTGCTTGGTCTGCAGGGGAGGAAGCGCTCAGACAGCAGGAACTTCCTACTTCTGTCTCAAGCTGTTTCTAGACAGAGAAAACTCCTGGAGATGGAGCTTGGGTGTGTGTATATTTTGGGGGGCGGGGGGGTGGGGGATACTCAGCGTCCCCAGCCTGTGTCTCTGGCTGGTGCCTGGACTCCCAGATTTCGGGAATGTTTCCTCACGCCCCCTCCAGTGAAGTCTAGGGTATGAAATCACTCCTGCTGCAGAGAGGAGCCTAATTGCAGTAATTAAGTGGCAGCCTCAGCAGGAAGCAAGCACGTCATCGAGTGAGTCAGGATGAGAAGCCACCTGGCAGAAAGCCAGGGGCCTGGCTCTGCCCTCCAGGGTGGGCAGGCTGTGAGGGGCTTATGGTTGGGTGTGGGGGTTTCTGCCTAGGCACAGAGAACAGGCAATCAGCCCAGGCCAAGAGAAGACCCCACACTCTCTGCACCATGTCTGACCCCGGGATCTTGGGCGGCCTTGGCAGGGCTGATCTGAACACAGACCAGGGGAGTCCAGGTAGTTCCTGGGTTGGGCTGGAAACCGCAGGGAAAGCACCATTTCTCCAGCCCCTTTTATTTGTATTTTTAATAGAGACGGGGTTTCACCATGTTTCCCAGGCCGGTCTTGAACTCCTGGGCTCAAGCCAATCTCCCGCCTCGGCCTCCCAAAGTGCTGGGATTACAGGCGTGAGCCACTGCACCTGGCCTCTCCAGCCACTTGACTCCATGGAGAGGGACTTCCCCACCCTGCACTTCGTCCTCCCAGGCAGAGGGTGACACATCTGCTCCATGGGTCTGGGAGAAGAAACTATGGTCAGCCATCCTCTCTCTGCACACTGGGTAAGAGGCGTGGGCTCTGTCCTCATTGTGGAGAGGGGCCTGTGTTTTCCTATTCCTGCAAGGGACTCAATAGATACTTTTTTTTTTCCAGACAGGGTCTCGCTCTGTCACCAGACTGGAGTGCAGTGGCGTGATCGCAGCTCACTGCAACCTCCACCTCCCGGGTTCAAGAGATTCTCCTGTCTCAGCCTCCCAAATAGCTGGGATTACAAGTGTGCACCACCACGCCCGGCTAATTTTTGTATCTTTAGTAGAGACGGCGTTTCGCCACGTTGGCCAGGCTGGTCTCAAACTCCTGACCTCAGGTGATCCGCCCGCCTCGGCCTCCCAAAGTGCTGGGATGACAGGTGTGAGCCGCCACGCCCGGCTTCTATAGGTACGTTTCATTCCAGAGGCGAAGTGTCAGCAAGCCCACTGTGGCTACAGATCCAAATCCACATTTTCCAAGCTGCATTTTTTTAACAGTAATGAAGGTGACATGTTCATCTCCAACTGTCAGCTTCTCTGCTGCCTCTCGGTGGATTCTAAACGTGGGCATCGACCGTCACCCCTGAAGTTTCAGGAAAACTACCCTGCGTTTCCCCAACTCTTCTAGCGTTAGAGCTGAGACGGGAACACAAAGGGCCAAGAGGGGCCTTTACGGCAGGACTCCCAAAACTGCAGAAGCTTCTCCCCTTTTCTAGGATGGAGGTTCTCTTGCCCTGAGCTGGGGGCTGTTCCTCTCAGGCCAGTGCTTCAGGGGTGCCACTGAGGTCTTTTTGGACAAAGGGATGAACTGGGCTCTGTCCTGAAGGATCCTAAGCAACTGTCCCTCCATGCCACCTCTTAGGTAGAAATGTTGATGGCAGATAGGACTGCACCTCTGCCCTGTGGAGGAGTGCGGGAGGAAGGCTGGGCCTCAGGAGCAGAAGCACGCGTGTTCCCAGCCAGGAAGGCTGGGCCTCAGGAGCAGAAGCACGTGTGCTCCCGGCCAGGTAGGCTGGGCCTCAGGAGCAGAAGCACGCGTGTTCCTGGCCAGGAAGGCTGGGCCTCAGGAGCAGAAGCACGCGTGTTCCCGGCCAGGGATTCTAAGGCTCCTTCTCCACATAAGTGGCTCTTACCCTTTTTGTGTTTATGGGATGGCAGTCTTAGAGTTGGCAAGAACCTTAAAAGACGACCTATAGTCCAAATTTCCTCAAGACTTCCCTGTCATAAATATTACCCAGAAGCTTGTTCAAATATAGAATCTTGGGCCCCACGCAAAGCCTTCTGAATCAGAAGCTCCGGGGAAGGTGCCAGGAAATCTGTGTTTTAAACAATGCCCCAGTGATTCTTATCAAGCAAGGTCAGGATTAGCTGGCCAAGCTGGACTCAGTGGCTCGCACCTGTAATGTCAGCACTTTGGGAGGCTGAGACGGGCACATCACCCGAGTTCGAGACCAGCCTGGCCAACACGGCAAAACCTCATCTCTACTAAAAATACAAACCTTAGCCAGGCGTGGTGGTGTGCGCCTGTAATCCCAGCTACTTGGGAGGCTGAGGCAGGAGAATCACTTGAACCCAGGGGGTAGAGGTTGCAGTGAGCCGAGACCGCGCCACTGCACTCCAGCCTGGGCGACAGAGCAAGACTCTGTCTCAAAAAAAAAAAAAAAAAAAAAAGGATTATCTGGCCATTTCTAAACCCCTCATTCTACCGGACAGGACATAAAAGCCAAGAGGGGGGACGTGACTTGCTCAAGGTCACCATAGTGTGGTGTGGGAGAACACTGCCTTGGATTTTTTTTTTTTTTTTTTTTTTTTGCCTCCCCTGTTCCTCTCTCTAATCTGAAAGAGAATAATAAAAAAATAAATAAAATAGATCGTTTTCTATTAAGAGGGAAAATGTCAGGTGCAAGAAAGCAAATATCAGGCTAAGTGTTACCCATTAGAGTAACCACTTCACCGACTGGCAAGCGAGGGAGGGGAGACCAAGGGCTCTGAGCAGCCCCCAAAGCTCCTTGTCCCTCAGGGTGGCTATGTGGGGAGCGGCCTACCTCTGAGATCTTCTGGAACTGGTTGTTGGACTGGCTGCACTTCTCAGCTGTCTCCAGAGCGACTTTATAGTTATCGACAAACGCTTTGTACACACCGAGCTGGCTGGCCTGCAGGGAGGAGTCAGGGAACAGAGGGAGAGGAGGGTGGGAGGGGAGAGGATTAATGAATGGATGAAAGCTTCACGGAGCACCGGGAGCTCCCCTGCACTGAAAACCTCTCACTCAGCTCGTTGGGAACTTGGGGAAACGCAGGGATGAACATATTACAGTGTCCCTTTGAACTGGACAGTTTCCATGGAAACCAGCTCAGCCAATAAGGTTAATGAGGGGGTCTGGGGTTGGGGAGACCAGGCTAGGGCCTTTGTTGGCCTGCTAGAAATTCAACTCTTCACAGCATCCAGCTTTCCTCAGCACGGTGAAGGTCTCCCAGGGTTTGAAATCCCTTAATGTCTCATACTTCCTTCACATCCTGGAATTAGCCGGAGCAGGGAGAGAGGGGGGTGTGTGTGCTGGGGGGAGCTGGCACGTGTGGCCTGCTCAGGCCTCCCTCCCCACGTGCAGCGTGGGGAACGACATTTAAAGGTGCTGTCTTGGCCGGGCGTGGCGGCTCACGCCTGTAACCCCAGCACTTTGGGAGGCCTGAGGTCAGGAGTTCCAGACCAGCCTGGCCAACATGGCGAAACCCCGTCTCTACTAAAAATACAAAAATTAGCTGGGCATGGTGGCGCGTGCCTGTAATCCCAGGTACTCAGGAGAATGAGGCAGGAGAATCGCTTGAACCCAAGAGGTGGAGGCTGCAGTGAACCAAGATCGTGTCACTGCACTCCAGCCTGGGTGACAGAGTAAGACTCCGTCTCAAAAAGAAAACAAAACAACAAATGAAGATGCTGTCTTTCCATTTCCCTTGGCCTTGAGGCCCCGTCCTCACCTCTTCCACCTCCTCTACCTCCAAGGAGCCAAAGCCCCAGCCTCACTACACGTTTGCCTGTCACTCACACAGTCACAACCTGAGTCACAACCACACAGAGCCTCGCCTCTTCTGAGAGGCAGGGCAGACCCCATCGCCCCTTTCTGCAAAAGGGGAAACCGAGGCTCCATAAGTCAATTCCCCAAATATTTATGGAAAGGCTTCGCTGCGCTGTATATAAGCACTTCCTCTTAAGGGACCAAAGGGTAGAAATTCAAATTAAAGCCATCACGAGATATTTTATACTCATCAGAAGGGTCAAAATTTAAAAGTCTAATTGACAGCAACGGCTGGCAAGCATATGGGGAAATTTAAACTCCCTGTTTTTGTTTTTGTTTTGAGATGGAGTTTCGCTCTTGTTGCCCAGGCTGCAGTACAGTGGTGCGATCTCGGCTCACCGCAACCTCCCGGATTCAAGGGATTCTCCTGCCTCAGCCTCCCGAGTAGCTGGCGTTACAGGCGCCCGCCACCACGCCTGGCTAATCTTGTATTTTTAGTAGAGACGGCGTTTCTCCATATTGGTCAGGCTGGTCTCAAACTCCCAACCTCAGGTGATCCACCTGCCTCGGCCTCCCAAAGTGCTGGGATTACAGGTGTGAGCCACTGCGCCCGGCCAATTAAAACTTTTTTTTTTTTTTTTTTTTGAGATGGAGTCTCGCTCTGTCACCCAGGCTGGAATGCAGTGATGCCATCTCGGCTCACTACAAGCTCCACCTCCCAGGTTCGCGCCATTCTCCTGCCTCAGCCTCCTGAGTGGTTGGGACTACAGGCGCCCGCCACCACGCCAGGCTAATTTTTTGTATTTTTTTTTAGTAGAGACGGGGTTTCACCATGTTAGCCAGGATGGTGTCGATCTCCTGACCTCGTGATCCACCCGCCTCGGCCTCCCAAAGTGCTGGGATTACAGGCGTGAGCCACCGCGCCCGGCCAATTTAAACTCTTAGACTACTCGGGGAAGTGTAAATTAGTACAATTATTTGGAGAGCAATTTGTTAATAACTAATAAAGCTGAGAATAGGCATGGCCTATTTTCAGTTGAACTAATAACAGTGTGGATAGGCACAGCCCATCGATTGCTTAGCAAATCCACTTTTACATACAAACTGCAGAGCCGTATCGTTCAGTGCAGTCGCCACCAGCTACCTGAGGCTACCAAGCACCTGAGATACGGCCGGTTCAAACTGAGACGTGCCGGACATGTAAAATACACAGTGGGTTCCAAAGCCTTAGTATGTAAAAGAGAATGTAAATTACCTCGTTAATTTTTAAATACTGATTACATGTTCAAATAATATTTGGATCTGCGGGAATAAATAAAAGATATTCTCAAAATTAATTTCACCTGCCTATTTTTACTTTTAAAAATGTGGGTATTAGGGGCCAGGCGCGGTGGCTCACAACTGTAATCCCAGCACTTTGGGAGGCCGAGGCGGGCAGATCACCTAAGGTTGGCAGTTCGAGACCAGCCTGGCCAAAATGGTGAAACCCTGTCTCCACTAAAGATACAAAATTATCCGGGCGTGGTGGCACGCATCTGTAGTCCCAGCTACTTGGGAGGACAAGGCAGGAGAATCGCTTGAACCCAGGAGGTGGAGGTTGCAGTGAGCCCAGATTGCATCACTGCACTCCAGCCTGGGTGACAAGAGCAAGACCCCGTCTCAAAAAAACAAAAAAAAGGTGGGTATTAGAAAATGTGAAATGATGTACGTGGCTCATAAGCTATTTCCATTAGACAGCAGTGCTCTGGAGCAAATGGCCTATGTGTGTGCCCCAGGGGACTCAAGGGTGTTCACCATCTCACTTTTCCTCCTCATAGTGGAGGGACTGGTAACAAATGCTCACAAACGGGGGAAGCCGCGCACACAGCCATGAACATGGATGCACCCGATTTACACATAGCATTGCTGACAAGCTCCAAAACGAACATGGGTTGAACTGTAAAATACGATTGCTGACAAGCTCCAAAACGAACATGGGTTGAACTGTAAAATATGATATATGTGTATACTTATACACTTTTTTTTTTTTTTTTGAGATGGAGTCTCGCTCTGTCAACCAGGCCGGAGTGCACTGGCACGATCTTGGCTCACTGCAAACTCCGCCTCCTGGGTTCAAGTGATTCTCCTGCCTCAGCCTCCTGACTAACTGGGACTACAGGCACGCACCACCACACCCGGCTAGTTTTTGTATTTTTAGTAGAGACAGGGTTTCGTCATATTGGTCAGGCTGGTCTTGAACTCCTGACCTCAGGTGATCCACCCGCCTCCGCCTCCCAAAGTGCTGGGATTACGGGCGTGAGCCACCACGCCTGGCTTAGACACATTTTTAAAGTACATGCAGCTGGGAGCTGTGGTACACACACCTATAGCCCTCGCTACTTGGGAGACTGAGGTGGGAGGATCACTTGAGCCCGAGTTCAAGTCCAGCCTGGACAACATAGCAAGACCTTTTTTTTTTTTTAAAGTACAGGCCAACCCAAAATAGATACAGATATGTAGTAAACACACAAACTGCAGTCTGGAAGGCTATCCACCAAATTCATGCCAGTAGCTGCTTCAAGAGGGAGGAGGGAGGGGAGACTCCACCTTCATGTGTGACGCTGTATTTTCTTCATTAGAAGGTTCTGCTGTTATTCTTTGGAGTTTCTGGTTTAAATGTTTTTCAATACAGCAGCAAGGGGGATACAGCTGCTGCCTGGCTTCCTCAGGGGCCTCTGCTTCCCACCAAGGTGCTGGGGGAAGTGGGCTGCTGTGGACCCCCACCCCGGACCACTCTGCTTTCTGCAGGATCCTCATGCTCCCCAAGGACCCAGAGAGGCTGGGGTGGGGGTAGGGGTGGGGGCAGGCTGGCCGCAGCATCGGCTGAGCCTGGAGCCTCCCAGTACAGAGGCAGAGCCCTTTGAGGAAGCTGGTGGGGCAGGGGAGCGGGGGGCATCTGGAAAAGCCAGAGGGGAGCGCGAGTGGGGACGCCCGGCGTGACGCCAAGGCCAGAGGCATTCAGGTCTCAGCTGCAGAAGGGCAGGACTTTAAAAGGGGGCAGGGCCGGACTTTTAAAAGAGGGCGGGGCCTGAGTTTTAAAGGGGGTGGGGCCTGACCTTAAAAGGGGGCGGGGCCGGACGGGAGGGAGTTTATTTCCTTTTCCAGGGAGTACTGAGGCCCGGCCCATCAATGCCCACGCTACACGAGGCATACTAGACAGTCGCTGCCTAAGCCAAAGTCAGATCACCGATATTCTTCCAGGAAAAGGCTCCTCTTGCCCCCTTTCCCACAAGAAGGAGAAAGCCTGGAGGCCCGGGTTGGCACACCACCCTCCCAGGAGCCAGGGGCAGGAGCCAGCCGTGCGGAGGCCTGCGTCCAGGGTCACGGTAATCTCAGGGACTGCCGCTGCCACAGTCACCCCAGGCGGTAGGGCCCGAGGCCTGGCTTGGCAGGTTCATTAACTGGGAAGTGCAGGTTGCCTGGAAACAGCAGCCTGGCACTGGAGTGATCTCATAAAACAAACAGCAGAGACGCTAATTCCCTTCTCTCAGTAACGAATAATCAAATACCCAGAGTCTTCGGCTGAAAATAAACCACCTCCGGATGCCAGACCTGACCCGGCTCCCCCCGGGCCCTCCCAAATCTGCAGCCCCAGGGGCCTCAGGCATCGGTTCACGATGCTGGGGAGGGAAAGTGGTGGGTAGCAGATTCACGGCCAGGCCTGTGGAGCCAAGACCAGAACCGGGGACAGCCAGGTCCAAGTGACAAAGATAAACTGTGACAGCGTTTCCAGCAACCCTAGGTTTGCTCTCCTCTACCCTCCTGAGGGATGAGGAGAGGATGCCCCCCAGGCCACTCAGCTCAGGTGAGCAGGCAGTGATGACAGGTGTTCACCATCCCTGAACCGGAGGGAGCAGGGGGGGGTATGCTAGAACCAGAGTGTGGCATTCCCTTGGAAGGATACCTTCCAGGGTGCCTCTTCCCAATTTAATAATAATAATAATAATAATAATAATAATAATAATAATAATGGCACTGATGATAATGACCAGTTATTGAGTACTTATTAATTTATGATGTTCCAGGCCCTGTTCCAAGCACTTTTTCTTTTACTTTATTGTATTCTATTTCTTTTTTTGAGACAGAGTCTTGCTCTTGTCGCCCAGGCTGGAGTGGAGTGGCACGATCTCGGCTCACTACAACCTCTGCCTCCCGAGTTCAAGCGATTCTCCCACCTCAGCCTCCCGAGTAGTAGCTGGGATCACAGGTGCGTGTTATCATGCCCGGCTAATTTTTGTATTTTTAGTAGAAACGGGGTTTCACCATGTTGGCCAAGCTGGTCTTGAACTCCTGACCTCAGGTGATCCGCCCACCTTGGCCTCCCAAAGTGTTGCTGGGATTATAAGCGTGAGCCACTGTGCCCAGCCATTTTTTTTTTTTTTTTTTTTTGAGACAGAGTCTCAGTCTGTCATCCAGGCTGGAGTGCAATGGTGTGGTTTTGGCTCACTGCAACCTCTGCCTCCCAGGTTCAAGCGATTCTCCCGCCTCAGCCCCCTGAGTAGCTGGGACTACAGGTGCATTCCACCACACCCTGCTAATTTTTTTGTATTTTTAGTAGAGATGGGGTTCCACCATGTAGGCCAGGCTGGTCTCGAACTCCTGACCTCACGATCCACCCACCCCGGCCTCCCAAAGTGCTGGGATTACAGGCGTGAGCCACCACGCTCAGTCAGGCCTATTCTATTTCTTTGTAGAGATAGGGTCTTGCTATGTTGCCCAGGCTGGTCTTGAACTCTAAGCCTCAAGTGATCTTCCAGCCTCAGCCTCCCAAAGTGCTGGGATTACAGGCGTCAGCCACCACACTCAGCCCCATGCAGTTTTCAGATATTAACTCCTCAAAATCACCCAATGAGGTAAATACTGTTACTATCCTGTTTTTTACAGATGAGGAAGCTGATTCAGAGCGGTTGGGTAAGTTGCCCAGTTGCAGGTTTAATCTGGCAGCGCTGGGATTCAAGCCCACTTTGTGACACGGCTCTAGAAGCTGTGCTGGAGAAACAGGACTCTCAGGACAGAAATCTCAGGCCCTGCAACGTCTCCCTCCATGCCCTTCCGAGTTCTCCCGAGGCCCAGTGGTCAAGGTCACGGTGCATTCACTCATTCAAGCAGTGACCACTGGGCTGGTTCTGGGAGTCTAAGAAGAAGGAAATGCAGGCCGGGCGCGGTGGCTCACGCCTGTAATCCCAGCACTTCGGGAGGCCGAGGCGGGCGGATCACCTGAGGTCAGGAGTTCGAGACCAGCCTGGCCGACATGGCGAAACCCCGTCTCTACTAAAAATACAAAAATTAGCCGGGTGTGATGGTGGGCGCCTGTAATCCCAGCTACTCGGGATGCTGAGGCAGGAGAATCACTTGAACCCGCGAGGAGGAGGTTGCAGTGAGCCGAGATCACGCCACTGCACTCCAGCCTGGGCGACAGGAGTGAGACTCCGTCTCAACAAAAAAAGGAAATGCAGTCCGTCCTCCTGGAACTTGTGGTTTGGGGGAGTCAGGCAGTTACTAGTGCTCACTACGAGGACTGGCACAAGGCCTGCATTTGGCGACTTGGAAAGCCTTCTTGGAGGAGGTCCCTTCTAAGCTGGGAACTGACCAGGGGAGGCCAGACGAGAGGGGGAAGGACGTTTCAGGCACACGGGGCCTCAAGTACCAAGAGTTAAGAAAGTGCCTGCCCTGGGAACTGAGAACAGAAAGTCCAGTGTCAGGAGCACAGAGGTGCGGGGAGGAAGCTGCCAAGGCTGGGGCTGGACACGGGTCAGTGTGCAAAGGGTCTCTCGAGCCATTCCTCGGAGCCTGACCTTCATCCGAGGGCCGTGGGGATCCGCTGAAGGGGCCGTCGAGGTTTCAGTGACTCTCTCCCCTCTAAGGAGAGGTGGGGGTGGGAGGTGAGTGGGCCTGGAGGCAGGAGCCACACAGGAGGATACGCAGCTGTCCAGGTGAGGGCCATGGGTGGCCAAGAAGAGGAAAAGGCGGCTGTGAGCAACGGCCAAAAAGTGGAGTCCACAGGACAGGTGGGGGAGGGGGTGCAGCCAGAAAGAGTCTGAAGCACTCGGTGAGGTAAAGACAGGAAGCGGAGCAGGTGACGCCGGAGGCAGGGAGCTCAGCTCTGAACACACTCAGCTAGAGGTCCTAGGAGTGTCCAGGCAGGAGAGGGAGAGTCTTCTCCAGCGTGAGAAAGGCAGAGCCCTGTCCATTCAGCCAGAACACGGCAGGGGAGGGGAGGAGGCCTCCAGCCTCTCACACCCAGAGAACAGGGCAGGAAGGAGGAGAAGGTCCTCTGGCCACTCACACCCAGAGAAGAACCGCGGCCTGGACTCCCAGTCTCCCTCTTGCCTGCTGGGCGGTCAGACGTTACGTAGCAGAGGTGGGGAGGGAGCTCCATGAGTCTGACCTGGGGGTCCTCCAGGGGACACAGCCAGAGATGGGGCAGAGCTGGGGGAGAGGGTGTCACAGAAGCACAGGGAACCAGAAGACTTCTGTGAACGTTTCCCAACACGAGGTCTGCATGTTAACCCACCCACTCCTGCCGCTCCCGACCCTGCAGTGGTGAGCAGGGCTGGGCTTCAGTGCTTCCTGCTCTTGGGACCTCAGGAGAGGATCATCGGCCAGTGTGCCCAACTGCTTCCTTTTACAGACCCGAGGTCTCAGGGGAGCAGTCCTCATGCCCCTAACCCGGCATGTGCCCCTCTGTTCACTGAGGGACAGGAGACTGAAGCCCAGCAAGAAGCCTTCATTCCAGGGCTGGTTCCTCAGAGCACCCTCCGGGAGAGAGAGGGAGCACCGTCCGGGAAAGACGGAGCACCCTCCGGGAGGGAGAAGGAGCACCCTCCGGGAGAGAGATGGTGCTCCCACAGAAGTGCCCATCCACACAGCCCATCTCCACCACCCCTGGAAGGACCTATCCACACAGCCTGTCTCCACCACCCCAGAAGCTCCCAGGGCTGCACCAGGGGAGGCCTAGAGTCAAGGCCCCGGCCCCAGGCACCCCATAACACACAGGCCCAGGCCTTCCTCCCGGACTCGGAGAGGTCTCAGGCCTTCAAGGAGTCCGAGAGGGCTGCCCGGTCCTCTCCTGAGGCTCCTGCAACACTATGGGCTCCACTGAGGCCCTGCGTGAGGACCCTCCATCCCTGGCAGACTCACCAGCTTCTGGAAGAGGTGGCCCATGGTGACCTGGCTGTCCCACTGTTGCACCTTGGGGCACAGGTTGTCATAGAACTCCTTGTGGATCTCATAGATGTCCTGGATCTTGTAGAAGATGGTCTCGATCTGCTGGATGGTGAGCACGGGCTGGGAGGTGGTGGCGGTGGCCTTCAGGGGTTTCATGGGCTGGGAGAAACAGAGGAAGAAAGAGCAGAGGTCGGGGGTAAACAAACCAGAGTGTCGGCAGGCCCCGGGGCCGATCGTTAGCCCTTCCCGCTGCCCAAGTCCTGCCCAGACAAGGCTGCCAAAGGCAGGGCACTGAAACGAGCTTTGTATCAAGGAGCCACTGCCACAGGCCCCAACAAGCCGCACACTCGACAGCAGGAACCTGGCCTGGCAGCTGTGCCAGGCCCGAGGGGTGGTGCCTGGGCTCACTCCCCTACCACGCAGCTGAGCTCAGCAGCAGCCTGTACTGGGTTAACAGGATCCGCGTCTTTCTTCCACGATAGCCTGTGCCCCGAGTCATAAGCTCCTTGTCACACTTCAGTGGAAGGGAGGGTTGACAGGGAACTCAAGCCTATAGCTGTTTCCTTCCAAGAAACAGAATGTGGTTCTAGGACTCAGAAGGTAGGGACCCGAAGTTACTCAAGACCAGTCTTGGCCTCACTGATGTTCCAAGTTCCCGTCACTTGGCACAGGGAGAGGCATGGGCGTTCACGTGTCCCCCACTGCAGCCCACCCCCGTGGCAGACATTGCTAAGCGACCGTGATGGTCCTTCCCACTGCGCATGGCAGGGGTCTCCAGTCTCAGACTCTTTCTCAATGCCTGCCTGTCTATACCAAGATGCTCCAGGGCCTGCCAGTGTAGACGGTGAGGTGGCAGATAACACAGACCAACCCCCAGCACTGGCCGGGAGCTGATGCCATCACCTTCCAGCCTAGCAGTGGGACCGTGGGATAACGGGACGTGCAGGCATTTCCTCAGTGTGGTTCTCTGCATTTTATAAATCACCTACAATGAATGAATATGAATAATCAGAAAAAAAAAAACCAAAGATGACCAGGCTGTACTGCAAAGGCCCTGCAGGACACAGGGCCTGATAACCTGCCATACAGGGAAGGTGTGGCAGGGAAGGGCAGGGTGGCCAGAGGGAGAGCAGCCACGTCGAATTCTTTTTTTTTTGGAGACGGAGTCTCGCTCTGTCGCCCAGGCTGGAGTGCAGTGGTGCGATCTCGGCTCCGCCTCCCGGGTTCACGCCATTCTCCTGCCTCAGCCTCCCAAGTAACAGGGACTACAGGCGCCCGCCACCACGCCTGGCTAATTTTTTTTGTATTTTTAGTAGAGACGGGGTTTCACTGTGTTAGCCAGGATGGTCTTGATCTCCTGACCTCGTGATCCACCCACCTCGGCCTCCCAAAGTGCTGGGATTACGGGCGTGAGCCACCGCGCCCGGCCAGCCATGTCGGATTCTGTTGATGTTCTTCACCTACCTGAAGGCCACGTGGAAAGAGGCTTAGACTTGGCTGGTCACGGTGGCTCACACCTGTCATCCTAGCACTTTGGGAGGCCGAGGCAGGTAGATCACCTGAGGCCAGGAGTTCGAGACAAGTCTGACCAACATGGTGAAACCCCGTCTCTACTAAAACTACAAAAATTAGCTGGGCGTGGTGGTGCACACCTGTAATCCCAGCTACTCAGGAGGCTGAGGCAGGAGAATCTCTTGAACTCAGGAGGCAGAGGTTGCAGTGAGCCAAGATTGCGCCACTGCACTCCAGCCTGGGTGACAGAGCCAGACTCTGTCTCCAAAAACAAAAACGAGGCTTAGACTTAATCTACGTTGCTCTGCAGACCCAGGAACAGTGGGGAAAAGTTATGGGGTCAGATTCGGGCTCACTAGAGCTGTCCCCCATAGGATTAAGTAGTGAGCTTTCCGACAAGAGAAGCATTCTAGCAGAGAATGGGTGACTCCACTGCTGAAAATGCTGCACTGAAGGGAACACCAAAGCCAGCGCCAGCTCCCTCTGAACGACGACCACCAGCTCCAGCCAACCACGGCAAACTCCCAGCCCAGCCTCACTCCAGCCTCACATCACCTCATTCTGATGAAGTCTCATCTACTCAGATATATCGCCTCACTCTGATGGAGACAGAACCCATGTTCACTGGAAGAAGTCGTCTCATCTACTCAGACACCCAGATGGTGCTCTGCCTTCTGGCTCCTTCATCCTCCGAGCTCTAAAAAGCCCAGATCCAACAATCCATGCAGGACAAAGCAGGACCCTCCTTCTGACCCTCGCCGCGCTAGAAACAACGGCCCCTCAGTGTCCAGTCAGGACTCTCCTTCTGACCCTCGCTGTGCTAGAATCAATGGCCCCTCGGTGTCCGGTCAGGCCCCTCCTTCTGACCCTCACCGTCCTAGAACCAACGGCCCCTCTGCGTCCGGTCAGGCCTCTCCTTCTGACCCTCGCCGTCCTAGAACCAACGGCCCCTCGGTGTCTGGTCCTTGCTAGGCAAGCGCATGGGGTTCCACCTGGTGCAGGCCAGGCAGGGTGGGCTTGAGTCGCAGCTCTGCTGTGCGCACATCACTCAGCATCCCTGGGCTTCGTGTCACCAGCAGCCTCATGTGTGAAACTGGGATAATACAGCCATGCGCTACCTACTGGCATTCCCGTCAGTGCGTACACGATCATGGTCCCAGACTGCAATTTTTTTTTTTTTTTTTTGAGACAGAGTCTCACTCTGTCACCCAGGCTGGAGTGCAATAGTGCAATCTCGGCTCACTGCAACCTCCGCCTCCCAGGTTCAAGCGATTCTCCTGCCTCAGCCTCCTGAGTAGCTGGAATTACAGGTGTCCACCACCCCGCCCAGCTAGTTTTTGTAGTTTTTGTAGATATGGGGTTTCACCATATTGGTCAGGCTGGTCTCAAACTCCTGACTTCAAGTGATCCACGTGCCTCGGCCTCTTGAAGTGCTGGGATGACAGGTGTTGAGCCACCATGCCTGGCTGAGACCTTTATAATCCAGTTGGGCAAAATGGGCCAACACAGATGAAATGACTATGGACGATGCGACTGACTGTAAGCACCAACCACATGGTTCCAAGGTTGTGCTGGAGTAGCCTGGAGGGCTGCATGGAGGAGGCACACATACCAGGTCCTTGGAGAGCTGAGCAGGTGGAGGAGTGGGGGCGTAGAGAGGCATGCCAGACAGGGAAACAGAAGGCACCGGGAGGCAGGAGCAAGGGAAGAGTGTCCCCCCAAGCCCAGGTGGGTGAGCTGAAAGCTTTGGGGACTCCCCACCCTCCATGAGGGACATGGAACTAGCTTCAGGATTGACATCGTCGTAAGAGTTTATCCTTTTCACCTCAACGCAGGACCCCACGGAGGAGCCCGCAGAGTCGCCACAGAATCCCCATACCCAAGAATTCTTGTCCCCGCCTTGGCGCAGTCCCCACTGAGGGGGAAATAAGGGAAGCAGGAAGGTCAGCAGTCCCAGGAAGGCCAAGGAGACGGGATTTCTCAGAAGCCGCGACGCGCTCATCTGCCACCCACACGAAGACAAAACACAATGGTTATGCTTCCTCCTCAACTTCCCACCCCGTCTGCAAAAGGGGAAGAAATGGACGCTCACCCACAGCCAGTCACAAGGACGGGGCCTGCGCTTGGGGCATCAGATGGTTCTCATGACACGATGGGGACCTTGGCTGTTACTCCTGATTTCACTCGCGGGGAGGGGACAGGGCTGGGTGTGTGCCCTTGGCTGGCCAGGACCCTCGAGGCCGTTATTTGTCTCTGGTGAAGTCCTGCGTATGGGCTCAGGGGCAGGAGGGTGGACTGAAAGGCAAGGTGACCCACACTGAGCTTCGGCACGGCACAGCCATTCTGCCAAAGCGCTAGCACACCACTCAGGCACCCCCTCCTCCCCAGTCCTGCTGCAGGGACAAGGGCAGGCCCCGGCTCTCCATTTCACCACTCGAGTTCTCGGAGAGGACCCGTGAGTGACTTCAACCCTGGCTCCCATACCAGCTGCTTCTCAGGAAGACGGGCCTGGGCCGGTTCTCACTTGCCAGTGGGACTTCACATAGCCGTTTGTCAGCTCTGTCCCCCAGCGACCGGCCTTTCGAAATAAGGGAAAGAAATGTACCCACTTCCTCCACCTCCTGCCCCAGAAGGCCTGGCATGCTTGCTGCCATGCCACCCGAGTCACTCGTCACTGGAGCCCAGGGAGGAAGGCCTCATTCACCTGTTTTATAGATAAAGAGCCTGCGATGCAGCGTGGCCAGGAGTCCACCCCAGGAGGGCCAGTCGTGGCCAGCGGTGGGAGGGGCTCTGGGGAGTGGCCTCACCCTGTGGCCCCAGCGTAGCAAGACACAGTTCCCAAGCTCAGTTCCCAGTGTCAAGGAGATCCAGAATTTCAATGCAGTTGGCTTCATCTTTTTTCCTTCACCCCCTACTTCGGCCCAGGCTCCCAGGCTTTTCCTGTAATCAGAGCCCACCAGGAAGCAGGAGGGCCCCAGAAGATGACCCCCACAAGCACCCCAGAGGCCAGGACGGAGGCTTCTGTGTGGAGGCTCGTCTGCCCCGTGTGTGCACATGGTTTTAGGTACACACACCCAGCCCTTTGCATATCAGGAAGTGTTCAGATGAAAGCAAACAGGCTGGGGCAGAGCGGTGGGAATGGGGTCAGGAGTGGGAAAGCGAGCATGGAGGGAACGAATTTCTTCTCCTTCAAGCTGGCACCTTTGCGAGGCCACCCCGAAGAGCAGAAGGTTTAGCTTCCTCCTAGCTGAGGGGTGGGGAGGGTGCAGGGGTTCCCAGCTCAGGGAGGAGAGGAGGAAGGGTGTGATTCTTTCACTCTGAGGTTTTCTTCTGAGGCTGTGGCTGTGGAGGGTCCTACTCCTCTTCCTGAGCCCTCCTACCACAGACCTGGCCTCCCAGCGAGTTCTTCCTTTGCTCCCTCTGGTCTCTGCTCAAGAAAGAGCCAAGCAGGGGCCCAGGAGGAGAGAGCTGGGGGAAGGTGGGGAACCCGCCCCGGGAGGAGAGAGCTGGGGAAGGGGGGGAACCTGCCCCGGGAGGAGAGAGCTGGGGAAGGGGGGAACCTGCCCCGGGTGGAGAGAGCTGGGGGAAGTGGGGGAACCTGCCCCGGGAGGAGAGAGCTGGGGAAGGGGGGAAACCTGCCCCAGGAGAGAGCTGGGGAATGGGGGAACCTGCCCCAGGAGGAGACAGCTGGGGAAGGGGGGAAACCTGCCCCGGGAGAGAGCTGGGGAAGGGGGGAACCTGCCCGGGGAGGAGAGAGCCGGGGAAGGGGGGAACCTGCCCCGGGAGGAGACAGCTGGGGAAGGGGGGAACCTGCGCCAGGCATATCAGGAAGGGGGCCCCTGCCCCACAGATTCTGCCTTTGGGGCATGAGCTGTTAGAAAGGCAGAGCAGGGAGGGGCTCTTGGTCTTGGCCCAGAGGAAGAGGCTCGTGGGTGGCAGGTGGGATCTAAGGGCTCCGTGTCTGATGGGGACAGGCGCCACTCCCTCCTTCAGGGAACGGGTGTGTTGTGGCAGAAACCACGAAGCCCTAACCTGTCTCCTCTCCCAGCAATAGAGAAATTAACAGTGTCAACGAACACTCAGGCTGTGTTCTAAGAGCTTTATGTGCCGGACACAGTGGCTCACATCTGTAATCCCAGCACTTTGGGAGGCCGAGGCGGGCGGATCACTTGAGGTCAGGAGTTCAAGACCAGCCTGGCCAACATGGTGAAATCTCATCTCTACTAAAAATACAAAAATTAGCTGGGCGTGGTGGTGGGTGCCTGTAATCTCAGCTACTTGGGAAGCTGACACAGGAGAATGGCTTGAACCCAGGAGGCGGAGGTTATAATGAGCCGAGATTGTGCCACTGCACTCCAGCCTGGGCAACAGAGCAAGACTCCGTCTCAAAAAAAAAAAAAAAAAAAGAACTCTGTGTATAAATTCCTTTAATCCTCAC
This sequence comes from Homo sapiens, assembly GCF_000001405.40. Classification (NCBI taxonomy): domain Eukaryota; kingdom Metazoa; phylum Chordata; class Mammalia; order Primates; family Hominidae; genus Homo; species Homo sapiens. The sequence continues at coordinate 141,189 of NT_187613.1, forward strand.
AACGACCCCATGAAAAGCATACTATTTGTATACCCAGTTTGCAGATGGAAAAACTGAGGCACGATAGCTCATTCACCTGCTGAAAGCCTGGAGCCAGTACGGCCAGGCAGTCTAGATCCTCTGTCTGAACTCCTTTCAAATACACACCCTGTTAGTAATGACAACTATGTTCCTTTTTGGACAGCAATTCACGGTTTGGAAGACGTGTTTCACGAATGTCTGACGGGTTGTCTCTTTGCCTGTCCTCCTTTCTTCCACTAACAGTTGAGTGTCTTAAGTAACTCAACGCTGTATGAGGTCCCGAAAGCATCTCCCGATCTTCTCAACCCCATGGAAAGAGAGAGAAAGAATGGCATCCCTCTCATCTTCAGATCCAGAAATGGAGGCTCAAGGAATTTATGTAGGGCTTGCCCAAAGCCAGCAGTTTTCTTTTCTTTTTTTTTTTTTTTGTGATGGAGTCTCACTGTGTCGCCCAGGCTGGAGTGCAGTGGCGCAATCTCTGCTCACTGCAAGCTCCGCCTCCCAGGTTGACGCCATTCTCCTGCCTCAGCCTCCCGAGTGGCTGGGACTACAGGTGCTCGCCACCACGCCCGGCTAATTTTTTTTGTACTTTTTTAGTAGAGACGGGGTTTCACCGTGTTGGCCAAGGATGGTCTGGATCTCCTGACCTTGTGATCCGCCCACCTCAGCCTCCCAAAGTGCTGGGATTACAGGCTTGAGACACGGCGCCCGGCCAAAGCCAGCAGTTTTCAAACCCACAACAGGTGTAAGACACCATGGGCCCGGCAATTACATATATATACAGGCACACAGACAGACAACAAACCGAAAGTTCCCTCACTTATCTTTCCCGTGTATGATGCATGCTGACATTTTTTCATTGGTTTAAAAATGCTGGTTCAACCCACTGTACTGGTTTCACAACCCACTGTACTGATTTCACAACCCAAAGCACTGATGGGCTGAGAGGCACAGTTTGAGAAACAGTGCAATACGCCTGCTCTTAATGGCAGGGCCAAGTCTTGCCCTAGCTCTGGCCCCAGACCAGGACCCTCAGCTACCTGCCACACTGCCCCTCACTTGGAAAACAGCTCCGTACACACAGATAAACTCCTGGAGAGATGGGACGTACTCAGCCTGGCGTGTGGCAAAACAGCTGCACATTCAGAGTTTCACTCTTGTTGCCCCGGCTGGAGTGCAATGGTGCAAACTCGGCTCACTGCAACCTCCACCTCCCGGGTTCAAGCGATTCTCCTGCCTCAGCCTCCTGAGTAGCTGGGATTACAGGGGCCCGCCACCACGCCCAGCTAATTTTTTGTATTTTTAGTAGAGATGGGGCTTCACCATGTTGGCCAGGCTGGTCTCGAACTCCTGACCTCAGGTGATCCACCCACCTCGGCCTCCCAAAGTGCTGGGATTACAGGTGTCAGCCACTGCACCCAGCCTTTTTTTTTGAGGAATTTCACTTCCGTCGTCCAGTCTGGAGTACAGTGGCGCACTCTCAGCTCACTACGACCTTCGCCCCCAGATTCAAGCAATTCTCATGCCTCAGCCTCCTGAGTAACTGGGATTACAGGTATGCACCACCACGCCTGGCTTTTTTTTGCATTTCTAGCAGAGACAAGGTTTCACCACATTGGCCAGGCTGGTCTCGAACTCCTGTCCTCAAGTGATCTGCCCACCTGGGGCTCCCAAAGTGCTGGGATTACAGGCACTGAGCCACGGCGCCCGGCCTGCACCTGCACATTTACACAGTCATTCCTGGGTAACATAAATGTCAAGTCCCCTGGGACACTGACAGCATCTCAGGGTTGACGTGTGACAACACCTCACGTCATGGCAAGTACTTAAATGTGCATCTTAGAATTCTTGTTAAGAATGAGCTTCCACAGATCCACACTTCTGCGTCTCCCTTTTCTGACAATTACCTTATGTCTCAGGCTGCAAAATACCCAAAAGAAAGATTGACACGCCACGATCACTCTGCATAACATCCAGACACATCTAAGGAGCACTTTCTTCCAAGGCAAAACCACCTCACATCTGTGTAGTACTTTTATCTTCCGAAAACATTTTCATATTCCCCTCCCAATCAGACTCTCACAACGATGCCTCCATCTGGGAGGGGAACTGAGGCATGTTACCGAGGGCTGAGCTTGGCCTGATGCCTCAGAGCTGTGCCGCTTCTCAAAAGAACACAGACAGGCCGGGCGCAGTGGCTCATGCCTGTAATCCCAGCACTTTGGGAGGCCAAGGCGGGCAGATCACCTGAGGTCAGGAGTTGGAAACCAGCCTGGCCAACATGATAAAATCCTGTCTCTACTAAATACAAAAATTAGCCAGGACTGGTGGCGTGCACGTGCAATTCCAGCCACTCGGGAGGCTGAGGCAGGAGAATCACTTGAACCCGGGAGGCAGAGGTTGCAGTGAGCCGAGATCGCACCACTGCACTCCAGCCTGGGTGACAAGAGCAAAGCTCCGTCTTAAAAAAAAAAAAAAAAAAAAAAAGAACACAGCCTCCCACCTCATATTTCCTGACACGGGGCCTCAGGATGGCACTAACGGTTCCCTCACCCAGGGAGGTAGAAGGACTTGGACACAAGACGGCAGAGACTTCTTAACTGGATTGATTGGGAATGACTGCCCAGAGCACAGCGTGGAGAAGGCGCTCGGCCCCCGCCCAGGCAGGCAGAGCACCATGATGGGTTCACGATGCCCTATGCCAGGGTCGTGGGTGACAGGTGTGTTTGCCATCTCTAAGCCGGGTGTGCTTCTCCTGCCTTTTGAGAGCTGGAGCTGAGAGGCACAGGCCCTTTCTGGCAATGACCCGGGCTGCCCGATGCCCAGCCAGAAGCAGACCAGCTGCAGACTCTGTCCACAGGGAGGGACGGGTACGGTCCCCTTTCCTCTCCAACTCCAAAAGCAGCTTCAGAGCATGACATCACCCAACACGGGCGGGGGGACCGGAAGGCCCCAGAGCAGGGACTGTACTCACCAGCAACAGGGCTTCCAGCTGGTTAATGTAGATCTCTTCGCTGGCCAAGAACCCCGAGAGAACCAGCTTCCTCATCTCCAGGCCTTTCCCTGCTTCCACCTGCACAAACGCAAAGCACAGCCAACAGCTCATGAGCAAGGAGGCCAAAACCCTGCGTGGACGGTCTGCTTCCCTGCCCTTCCCCCCCGACCTTTATTTTTTTTTTGAGACGAAGTCTCGCTCTGTCACCTAGGCTGAAGTAAAGTGGCACAATCTCGGCTCACTGCAACCTCCGCCTCCCGGGTTCCAGTGATTCCCCTGCCTCAGCCTCCCGAGTAGCTGGGATTACAGGCACCTGCCACCATGCCCAGATAATTTTTGTATTTTTAGTAGAGATGGGGTTTCACCATGTTGGCCAGGCTGATATAGAACTCCTGACCTCAGGTGATCCACCCACCTCAGCCTCCCAAAGTGCTGGGATTACAGGTGTGAGCCACCATGCCCAGCCATTATGCCAGACTAATTTTTTTTGTATTTTTAGTAGAGATGGGGTTTCACCATGTTGGCCAGGCTGGTATAGAACTCCTGACCTCAGGTGATCCGTCCGCCTCAGCCTCCCAAAGTGCTGGGATTACAGGCGTGAGCCACCGCGCCCGGCCCCCCTTTCCCCTTTCCTTTTATTTTAAGCGACACTTTCATAGGGGATAAAAGTCAGATATTATTATAAAAAATATACAAAACATGCAGAAATATAAAAGGAAAAGACAATCACCCATATTCCTCCTGTAACATCTCGTTTTGCTTCCCTCAATCTATTTTCCACCTGGGTTCTCGAACCGACTTTTCCTCCCTCTCTTCCTCTCCTCCTGCCTGTCCCACACACCAGAGCTGGATTCAACTCCTAAGAGTGCCACCTTGCCCGATGCTTGCCAAGGACCGAGTATGAATACCGCAAAACGCGAGTACTTGGGGATTCCACTGGGCTATGTGTCCATTTATTTATTCATTCAATAAATATTTACTGAATGTCCACCAGGCCCTATAGATACCATGGGAAACAGACAGTGGCCCCTGTTCTCAAGTGGCTTAGACTCTAGTGGGAAAGACATTTATTTTTTCTTTTTTTTTTTTTTTTAGAGACGGAGTCTCGCTCTGTCGCCCAGGCTAGAGTGCAGTGGCGCGATCTCGGCTCACTGCAAGCTCCGCCTCCCGGGTTCACGCCATTCTCCTGCCTCAGCCTCCCGAGTAGCTGGGACTACAGGCTCCCGCCACCACGCCCAGCTAACTTTTTGTATTTTTAGTAGAGCCGGGATTTCACCGTGTTAGCCAGGATGGTCTCGATCTCCTGACCTCGTGATCCGCCCGCCTTGGCCTCCCAAAGTGCTGGGATTACAGGTGTGAGCCACCGCACCCTGCCGGAAAGACATTTAAAAAACAAGTAAAGATTCGGCCCTAGACTGGGACATGGGGCCCACCATATCCTTTATGAGCCACCTGCAGTGGCCCGGATGCCCGTCCCTACCCTTCCAGTCTTTCCCACAGCCAGGACATCGCTCAGTCTCCCCCACACGCAGGAGAACCAGCCTCCTCATCTTCAAAGGTCTCTAGCTTTCGGTTCGTTCTTTACCTGCTGCCTAAAATGCCATCTTTCCCTGAGGCATCGTGGCCACAGAAGGGGAGTGAGAGGGCCGGGGAGACAGGGTAGTGGTGAGGGACTGCTTGGAAGATGCTACACTGGTAGGTTTGAAGACAGAGGATGGGGCCACGAGCTAAGGAATGCAGAGAGCCTTTGGAAGCTGGAAATGGCAATAAAATGAACTCACTCCCCTAGAGCAGGGGCTTCCGATCTTTTGGCTCCCCTGAGCCACACTGGAAGAAGACGACTGTCTTGGGCCACACATAAAATACAATAACACTAACGACAGCAGATGAACTAAAAGAAAAATATATAATGTTTTAAGAGTTTACAAATTTGTGTCGGGCCACATTCAAAGCAGTCCTGGGCCGTATGGCCGCAGGCTGGAAAAGCTTGCCCTAGAGCTTCCAGAAGCAATGCAGCCCTGGAGATCCTTTTTATTTTAATTAATCTATTTATTTATGTATTTACTTATTGAGACAAAGTCTCCCTCTGTCGCCCAGGGCTGGAGTGCAATGGCATGATCTCAGCTCACTGCAACCTCTGCCTCCCAGGTTCAAGCGATTCTCCTGCCTCAGCCTCCCGAGTACCTGGGATTACAGGCGTCCACCATCACACCCACTAATTTTTGTATTTTTAGTAGAGATGGGGTTTCACCATGTTGGCCAGGCTCGTCTCAAACTCCTGACCTCAGGTGATGCGCCCGCCTCGGCCTCCCAAAGTGCTGGGATTACAGGTGTGAGCCATGGAGCCGGGCCGAGATCCTTTTTAGATTTCTGTATAAGAGAATAAATTTGTGTGGTTTTAAGCCCTTAAGTTTGTGGCGATTTGTTTCAGCAGCATTAGAAAAGCAAGACAGACCCCACGCTTCAGGCAAGGGCAATAGTTACTTATTGGCGGCTTCACAAATTCCAGGAACTGAGCTTAGCTATCTTTGTGGTTCAATTCACCGGAGTCTCAAAACCTGGCAGGTGTTATCATCTTCCTGAGGCACCGAGAGTCGGGACTGCCAGAGGCCTGCACAGCCTCCAGCACACGTAGCCCCGGGGGACAAGATCAGAGCCTGGAACAGCCCCCAGCTCCAGCCCCTCCAGGTCAGACCCTCAGGGGTCTTCCTGCTGCTTCCCAGCCTTGACAAATGGGAACTCATCCCCTGTGCTGGGGGCTAGCACTCCCTCCTGTTCCCTGCCAACCAAGGTTTTGCCTGAGGGTTTAGCAAATGCCACACCGTGAGCTGTAACTGTAGAGCTGGTTGGACTAGGATGGGGGGAAGAAAGGGATTTGCAGCCCCAGCCACAAACAAGCTTCATCCCCCCTGGCACGAGCATAGACCCTGGAAGCCCTGTAATCGCCCATTTCTGCAAGATCCTCCCCTCAAGACTTCCATTCATAGTCCACTCTTGAAAGGCTGGTTCTGATGGGAAGACAACTCAGGAAGACCCTCCCTCAAGAGGCAACAGTCAGCCCCAAGAGTCCTGCTCTGGGCCCCGTTCACGCTGCAGTTTTGGCTGAGATTGGAGCAAAGGCGTTGGAGAGCGTACGGATGGGAAATTAGCCTCGGTGCACTTGGCTAACAGGAGACCCGTTGCTCAGTCACCACCAAAGGAAGGCCTGTTCCATCTCCCATCTTTTCCAGCTTTCCTCAGACTCCACAATTCCCAGTTTAGAGCCATGAGGAAATTCACATTGTTTCTTCAGTCTTTGCAGGGCGTCTCTTGTCTCATCAAAAACCAGGCTCACCACTCACTCACCCATTCCCACCGGGAGCCAGGCACTGGGAATACGAAGGTGAAGGAGAGGTGCCCACGTGCCTAGAATGCTCCGGAGCGAGTTCTCTAAAGAGTTCCAGGTCCCACAGCCTCTGCCACGCTGCCTACCTGTCTCCAGCACCGGGAAGCTGCCTGTCCTCACTTCCTCCCAGCCAGAACTTGTGAAATGCAGTCCTGGTGGGTTCGTTTATCCTCAGCATCCTGCACAATCTGCTAGGCTGACAGTGTGGCAGCTTGAAGCCGCCAAACCAAAGACGTCAGGTCACTCTGGTAGGAACAATGTCTAGAGATAAGGCGTGGCCAGCTCAGGCCTGGTCCTCCACAGAGTTGAGAGGCTAAATAAAGCCTCCAAACATCTGGTTCCAGGCCAAGCAAAGACACAATCTCTCCAGTAGCACTGGCCTCCAAGACAACAAGCAGGGCTGGCTCTCTGGCTGCGACTCAAGGCTATAGGGCATGCAGCGAGGGTCTGAGGCTTCACAGACGGTAGAAGTCAGTTCACGGGCCACAGCTGGCTGCCAGGAGTACCCAGCAGGATCTGCTCAGAGTAGATGCCACTGGGCCTGGGGGTGGGGGTGGCCGTGCCTGGGGCTTATACCCACACCAAGCATCAACCTCAGGACAACTGGCCCATCTCAGTCTCAGGACAGCTGAGGCAGTGTAGAGGCATCGAGAGACCCTCTCCTCTCCCAGCGCTAGGCGCTGAGGAAGTCTCTTTCAGCTGCTTCCTTGGCAGAATTTAGAACAGAGAAGACGGGTCAACTGCTGGGGGACAAAGACCAAATTCCAGTGGCCCCTCTCTCCTGAAGGGTGGATCCCCGTATTCTGGGCTCCCTATTGCTGTCTGAGGTCTTAGGCAGGCACCATAGGGCACAGGCAATGTTTTGAAACTTTGGTTGTTCATATCCCACCCTTAAAATTTTGCCATACTCACATACCACCACCTGCACTATTCTTTACTCAATATTGTTCTTTACAGTAACTTTTTTTTTTTTTTTTTTTTTTTGAGACAGAGTCTCACTGTGTCACCCAGGCTGGAGTGCAGTGGCAGGATCTTGGCTCACTGCAACCTCCATCTCCCGGGTTCAAGTGATTCTCCTGCTTCAGCCTCCTGAGTAGTTGGGATTACAGGTGCACGCCACCACGCCCAGATACTTTTTGTGTTTTTAGTAGAGACAGGGTTTCACCATGTTGGCCAGGCTGGTCTTGAACTCCTGACCTCATGATCCACCGCGCCCAGTCTCCCAAAGTGCTGGGATTACAGGCATGAGCCACTGCGCCCAAGAACTGACTTGTAAAAAGCAGTCTTACCCTACACGTATTTGAAATCGTAAGAAAAATGTACAGGTCATATTTTTTCTAATATATATTAAAATATATACTTAACCATTAAAATGCAAAATATAGATCGAGGTGCCACCGATCATTTCTCAAATCACCACGTGGGGCCCGCACTTAGAAAAACATCCAAATGGGGGATACAGGCATGATGTGCAGGCACAAGAGACCTGGGCAGGTGAAACAGAAATAGAGATGTTTCAGATGATCCATTAAAAACTGGCACAGAATTGGGCTGGGCTCAGTGGCTCACTCCTGTAATCCCAGCACTTTGGGAGGCCAAGAGGGGCAGATTGCTTGAGCCCAGGAGTTACAGACTAGCATGGGCAACATGGTGAAACCCTGTCTCTACAAAAATATAAAAATTAGCCCAACGTGGTGGCATGTGCCTGTAGTGAGGGGGAGGCTGAGGTGGGAGGACTGATTGAGTCTGGGAGGTGGAGGCCACAGAGAGCCATGATTGTGCCATCGCACTCCAGCCTGGGTGACAGAGTGAGACTCTGTCTCAAAAGAAAAAAAAAAATGGCACAGAATGATACCTAAAGGGTTAATCTGCATTACAAAAGGGTTTTTATTCCTGACAAATAAGTTCCTTAAAATAGCACCTTCTACAACGCCCCCGTCACAACCCTACCTATCTTTAAATAGAATGGCATGAAACATTTTTGGCAAGTGTAAGCCATTTTACAAATGCAACATGACGCTGCTATCAGTATTTTATTTGCATTACCAGTTTTACAGATCAATAACTCTTCAAAGGTAAGTCTGGGCTGAGATATGCAGCAAACTCCAGCTATAGCTTTGGAGAAAACTGCAGCCAACTTTACCTCTGCCCCCCAGGAAGATGAAGCGTCTTGGAAATGACACTGGAAACAGGATTGATTTATGGGCCTGGCACTTGGGCACATGCTCACAACGCAACTGCTGCTTAAGGTAAGTACCCCTAAAGTAAAGTAATAGCAAAGAGAATTGCCTTGGATTCCTACTAGCTGCCAGGGAAGGGTGTGCCAAGAACCTCTGCAGCCCAGGACAGGAGTGTATCATCCAGAAATGACCCTTGGCCTGCACACACACACACATGCACGCATCCAGGCCATCCCCAACTCCACTAGAAGTGGTCCCTTCTCCCCTGAATTTGGTGCCCTTTTATCAGTACTCTTCTCACAGTCTTTTTTTTTTTTTTTTTTTTGAGACTGAGTCTCACCCTGTCGCCCAGGCTGGAATGCAGTGGCATGATCTTGGCTCGCTGCAACCTCTGCCTCCCAGGTTCAAGCGATTCTCCTGCCTCAGCCTCCTGAGTAGCTGGGATTACAGACGCCCACCACTACGCCCGGCTAATTTTTGTATTTTTAGTAGAGATGTGGTTTCACTATATTGGTCAGGCTGATCTCGAACTCCTGACCTCAGGTGATCCGCCCACCTCAGCCTCCCAAAGTGCTGGGAATACAGGCGTGTGCCACCGCATCTGGCCCACCCTGCCTACTTCCGTACTCTATTCCTACTCCCTGTACCTGCCCCTTGCTCTGAACGCCTTGTGAGGGAAGATCACGCCTTGTTCCTCTTGTCATCTCTACAGTGCCAGGCAGGGTGCTCTGAAGAGCACCTAACCTGAGAGTGTTTGTTGAATGAATCCAGGAGCTTTCTTCCCACCGCTCTGTGGCCACCTGCTTGTCTTCTCCCTCTGAGGCCAATGCCGGTAGAGGAGGGAGGAATTCTAGAGGTGTTCAGGATGGAGCAGGGAGCCTGGAACTCCCCGGCATTCGAGAAAGGTCTCCTTCCCCCATGCTGGCAGCAAAGTAGAGGGGAAGACACCATCCCGGTGCTCACGGGGACCCAGGAGGAGCAGCGTTTTCAGGTGTGACACGTGCTCAGGCTCTCTTGGCATCCGTGGGCCACCGCCGTACACAGCAGGACACCTCTGAGATGGAGCGAGGCTGGGAACCTGGTGCACCCTTCGTGGGCCCCAGCGGGCCTCACACATTGTGCAGACTCTCACAGGCACCAGCCCCACACCAAGCACTGTGCAGTGTTCAGCAATGAATATGACATGGTCCTGGTCCTCCAGGAGAATGGGATATAATTGCGGAGGCAAATGTCTAGAGTTCTGAGCATCTGAGCAGAATGAAATACGGGCTTAGCTGAGGCATACGCCGGGGTCCAGCAGAAGGGGAGGTCCAGGAGGCAGCCTCTGAGTGGGCCCACATCTGTGCTGGGGGCTTCCCAGAGGAGGCCCATGAGGGCCACACACCTCCCATCCCAGCATTGCTACTCCCAGCCTGACTCCTGGCTCAGGAGCAGACTTTCCCACCCTGTTCCTAGTGGGGAGGCTGGTCAGACCCTAAGTGCAGAGGCCTCCCTGAGCCCACGGGGAGACGTGACTTACCCCCACGGCCCTACGCCAGCACCAGATCAGAGAAGACAGGGTGGGGTGCCAGCCACTGCCAGCCTCCCTACAGCTCCACTCCCCACCCAGGCCTGCAGCCACCGCTCCACCCATACTCACACATCAGCCATCTCCCGTGGTTCTGCATCTATTTTTACCTCCATTGGCTCCTCCTCAGAGCCACACTGTAGAGTGGGTGGGGCAGGACTGTGATCCCCATCTTCTGTGAGGGGCAGGGAGGCCCAGAGAGGTTCAGGGACAGCCTCCCGTCCCCAGCAATGCTGGCTGCACATGCCTTCTAGGCCCCGCCGATGGGCACTCGGTTAGGCAGCCTCGCCTAGCAGTCTGCAAACTCCCCGAAACGCATCCTCACTGGGCCTCCCTTCTCGACACAGAACCAGAGAGCAGCTGAGCAAAAGGCTGAGGTGGAAGCTCTGAGAGGTGTGTCCAGGAGAGAAAAAGGAAGACCGCTGTGGTGTGCCGGGCCAGACTCACAGAGCCGGCGTGGTTCCGGGGCCGCCCCGCTCCTCAAGGGATTCTGGCCACCACTGCCCTCCAGTTCCACCGGGAGCCAACCTCTCCTACAGGACGGGTCACTGCTGCAGAGAACGCCGTCAGCCCCAGAGCGGGTGGGCCAGGGCCCAGCAGATGCTCCCTGCCTGTCCCGCCTCGGGAAGGGCACCTGCCCACCTGGCTGCAGCCTCCAAGCCAGCTGTTCCCTCCCCCCTTCAGCTGACCCAGTGCTTTTCCTTCAAGGAAGCTCAGTGACCTCTGGCTCTTGCCCTTTGCAAACACCCTCTTGCCTCAGCTCGGAGACACCAAGTCCCTGTCTCCTGGCTGGGAAGAGGGTGGCCCCTCTCTTGCGGTTGCCGTGGAAACGGGGGATTCCTGCCCACCCGCTCCAGGGAGGCGGCGAGGCTCGGGCTGACAGGCGCGCCAGGTGACTCCTGGCACAGCCGCCGGAGCCCTGAGCTGGGCTGGCCTGGAGGGGGCGGCCACCACTGCCCCGAGGACACCGGTCGGGGAGGCAGGCCCGCCCCTCTCCCCCGGGAACAGCTGCCGGGGCCGGGACCCTCCGCCGAGGGCTTCCACCCGGCCGCGCGCTCTGCGCCCGCATCAGCCATTTCTCCCGCGCACCTTCGGCAGCGCCGGCCCGGCCCCCCCCAGCGCCCAGGGCGTGTCACGCTCCCACCTTCACAGCCACCAGGAAGGGGGACCCTGAGCCGGGGCTGGTCGGGGTTCCCAGCTCGCACTCCTCCAGGAGAAACACATCTTCGTCCTCCAGAACCTTGTCCAGCAAGCCTATCGCCTCCTCTTCCTCCTCCATGGCAGCCGGAGCCCGCGGAGGGCAGACAGGAAGCGGGGTCCACGCAGCGGCGGCGGGAGGAGGGAGGAGGGAGGAGGCGGGCGGGAGGGGGGGCAGGTCTACACCCGCGCGCCCGGCCTGGGGCTCCCGACCCGGGACTGCATCCCGGACCTAGTCCAGCCCGCTCCGCCGCCGCCGCCGCCGCCTCGCGCGTCCTCGCCCGGCGAAAGGGGGAGCAAGGCCCGGGCAGCCCCTGACGCCGTGCCCGGCCCGTGGCGGAGGCGAACCCGCCGCACAGCAGCCCAGCGCCCTCCTCCGTGTCCCGCCCGGCCCCGCAGGGCCCGCCCTTCCCGGGCTCCGGGGCTCGGGCTCGCGCTCGCTCCGAACACACAGGAAACGCGCGTCGCGAGGTGGAGCCGCCCGTCCTCTGGGGTTGCGGGGCCGCGGCTGGCGGAGGCTTCTGCGGCGGAGGAGGAGCGAGGAGGCCGCGGCCGGGCCGGGGTGGGGTGGAGCGGGGAGGCCGCTTCCCAGACGCATCTTCATTCCCCGCGCGCGGCCGAGCCAGGAGCCCGGCGAGCAGGGGCGACCCCCAGAGCCACCCCGGAGTCCCCATGCGCCGGAGCCCCCTTCCGGAGGGGAGGCCCCGGCCCGCCCAGAAGCCACAGCCGCGTCCCGCCGCCGCTGGAGGAGTCAGGCTTTGCAACAGACAGGCCTGACCTGCCCCCAGGCAGGAGCGCGGCGCCACCACTGTCCTGCACAGGAGCGGTGGGCGTCCCACTCACAGGGACCAGGATCCCCCTCCTCCAAGCAGCCCCCCTCCTCCGAGCAGTCCCCCCACTCACGGACGCTACTGACACCAGCACCCCCACCTCCTCTGAGCAGCCCCCCCACTCACAGACCAGCCCCCCTACTCACAGGCGCTGCAGAGACCAGGACCCCCACCTCCTCTGAGCAGCCTCCCACCTACTCACAGGCACTGCTGAGACCAGCACCCCCACCTCCTCCAAGCAGCCCCCCCAGCCACCCCACCGCAGGGAGCCATCCTGCAAGGGGAGTGCACACAGAACCCAGGACAGGCACCATCTCCGGCCCTGCCCACTCCCAGCCAGCTTCCCCTGGCTTCTCCAATGGTTGCAGAACCCCCAACTGTGCAGGGAGTGAGGCCACATTCTGGTCCCCCTGGCCCTAGTTCCCAGATGCACATACACCTCCTTCCATGGGAGGAGGAGTCCAGAGGAGGCCCTGGGAAAAGCTCTTTTACAACCCAACGATGGAGCAAAGGTTGCAAACGGCACCCATGAGGGTGCGGGTGAGGCCTGCGGGTGAGGCCAGCCGGTGAAGCGAGCCAGGTAGGGCAGGGTGAAACCACCACTCACTCCAGCCGATGGCTGCTGGAGGAAACGCAAGCTCATGGCTGCCTGATCTCTGTTCAAAATAAGCTAAAATCTGGCTTATTAACAGGAATGCTCCTGATTTTAAAACGATGGCAAATAATTAACATTTTAAAACAACATGGTGCCGTCTAAATGAACCACACCTGTGGCCCGAGTTCAGGCCACAGCCCCCCACTCCCCCCAGAATTCTTCAGAAGCTCTGGGCTCTAGGTGGGGCTCATGCAATTCCATTGGCAGCAGAGAAGCTGCCCTCCCTGGAGAGAGGCTCCATCCTGTTGCAGAGCTGAAATACAGAGCAGGGGATTGCGGGGTGAGCCCTTGAGGGGCCCCAGGGCTAACAGCCTTTGATCAGGGAACTGTGCCACCAGGGTTCAACAGAGGCACACCCCCACCCCACCCATCTCCTTCCAGCCCCTGGTTTTCCCCTGTCCCTGCCTGGGTGGGTTATAAATAGCCAGGGCGCATCTGAAGGGCCCTTTCAGCCACAATTCCTCATTTGGTGCGGGCGGGTGAGGCTGTGGCGAGGGCTTGGGAACGACCAGGCCTGGCATTCCCCAGGGCACAAGTATGCCAGCTCAGGGCCTGGTACCACGGGTTCTTCTGTCTCCCGCCCGGCGGGCTCCAAGTGCATGGCATGGGCTGCCCACATGAGTCAGACCTGCAGGTGACACGAAGAAGGGCCTAAAACCCCACAGGCCCCTGCTGTGTTCCTTCCTCCACTCAAGAGGACATGAGGTGCCCTTGGAAGTCTGCCAGGATATCCTCGTCCCCGTTCCCCACACCTCTACACGGCATGGTGAGACTGACGCCCACTTCTTCCCAAAATCCCTGAACCCCACACAAGTGACTCCCTGAGTATCCAGGGCCTCTCTACTCCACCCTGTCCCCGGTGGCTGGAAATTCCAGTGAGTAATGAGAGTGCCCCTCCATCAGACACAGACTCCACTCACAGGCCCTCGGTGCCCCCCTGGAGGGGAAGTGACTCACCAGTCCCCACAGCTTCCCTCCCCTTCCCTGACAAATGCCCTGAGCCAGCCCTGGACCTGAGCTCCACACTCCATCTGCCTCGGCCTGGCTCCTAATGTTCTCCATAGAAGCAGCCTGCTTCAAAGGCCCCCCCAAACGGTTTATTCCAAAGCCAGAGGCCTCCCTCTCCGACTCTTTGGCCTCTGCAGTCTAGAGTTTCTCCAAGCCCTCAGCTGCCCTGTTGATGCAGGCACTGCCCCGACCACTCTCTGGTGTAGGCTGGCCCTTCATTCTCCCGCCTCCTGTAAATGTGGAGTCACTTGCTTGGGCCCAGCCTCAGCCCTCTGCTCCCTTCCCCCAGAGAAGCAGCCCTTCTCCCTTCCAGGCCAGTGGTGGCCCGCTGCCAGCTGCAGCCCTGGTGTCTTGCTGGGCTCTAGGTCTAGCACCTGCCCCGGCCACTGGGTCTCCTCACTTGGAAGCCCAGCCACGGCCCTTCCACTCCACACATCTGGACCAAAGGACCCTTCCTCCTTCTGAAACAGCTTCCCCTTCCGGGTTTCCACTTCTGTTAGTGCGGCCGCCATCTTACGAGTCTTCCTTCCCTCAACCCCCACATCCCTTTTACCAAGTCCTTCGGTTCTTCTTTTCCTTTGCCAAAGCCACCACCCCACCAAGCTTTAGAGCCTCTTACACCCACACGACCACACGTACTTCCCCACTTTGGCTCCTGATCTTGTCTGTCCATCTGTCTGTTCATTCATTCATTCATACCCAGAAAAGGCCTGGCATGGCACACATACGAGGCTGGGAGACGGGGCCCTTGCCGTTCTCAGGCTCTCGATCCGTCTGGGGTGAGGACGTGTGAACACACGAGGCAGTGTTCTCGTTTACCAGCCACCCTGGGGATGGAGGACAGTGGCACTAACGCTGCCTGAGAGTGAAAGCTTCACAGGACAGTGGCTTCTGAGTAGCATCTGGAAATAGGGAAGGGTTTCCAGGCAAAGAAGAGAAGGCCCGAAAGGAAAGGGTTAAGCAGCTTCAGCAACCCGGTTGCAGTGGCGCACCTGAAATCTCAGGTACTCAGGAGGCTGAGGTGGGAGGATCGTTTGAGCTCAAGAGTTGGAGGCTGCAATGAGCTATGATCGCACCACTGCACTCCAGCCTGGGCAACAGAGCCAGACTCTGTCTTGAGGGAGGGAGGGAGGGAGGAAGGAAGGAAGGAAGAGAGGAAGGAAGGCAGGTTAAGAAGCGCTGCTTGCTAGAGGACAGAAGATGAACTTGGAGAAGTGGGCTGAACAGCATCATGGAGGGTGAGGGGCATAAGCACACACCACACCTAGCTACTGTTTGAAATCTTTCGCAGCCACTGAGATTTCTGACACCATCAAGTCTAAATCTCAGTCTCCAATGGTTGACTCCCCACAGTCTTCCCCCACACCCACCCTCCATTCCCTCCTTCCCTGACCCAATCAGCAAGCATTTGTTAACGCCTGACCCAATCAGCAAGCATTTGTTAACGCCTGACCCAATCAGCAAGCATTTGTTAACCACCTGACCCAATCAGCAAGCATTTGTTAACGCCTGACCCAATCAGCAAGCAGTTGTTAACCGCCTGACCCAATCAGCAAGCATTTGTTAGCCGCCTGCTGTGCACCAGGCAGTGTGCTAGCATCGGAATGCAGCCATGGACAGGGAACCCCGTGCCTACCCTCGCGGAGCTGACAGTCTCAGGGACAGATTGACCTGGTGACTGACTCCCAAGGCAGTGTCAAGGGAGGGGCAAGGCCGTACTGGGGAGGGGAGCAGTGTCAGAACTCTGCAGCTGAGGTGCCACTTTTCTGGAAGGGATAACATGGAAACACCTATTGCGATTTTTTTTTTTTTTTTTTTTTTTTTTGAGACGGAGTCTCGCTCTGTCACCCAGGCTGGAGTGCAGTGGCATGATCTCAGCTCACTGCAACCTCCGCCTCCTCGGTTCAACCCATTCTTTCGCCTCAGCCTCCCAAGTAGCTGGGATTACAGGAACCCGCCACCAGGCCCGGCTAATTTTTGTATTTTTAGTAGAGATGGGGTTTCATCATGTTGGCCAGGCTGGTCTCGAACCCCTGACCTCAGGTGATCCACCCGCCTCGGCCTCCCAAAGGGCTGGGATTACAGGTGTGAGACACGGCACCTGGCCCACTGCTTATTTTTAGATTCGACTTTAAACGTCACCTCCTCCAGGGAGCCTCCCGTGACTCCCCGTTGGCTGCGTCAGATGTGCCCGCTGGTGCCCTCAGAGCCCACTCTACGTTCCCAATCGTGGCACTTCTATTTTAACTTCTTTATTTTCCTGTTACATCACTAACAATTCTAACTCTGTAGACACACATAATAAAGAAAGAGAAAGTCTCCTCTGGTTCCCTCTGACAGAGGGAGCCTCTAAGAGTTAGTTATACATTTTTCCTTATTTGTGTCCACGAATAAACTATACATATAGGCCGGGTGCAGTGGCTTACGCCTGAAATCCCAACAGTTCGGGAGGCCGAGGCAGGAGGATCACTCAAGCCCAGGAGTTTGAGACCAGCTGGGCAACATGGCAAGACCTCATCTCTATAAAAATTTTAAAAAATAATTAGCTGAGTGTGGTGGCATGCTCTTGTGGTCCCGGCTTCTTGGGAGGCTGAGGCAGGAGGATTGCTTGGGTCAGGATATTGAGGCTGCAATGAACTGTGTTTGTGCTACTGTGTTCCAGACTGGGCCACAGAGAAAGACCCTGTCTCAAAAAAAAAAAAAAAATTAGGCTGGGCGCAGTGGCTCACGCCTTTAATCCCGCACTTTGGGAGGCCGAGGCAGGTAGATCACTTGAGTTCAGGAGTTCGTGACCAGCCTGGTCTACGTGGTAAAACCCTGTCTCTACTAAAAATACAAAAATTAACCAGGAGGGGTGGCACAGGCCTGTAATCCCAGCTACTCTGGAGGATGAGGCACAAGAGAATTCCTTGAATCCGGGAGGCAGTGGTTGCAGTGAGCTGAGATCACACCACTGCACTCTAGTCTGGGCGACAGAGCAAGACTCTGTCTCAAAAAAAAAAAAAAAAATTATGGCCGGGCGCAGTGGCTCACACCTGTAATCCCAGCACTTTGGGAGGCTGAGGCAGGCGGATCACCTGAGGTCAGGAGTTTGAGACCATCCTGGCTAACACGGTGAAACCCCGTCTCTACTAAAAATACAAAAATTAGCTAGGCGTGGTGGTGGACGCCTGTAGTCCCAGCTACTCAGGAGGCTGAGGCAGGAGAATCGCTTGAACCCAGGAGGCGGAGGTTGCAGTGAGCCGAGATCGCGCCACTGCACTCCAGCCTGGGTGACAGAGAGAGACTCCGTCTCAAAAAAAAAAAGCAGTGGTTAGAGATGCTGGTGGGGCTGGGGAACAGACAGGAGAGAGACTATGTGAGGCACAATGACATGAGTTTAGTCTGGCTGGTTCATGCATTCATTCAGCTAATATTTACTGAGCACCTACTGTGTGCCAGGCACAGTTCTCGGCACCAGAGACTGCAATGAGCAAGTTTTGTTACAAAACCGACAAAATCTCTCTCTCGTGAGAGTTCACAATTCTAGCACGGAGTTGGTCCTGAGGCCACAGAGGTAGGCAGGGGGTCCAGGGGTCAGGTCACACAAGGCCTTGACAGCTGTGCAAAGGGAAGGGGGGCCCCATAGGCGAAGGGAAGGTGCTGGAGGATTTCAGGACAGGTGTGACAGGACATGCATCCTGCATCCCTCCTGCTGACATCAGATGACTCTTTCTAAAACACTGCTCACTCTATGCCCAGCAGGAAGCCACCAAGCCAGCCCAAACAAGAGCCATGGGGCCCCAGCTGATGACTCACCCATCTCACTGTTGACAGTAACCTCTCAAAGGGCCTGGCACGTTCTCACTTCCAGGCCTTTAACAACGGCAGGTCCTCGGCTTGAAGCACTTTCTCCCGCCTCTTGGCTTCTCCCTGGCTCTCCCAGCTTTCCTGGCAGAAACTCAAGCCCCACCTCCAGACTGTATGAAGCTCAGTAGCTCTTCAGCCAATGGGAACTGACACCAAAGGGCAAGTGCCAGGGCAGTTGCAGCCACTAACTGCAGCCACAGATGGGACTGGATTCGTCACCTTCCAGATCACCTTGCTCCTCCCTCTGCCTCCTCTCTGTTCTAGTACAGGTCACTCCAAAATCATATACATAGTTCAACTACATAAAGCTAATGTTGGCCAGATGCAGTGGCTCACGCCTGTAATCCCAGCACTTTGGGAGGCCGAGGCGGGCAGATCACCTGAGGTCAGGAGATCAAGACCAGCCTGGCCAACGTGGTGAAACCCCGTCTCTACTAAAAATACAAAAAATTAGCCAGGCGTACTGGCGGGTGCCTGTAATCCCAGCTACTAGGGAGGCTGAGGCAGAAGAATCACTTGAACCCCGGGAGGCGGAAGCTGCAGTGAGCCGAGATCACACCACTGCACTCCAGCCTGGGTGACAGAAGGAGACTCTGTCTCAAAAAAATAAAATACATAGGCTGGGCGAGGTGGCTCACGCCTGTAATCCCAGCACTTTGGGAGGCCGAGGCGGGCGGATCACCTGAGGTTGGGAGTTCAAGACCAGCCTGGCCAACATGATGAAACCCCATCTCTACTAAAAATACAAAATTAGCCGGATGTGGTGGCCTGTAATCCCAGCTACTTGGGAGGCTGAGGCAGGAGAATCACTTGAACCCAGGAGGCGGAGGCTGCAATGAGCCGAGATTGCGCCACTGGACTCCAGCCTGGGTGACAGAGGGAGACGCCATCTCAAATAAATAAATTACATAAAATAAAATAAAGCTAATGTTGAGGAGAAGCCGGTACACAACACTGTTTATAAGTGAAACAAATAAACTAAAACAGAAAGAAAACTCCCCTGCACTCTCGATGTGAGCCCCAGCTCTGCCTCTTGCCAACTGTGTGACCTGGGCATGTCATCTAGTCTCCCTGTGCCTCCGTTTCCTCATCTATAGAATGGGGGTAATTACGGCACCAACTCTAGGGCTGCTAGCTAGCCAGAAGACGGAGATCCCAGACAGGGCGTGAGAGCTGTGGGATGAGCCAGGCCAGCCAGGTGTGGTTCATCAGGGAAGATTAACAGTATGCAGAGGTGAGCAAGATCCCAGCCAGGTGTGAATCCAGGAGGGCTAGAGAGGATGGGAGCCAGCGATGACGGGACCCAGGGTCACAACCAAGGCACTAGCCTACCTACTTCCGACTTACCTCCTTCCCAACTGGGACAAGCCCAGGAGCCACCCTGAGCCTCAGTGTCTTCATCTACTAAACGGGGGGCAGCCCCATGGCTGGAGGACTTGGGTGGCAGGGCAGCCCCTGGGCTCCTAGCACAGCACCTGGCACACGGGAGGGTCCAGCTCGTGTCCTTCTCTTTGCAGCAGGGACCCAAGATCCAGGAAGGGGAGAAATGCAGGGGCCGGCTGCTGGGGGGCGGAGGCTGAAACTCGAGGAGTCCCTGAACCACACAGCCCAGGTCCAGAGCAGTCAGGAGGGAGTGGAGCAGGCACCATCTCAGGAGTTCCTGGCTGCCATGCCGCCTCTTCACGCACCTACCAGCAACCTCGAATCCCAAGCCCTAAGCCTTCTGAAGAGACCAAGAAAGGGAAGAAGAGGCTGCAGTTCTTCCCAGCGTTATCCCTGAGCCTGAGTTCCTCCCAGCTTTATCCCTGAGCCTGAGTCCTCCCAGCTTTATCCCTGAGCCTGAGTTCTTCCCAGCGTTATCCCTGAGCCTGAGTTCCTCCCAGCGTTATCCCTGAGCCTGAGTCCTTCCCAGCGTTATCCTTGAGCCTGAGTTCCTCCCAGCGTTATCCCTGAGCCTGAGTTCCTCCCAGCGTTATCCCTGAGCCTGAGTTCCTCCCAGCGTTATCCCTGAGCCTGAGTTCCTCCCCAGCGTTATCCCTGAGCCTGAGTCCTTCCCAGCGTTATCCCTGAGCCTGAGTTCCTCCCAGCATTATCCCTGAGCCTGAGTTCCTCCCAGCGTTATCCCTGAGCCTGAGTCCTCCCAGCGTTATCCCTGAGCCTGAGTTCCTCCCAGCGTTATCCCTGAGCCTGAGTCCTTCCCAGCTTTATCCCTGAGCCTGAGTTCTCCCCAGCGTTATCCCTGAGCCTGAGTTCTCCCCAGCGTTAACCCTGAGCCTGAGTTCCTCCCAGCGTTAACCCTGAGCCTGAGTTCCTCCCAGCGTTATCCCTGAGCCTGAGTTCCTCCCAGCGTTATCCCTGAGCCTGAGTTCCTCCCAGCGTTATCGCTGAGCCTGAGTTCCTCCCAGCGTTATCCCTGAGCCTGAGTTCCTCCCAGCGTTATCCCTGAGCCTGAGTCCTTCCCAGCGTTATCCCTGAGCCTGAGTTCCTCCCAGCGTTATCCCTGAGCCTGAGTTCTCCCAAGCGTTATCCCTGAGCCTGAGTTCTTCCCAGCGTTATCCCTGAGCCTGAGTCCCTCCCAGCGTTATCCCTGAGCCTGAGTCCCTCCCAGCGTTAACCCTGAGCCTGAGTTCCTCCCAGCGTTATCCCTGAGCCTGAGTTCTTCCCAGCGTTATCCCTGAGCCTGAGTCCTCCCAGCGTTATCCCTGAGCCTGAGTTCCTCCCAGCGTTATTGCCTGAGCCTGAGTTCTCCCCAGCGTTAACCCTGAGCCTGAGTTCCTCCCAGCGTTATCCCTGAGCCTGAGTTCCTCCCAGCGTTATCCCTGAGCCTGAGTTCCTCCCAGCGTTATCCCTGAGCCTGAGTCCTCCCAGCGTTATCCCTGAGCCTGAGTCCTCCCAGCGTTATCCCTGAGCCTGAGTCCTCCCAGCGTTATCCCTGAGCCTGAGTTCCTCCCAGCGTTATCCCTGAGCCTGAGTTCTCCCAGCGTTAACCCTGAGCCTGAGTTCCTCCCAGCGTTATCCCTGAGCCTGAGTTCTCCCCAGCGTTATCCCTGAGCCTAAGTTCTTCCCAGCGTTATCCCTGAGCCTGAGTTCCTCCCAGCGTTATCCCTGAGCCTGAGTTCCTCCCAGCGTTATCCCTGAGCCTGAGTTCCTCCCAGTGTTATCCCTGAGCCTGAGTTCTCCCCAGCTTTATCCCTGAGCCTGAGTTCCTCCCAGCGTTATCCCTGAGCCTGAGTTCCTCCCCAGCGTTATCCCTGAGCCTGAGTTCTCCCCAGCGTTAACCCTGAGCCTGAGTTCCTCCCAGCGTTATCCCTGAGCCTGAGTCCTCCCCAGCGTTATCCCTGAGCCTGAGTTCCTCCCAGCGTTATCCCTGAGCCTGAGTTCCTCCCAGCGTTATCCCTGAGCCTGAGTTCCTCCCAGCGTTATCCCTGAGCCTGAGTTCCTCCCAGCGTTATCCCTGAGCCTGAGTCCTCCCCAGCGTTATCCCTGAGCCTGAGTTCCTCCCAGCGTTATCCCTGAACCCGAGTTCCTCCCAGCGTTATCCCTGAGCCCGAGTTCCTCCCAGCGTTATCCCTGAGCCCGAGTTCCTCCCAGCGTTATCCCTGAGCCCGAGTTCCTCCCAGCGTTATCCCTGAGCCCGAGTTCCTCCCAGCGTTATCCCTGAGCCCGAGTTCCTCCCCAGCGTTATCCCTGAGCCTGAGTTCTCCCCAGCGTTAACCCTGAGCCTGAGTTCCTCCCAGCGTTATCCCTGAGCCTGAGTTCTCCCCAGCGTTATCCCTGAGCCTGAGTCCTCCCAGCGTTATCCCTGAGCCTGAGTCCCTCCCAGCGTTATTGCCTGAGCCTGAGTCCCTCCCAGCGTTAACCCTGAGCCTGAGTTCCTCCCAGCGTTATCCCTGAGCCTGAGTTCCTCCCAGCGTTATCCCTGAGCCTGAGTTCTCCCCAGCGTTATCCCTGAGCCTGAGTTCCTCCCAGCGTTATCCCTGAGCCTGAGTTCTCCCCAGCGTTATCGCTGAGCCTGAGTTCCTCCCAGCGTTATCCCTGAGCCTGAGTTCTTCCCAGCGTTATCCCTGAGCCTGAGTCCTCCCCAGCGTTATCCCTGAGCCTGAGTTCCCCCCAGCGTTATCCCTGAGCCTGAGTTCCTCCCAGCGTTATCCCTGAGCCTGAGTTCTCCCCAGCGTTATCCCTGAGCCTGAGTTCCTCCCAGCGTTATCCCTGAGCCTGAGTTCCTCCCCAGCGTTATCCCTGAGCCTGAGTTCTCCCCAGCGTTAACCCTGAGCCTGAGTTCCTCCCAGCGTTATCCCTGAGCCTGAGTCCTCCCCAGCGTTATCCCTGAGCCTGAGTTCTCCCCAGCGTTATCCCTGAGCCTGAGTCCTCCCAGCGTTATCCCTGAGCCTGAGTTCCTCCCAGCGTTATCCCTGAGCCTGAGTTCCTCCCAGCATTATCCCTGAGCCTGAGTCCTCCCAGCGTTAACCCTGAGCCTGAGTTCCTCCCAGCGTTATCCCTGAGCCTGAGTTCCTCCCAGCGTTATCCCTGAGCCTGAGTTCCTCCCAGCGTTATCCCTGAGCCTGAGTTCCTCCCAGCGTTATCCCTGAGCCTGAGTTCTTCCCAGCGTTATCCCTGAGCCTGAGTTCTTCCCAGCTTTATCCCTGAGCCTGAGTTCTTCCCAGCATTATTGCCTGAGCCTTCCTTTGCTCCTCCCTTCCTCCTGACTGAACATCCCAGAACTACTTGCTTCCATTCCACAAATACCAGTTGAGAACCCCTAGGTGCCAAGAAGCTTCCACTGGGGTCCACACAGATGATCAGGGATTAAGGTCCTGATCTTACAGGGCGGATGCACCCCACAAGTGACCGTGCATACCTCCCAAACTGCAGTAGGATCAGCGGCGGGGTGGGTGTGAAAGCTTCACAAGGGAGGGCGTGTGAGCGGGACCTGACAGCGCTGTGCAGGCTCTGGCATCATAGAAACCCAAGTTTCAATAACACGCTGCCCCGCTGGCTGCATGGTCTTGGACAAACAATAATATTAATAGCTATTATTAAGAGATGGAGCCTTGCTCTGTCACCCAGGCAGGGGTACAATGCCTATTCACAGGCGTGATCCTAGCACCTCTCAGCCTCCAACTCCTGGGCTCAAGCGATCCTTCTGCCTCAGTTCCCCTTGTAGATGGGATTATGGGAGTGAACTACCACGCCCAGCTAATCTTAGGCAAATTACGTCACCTCTCCGAGCCCCAGTTTTCGCACCTGTAATGTGGAGATGGTTATAGCACCTACCTCATAGAGTTGTTGGGGCTCTTAAATGAAACCAACACGTGAAAGGTTCAGCACAAGCCTCTCTAAGCAGCTGTGATGAGGGGGAGGAGGAGGAAGAGGATGATAGGGACAATGATGATGATTTTTTTTTCCTTTTTTTCTTTTTCTTTTGAGATGGCATCTCACTCTGTTCCCCTGGCTGCTGGAGTGCAATGGCGTGATCTCAGCTCACTGCAACCTCTGTCCCCACTGGGTTCTAGCAATTCTCCTGCCTCAGTCTCCCAAGTAGCTGGGATTATAGGCACCTGCCACCACACCCAGCTAATTTTTTGTGTATGTTTTTAGTAGAGACAGGGTTTCACCATGCTGGCCAGGATGGTCTTGAACTACTGATCTCAGGTGATCCACCCACCTCGGCCTCCCAAAGTGCTGGGATGACAGGCGTGAGCCACCGCACCCGGCCAATGGTGAGGATTTCAATTCGCCTCCACCCTTATCTTTGGGTTCTCCTGCAGGCTGGAGTCTAATCCCCTGTTTCGATTTTACATTGACAAAGCATTCTGCCAAACACCATCTCACAGAAACCTCACAACAGCTGTGAGGTTTGAGCCCTGTGAGGTCAGGAGGGAGGAAATTCTCAGTGTCTTCACACTACAGATGAGCAAACTGCAGCTCTGGTGGGGAGTCATGAGTGACACCCCTCAGGCCACACAGTGAGACAGTGGTAGAGTGGGGACAAAACCCAGTTCTTCTCTCTGCCTTGTAGCCCCTTTTTACTAAGCTTCCCAAGAGGCAAGCAGACAGAGGAGTCTGTGGCCTGTGGGGAGGCGGGTTTTCTGTAAGACCATGGTCCTGCCTTAGGAACCTACACCCCCACTTGTCAGCTGAGATGAGTCCTGGCCCTTTCTTCTCAGAGTGAAACTGGGCAGTCTCCGCTGAATGGAGCCACCCGTGGTCTGTGGGCCTGGCCCTGCCGTGCTGCCCTGCTCAGCCTGGACTTGGGCAGGGTTTATGGGGCAGGGCTTCAGGTTTCACCCTAATACCTCTGTGGGATCCATGTCTTGGGGACACAAACGAAGACAAAGGCAGAGTGCAAGGCTGTGGAAGGGCGTGCTGGGGAGAGAGGAGCATGTCCTGCCAACACCGCAGAGACCCGGCTTCACCCGGGGCCACCCCATGTGGCAGAAAGGAGGTTGATTGCAAAAGCAGGTTCGGTCATGGTGCAGCAGATATTGATCAGACTTGGTCTTTGCAGTGGTAATGCTGTTGGCTCCCCAGCCCTCTAAACCTGGCGAGAAAAGTCTTGTGGGCCCTGGTGGCCAAGGGCTGTGCACTTTGGTGAGCCAGGCCTAATGCTGCAGGCCTCCCCTCATGCTGAAATTCCGCAGCATCTTCCTGCAGCTGCTCACAGTGGGATGGGAGCTGAGTCCCCCCAGGCAGGGCTCTGAGCCCTGCTGTGGTCTGAGAGCTGCTCACAGTGGGATGGGAGCTGAGTCCCCAAGGCAGGGCTCTGAGCCCTGCTGTGGTCTGAGAGCTGCTCACAGTGGGATGGGAGCTGAGTCCCCAAGGCAGGGCTCTGAGCCCTGCTGTGGTCTGAGAGCTGCTCACAGTGGGATGGGAGCTGAGTCCCCCAGGCAGGGCTCTGAGCCTTGCTGTGGTCTGAGAGCTGCTCACAGTGGGATGGGAGCTGAGTCCCCAAGGCAGGGCTCTGAGCCCTGCTGTGGTCTGAGAGCTGCTCACAGTGGGGCCTCCTCCCCACTACTTTTCAGGGGAGTTAGAGCTATCTAGAGACAAGGAGACTGAGGCTCAGCGGTATGAGGACACTTGCCCAATGTCTCACAGCTAAAGAGTAGATTTTCTTTTATTTTCTTGAGATGGAGTCTCGCTTTGTCACCCAGGCTGGAGCGCAGTGGCAAGATCTCGGCTCGCTGCAACTTCCACCTCCCAGGTTCAAGTGATTCTCCCGCCTCAGCCTCCTGAGTAGCTGGGATTACAGGCATGTGCCACCACGCCCGGCTAATTTTTGTATTTTTAGTAGAGACAGGGTTTCACCATGTTGGCCAGGCTAGTCTCAAACTCCTGACCTCAGGTAATCTGGCTGCCTCAGTCTCCCAGAGTGCTGGGATTCCAGGCGTGAGCCACCGCGCCCAGCCTGAGAGTAATAGATTTTCATCTGCGCAAAGCTTATCTGCTTTCCATCCTGGGTGGCTGAAGGAATAATAGTATGACACTTCATTTTCTAGGCCAACCTGACTAGGCCACAAGGTGTCCAGATACTTGTCCAAACATTAATCCGGACATATTTGTGAGGCATTTGGGATGAGGTTGATATGTGTATTGGTGGACTGAGTAAAAAGACTCCTCCCCAGTATAGGTGGGCCTCATCCAATCCACTGAACACCTGAATCAACAAAAAGGCAGAATAAGAGGAAGCTCCTCTCGCCTGACTACCTGAGCGTGAGCTGGGATGTTGGCCTCCTCCAGCCTCCAGACTCGGACTGAAACACTGGCTCTTCCTGAGCCTCGAGTCCACTGGCTTATGAGCTGGAATTTACATCCCTGGCTCTCCTAGCTCTCAGGCCTTTGGACTTGGACTGGAACCAATATTGGCTGTCCTGGGTCTCCAGCTATTGACTGCAGAGATTAGGACCTCTAAGCCTCCATAATCACCTGAATCAATTCCTTCTAATACTTTTCTTCGTATGTAGATATAGATACAGATAACGCACACGCCCTGTTGGTTTTGTTTCTCTAGAGAACACTGACTAACACAAAGACTCAACCTTGGGCTTCCCGTTGGCTGCATATTTGGGCGTGGAAGGCCCAGCGATAAGGCGGTGCCAGAAGCCAGATATCTGAATATCTACAACAATTGTCTGATTTGGTCCAGAAGTCCCCCCTGTTCCCAAGGCCCCAGCAGGAAGCCTGGTAGGGGAGGGGACCTGTTTGGCCAAATAAGCACAGCCAAGCCGCAGAAACCTCGGTCTTTTATTAATAGTGTTTTTAACCAAAACATCCCCAAGTACTCAGGAAGAGGCGTCAGCTCCCTCCAGGCACCCCGTGTAAACAGCAATCCCTGCAGAGTCCACTAGGTGGGGCCGGTGACCCAGCGGAAAGGGCAGAAACGCTCCCCGAGGAGGGAAGGCAGGTGCGCGGATGGGACCTTTGCCCGGACGATCCCCAGGCTGGACAAGTGCTCCCTACTCCTGCCTTGCGTGGCTTCTAGTCGATGGTGTAAACATCAACCCTGGGGGCCACAAGCACTTTAGGGGGCAGTCACTCTAGCATCTCTGGATTTCAAGGTCCTCAAGCCAAGTGAGTCCCTCGTGAGCCACCAAGCAAGACGCACAGCCACCAAGTCAAGTTCTGCCCCGAAGCCCCGGAGCGCCAGGCGGGGGCATCTGTGCGTGACGCCCGTGATCTGTCTCCCGAGAGAAGGCACCTGCCAGCACCAAAGGAATCGGAAAATCGACGGACACGGAAACCAGTCATGGTGGTCACGCGACAAGGACAGGGCACAGGGACAGGGAGCAAAGAGGGAGGTGGCGCGGGGACAGGCAGCGGCAAAGACCCTGGCCCCACACCGGGATTCCGCAGCATCTTCCTGCAGCTGCTCACAGTGGGGTGAGAGCTGAGTCCCCCCGGGCGGGGCTCTGAGCCCTGCTGTGGTTTGAGAGCTGAAGGCAGAGATGGGAGCGAGAGTCTTCTCCTCGTTGCTCTCCCCTGGTTGGCCCCCGTTCAGGTCCCTGAACACCTGCTCTGCCTCCTTGGGTTACTATTTGTACCCTGAGCCCAATGCCTCCAGGAGAACCAGGGCAAAAACCCTGCCCCCGCAGGTCCGAGACGCTTGTCTCTAACCCGCCTCCCGTCTTAGGGCAGGTCAACAACACACTGACCAACCCCCTCGCCGGCCCCCTTGCCTCCCACCTGCCCCCCGCCAGCCCTTCCCACAGGTGCACGCCTGGACTGCCGCTAAACTCGGCCTCGGCCTCTGTTGCCATGGCAGCAATGTGGCTTCCCCCAAGTGGGAAGCCCGTTGCCAAGGCCCTTGTTGCCAAAGGCTATAACAGCCACCCCGGTGTGTGAAGAGGGGTGAGAGCTCTGTGGGGGGTGGAGGGTGGCCGGCGGGGCTGGAAGGAGCAGGGGGTTCTCAAGAATGGGAGGGTTCAGGCGGCCTCAGCTGGGGTGGGGGGGCACTAGCCCCTGGAGGAAGAAGAGGCAGCCCGTGGCATCTCAGCGACTGCTCCTCTGGGGACGTCAGAAGGCAGGACGGAGACCCCCTACAAAACACACCCGGACGAGCAGGACCAAGCAAGGATGGGGCACTCCCACCGCCTCCTGCAACACACACCCCCCACAGAGGACCGGCTTGGATTCTTCTCCCCCACCAGCTCCAGGCAAACAACCCCCAGAACCTCTGTTTTGCTCGTTCATGTGTCTCCGACACGCACACACGAGCTGCGCTCAGACAGCGTCAGTCCCTGTCGCCAGGAACACGTTAATGACAAGGACCGCAAACCCTCCACAGTTTCTATCCCTGGCCTGTCTCAGAGCACATACTTAATATTCCTTCTACAATGCTTCTCTCTGGAGCAGAACTCTTGTCTCTGTCAACAAGGAGAGGTGGATGCCATCAGAGTTTGTTCCCTTCCAGAGTGAACAGAGGAGGGCTGGAGCGGGCAGCTCATTGCACCCACAGGGAGCACCAGGCCCAGGCTGGCTTTGCGGGAGCAGCATCTGAACACCTGGAGCCCACGGGCCACGCATGCAGCCACTGCCTGGCCTGGGTGCAGAGGGGAGGAGAGCCTGGTCCTCTCCTGGGTCCTCTGGAGGAGACAGGCTAACAGGGGAAAGCTGAAAGAGGCACGGAGGGGTCTGGGAGGCCTGGGGAGCAGACGGCTAGTAGACGGGGAGAGACAGGGGCGGCAGCGTTGGCAAAGCAGGTGGGGAGGGAAGCCCGAGCCTGAGAGGGGTCCAGGGCCAGGACGAGATGACGAGGCACCAAGAACGGCCAGGTCCAAACGTCTCCAGTCCCAATCTCTCGAGACCAACCCAAGCAGGGCCTGGCCCACGATGCCCAGGCCTTCCCGTCACCCCTCCCCAAACCCAGAAAGAAAAGCCGGTGTACCTACCCCAGGAGCCAGTCCCTCAGGTGGAGTCGGGGAGACGCCATCCCCCCCGCCCTGGCTGCGGGCGCTGAGCTGCGGGGACATGGTGGGCGACTCATCGATGTACGGCATGGTCTCTGAGCCCTCCGGGGGCCCCTTCTGCTCCTCATTCCCCTCTCCGTCGTACTCGTCCGTCCCGTAGCTGAAGTCTGAGACAAGGAACAAGAAAGGCCACTGAGAATCCTCCACCAGAGCTGCCAGGGACTGGTAGCGTAGTGGGCGCCGGCGGCGGCCCCCGGCAGCCATGGCCCCGGCCGCACCATCCACGCCTGGCCCGGGCGGGGGCTGTGCGGGGGCCTGGGCCTGGTGAGGGGCGGGGGAGAGCCAGCAGGCACCGGGCCCTGCCCGCTCCGGGGCTGCTGGGAGGCGGGGAGGAGCGGCTCTGCTGTTGCTACCCGATGAAGAGCATGTCAGCCGCGTATTTCAAGCTGCTGTTTTCTTTGCCTTCTGCCTAATTCCAAGTGTAAAAATTAACAGTGGGAGCAAGAGGCAGGACGCTTCCAACTCTCCTCTCTGAGTCACCATTTTGCTTTTTATAGGGAATAAGGAGGTGGGGGGGGCCGGTCGATGTCACTTCCTGTGGCCCTCCTCCTTGGGTACCATTTGTACTGAGCCCACTCCCTCCAGGGGTCCAGGGCAGGTTCTGGAGTGTGGGAGGGGAGCCCTCAGCCCTCAGAACAAGGCCCCGCACGGAGGACGGAGCCCAAGGC
The DNA here is from genome assembly GCF_000001405.40 of Homo sapiens. NCBI lineage: Eukaryota > Metazoa > Chordata > Mammalia > Primates > Hominidae > Homo > Homo sapiens. Next base: position 170,007 of record NT_187613.1, read on the forward strand.
AGCAGGGCGTGGGCGAGGAGGCTGTGCCCAGGCCTGGCAGGGACAGGGGCTCACAGCAGACTCCTCGGAGCCGGTGCTTATTTCTATCACCCCAGTGTGGGCTTCCTTCAAAGGAGGAGGGAAGGAAAGGCGACCGGGAAGTTGAGCCGCATTAACCCCCCAGGGCTGCCAGCACCACTTGGGCTCCAGAGCCCAGGCACGGAGCCCACCCACCTTGGGAGGGGAGGCTGAGCCAGTGCAGCGAGCGGGGTGTGCAGGTCAGCAGCTCAGGGCTTCACATTTTCCAAAAGGGTTACGAGGGCGGCCTCGGAAAGGCCCCTGCGTCCAGCCCCACCAGCATGGCTATAGGAGGGACCCTCCCACAAACCGGCCCCTGCCCCTTGGCCTGTTTGCTCCCCAGCTCTGACCCACCACGACTGGCAACGGAGAACGTGGCAGTGTTGCTCCCGAGGGCTGTGGTGGACCTCCTTGGGCTGGGGCCGCCAGCGGGGGGTGGACACCCCTCTCACACTCATCGCAGAGCAGGGGTAAGCTTCAGCACTCGTGCGGGCCAGCGGGAGCTGGCACCGCAGGGCGTCCTGGAGACACGAAGATCACCGTGCCGGCAGCCTTGGGGCCAGCAGGAGCCTCCTACGCACCAGACTGCCCAGTGGTGGCGTCCGCTTGTTAAACCTCCCCGGGTATCTTCCGGGCGGGACTCCCTGGCCAGGCATCTTCGGATCTCGCACAGTGTGATGGGGGAGGCTGGCTGAGCCTGCCCTGCCATCTGCCCAGACATCCTTTCCTCCAGGTCACCCTCCCCATGGCACCTGGCCCCCTGGCACCTTAGTGAATCCTGCCCCTTTGTCCTTGAGCCCCTGGGGCAGGAGGTGAGCATCTGAGTCATCACTGTACGCCAGCACCCACAACCCCACCTGTGGCAGGCTCTCGGGGAAAGTGCGTGGAGCGAATGAATGAGCAGAGGATCGCACCGTCTGTCTCAGGTCTGAGGCTTCAGCCAAGTCCCAGCCAGCCAAGTTCTCCACGGGGGCCCCAGCTCTTCCCTCCTCTGTCACAACACACCAGCCCACAGGCAACCAGCAGCTGGAGAATGGTGTCAACAGGTCACCGGGACGCCTGGCCGTGGCCACACTCTGCCCAATCTGGCCTTTTGGCAGCCGAGCGCTTCCCCTAGGCTCGCTGCACCTGCTTCTGTCGGCTGCCTCTCCTCGTCCCTGAGCCAATGCCCCATTCAGCTGCCAGGGGACATGGACTAGTTTTTTCCCTAGACAGGGTTGTGTATGAAGAACCACAGGACCCAGGGATGCCCCATCACTGAGATGAGTGTACACCACACACCCGGGCAGGACCCAGGGATGCCCCATCACTGAGACGCGTGTACGCCACGTACCTGGGCAGGACCCAGGATGCCCTCCCACTGAGATGTGTGTAGGCCACGCACCTAGGACATAAGGCCCAGTGCCCTGGAGACCATGACACTTGTGTCTGTGGCTGAAGGGATGTGAAATGACTCTGGTCCTTCCAGGGGGAGGAGGAAGAGGCACAGCGGCACCCAGCTGGCCTGAGTCTGGGTCCGTGAAGGGCCTGGCCGTTTGGTGACACCCCCTCACTCTGGAGAAGCACAGGAGGGGATGGAAGGCAGCCTCCCGCCGGCCCCTCCCTCCTCCCTCCTCCTCTCCAGGAGGCTCCAGGCTGCCCTGTTGGTGCCTGGAGTCCAGGGAAAATAAGCAATAGTGGACCGCGGCTTTGCCCACAGTTTAGATTCCAGCCGGCCAAGCAGACTCTCCTGTACACTGACCAATTCCCAGGGGTCGCAGGAATGGACCCCACACACTTGGGAGATCGTCCAAGATCAACGGGGGGGAAGGGACGGTAGGGAAGGTCTCTGCCAGTCTCCCCACATGCACAGTTCATCCTGATCAGAGCAGAGGACCACGGGCCCTGCCATCCCCTGCTCCTTCCAGCCTGGATGTTCCGCGGGGAGGCAGTTCTTATTTTTCCCAATTTACATACAATTGCCGAAGATCACAGGATCAGAACCCAGGTCTCAAATGCCCTCCCTTTCCCTCTGAATCTCACTCCAAAGAAGTCCCCTTCCATATCCCTCCTGGTTAAGGGGGGCTGACCATGGAGCTGAACGCAGGGGGCCTGAGGACAGGGTGCTGGTGGGCGGAGGCCCAGGGGCGGCGAAAGGGCTCGGCCTGCGAACATTTCCAGGGCCTTCCCCTTTCATTTCTGCCCCCACAAAACCATGAGAGCCCAGGAGACTCCAACCAGGAAAAGGGGTACAGAAAAGATGGGGAAACCAATCCTCGGAGAAGGCAGGAACCCTGGGGGAGGAAGATGGGGACCTACTGAGCACAGGCTTCAGTCTCCGACGGCCACAGGTGGGTATGCTGAGCAGACAGCGGCTTGGGCACCAGATCTCAAAAAAGAAGAAAAGGCAGACAAGGCAAAGGCTGCTGGCAGCCAATATCCATTTCCCCGCCGACTAACAGAAATCCTACTGTATTCGGAGCGGCAGTGCACCCAGCAGCTAGTTCAAAGACACCTTTCCTGATGGTGTGAGCCATATGATTACGTTCTAGACAACAAGATGTTACAGGGATATGTGTGGAACTTGCAGGAAGCTGCTGGAAGAGACTGATTTAGCCGAAAGGTACACTATCCACACTGCCCTTGTTCCTCCTTCTGTTGCTGGTTTGGAGAGTTGATGGGATGGCTGGAGCCCCAGCAGCCATCCTGAACCATGAGGTGAGCTGAGGATAGAAGCCACCACTGAAGACAGCTGAGCAGAAAGCTGGGAGTCCAGGTCACTGAGGGCACAGTGGAGCCCACCCCAGGAAGGTCTACCTCGGGACGTTTTCACAAGCTGGGAGTCCAGGTCACTGAGGGCACAGTGGAGCCCACCCCAGGAAGGTCTACCTCGGGACGTTTTTACATAAAAGAAAGAAAAAGTGCCAAATGCAATTTGAGCCTCTGTTACTTGGTTTTTCTATTATCTGCAGTCAAATCTAAGGTAACTGACCCAGGTGATCTTCCCTGACGTCCCCGCTTCGGTGCTTTTCCTCTGACTGTCACCGTCCTTCTCAGGCTCCTTGGTGAAATCTTCTTTCTCTACCCATCCCTTAAAAATTGCTGTTCCCATGGAGGGGAACGTCACACACTGGGGCCTGTTGGAGGGTGGAGGGCAAGGGAAGGGAGAGCATTAGGACAAATACCTAATGCACAAGGGGCTTAAAACCTAGATGACAGGGCCAGGCACAGGGGCTCACGCCTGTAATCCCAGCACTGTGGGAGGCCGAGGCGGGCGGATCATCTGAGGTCAGGAGATCAAGACCATACTGGCCAATATGGTGAAGCCCTGTCTCTACTAAAAATACAAAAAAATTAGCCAGGCGTGGTGGTTGGCGCCTGTTGTCCCAGCTACTTAGGAGGCTGAGGCAGAAGAATGGTGTGGACCCAGGAGGCGGGGCTTGCAGTGAGCTGAGATCGCGACACTGCACTCCAGACTGGGCGACAGATCAAGACTCCGTCTCAAAAAAACAAAAACAAAAACAAGAACAAAAAAAGATTCATGCACTTCAGCAAATGTTGGGCTCCAGTGAGTGACATGCTGGAGTGAAGTGTACAACTCTCTGCAACTTACTCCGAAATACATAAAAAATAAGATGGGCTGAACGCGGTGGCTCACACCTGTAATCCCAGCACTTTGGGAGGCCGAGGCAGGTGGATCACGAGGTTAGGAGTTCAAGAACAGCCTGGCCAACATGGTGAAACCCCCTCTCTACTAAAAATACAAAAATTAGCTGGGTGCGATGGCGGGTGCCTGTAATCCCAGCAACTTGGGAGGCTGAGGCAGGAGAACTGCTTGAACCCGGGAGGTGGGGGTTGTGATGAGCTGAGATTGCACCATTGCACGCCAGCCTGGGTGACAGAGTGAGACTCTGTCTCGAAACAACCAACCAACCAACAACAAAAAAACCAAGATGGAATGATGATGTTCAGAGGGATGGAAAGATGGACAGCTGTGTGATAAAGCAAGCGCATAAAAATCATCACTGGGAACGTTAGACAGCAGGTGAATGGGTGTTCACTGTGAATTCTTTCAACTTTTCTGTGTGCTTACAATTGTTCATGATAAAATGGTGGTGGTGGCAGGGACTGGTACTCGCCAGCTTCCATCAACCTCGCATCACCTTCCTCTCCCGAATTGTGTTCCTGCTCCCGGAAGAAGTCAGGTCTGCAGACTCCTGGGCATCTCCACCTTTAGGAGCCTCAAACGCAGCCTTTTCCCAAAGACCACACACGTAGGGAACCTGGGAGCCATTCTAGATGCCTCCACATTCCCGCCCCTCATCTCCTGCACTGTGAGGCATCCCCGCTCCTCCCCACCCTCACCAACTCTTACAAGGACAATTCCAGCACCCTCCCCACAGCAGCCGGGTCACAAATCAGACCGTGTTGCCCCCCATTCACTTAGGGACACAGCCCCGCTCCTCAGCTCAAGGCCCTTTGTGGTCTGCACCTGCTCCACCTCTCCAGGGTCCTATTCTCCTGCCCTGTGACATCGGACTCCTTCTAGCTCCCTGCGGTGGGTTCAGTAGTGGCCCCCCCACAAGGTATGTCCAGATTCTAATTCCTGGGACCTGGGAATGTGACCTTATTTGGAAAACATTCTTTGTAGATGTGAATAAATGAAGGGTCTCAAGATGAGATCATTGTCGATTAACCGGTGGGTCCTAAATCCAATGCTGTGTCCCTATGGAAAGAGAAAGGGGGAAAACACAGACAGAGGAGAAGACAGAGGCAAGGTTTGGACTGGGGCTGCCACCAACCAAGGAATGCCTGGAGCCACCAGACACTGAAAGAGGGGAGTAAGTGGGAACTCTGCCCCGGCAGCCTGGGGAGGGGCTGGGACTTTGATTTCAGACTTCTGGTCTTCAGACTGCGAGAGCATCGATTTCTGCTGTTCTAAGCCATCAAGTTCATGGCAATCTCTAATGGCAGCATTAAGCCACAAATGCAGCGCCTGACACGCACACAGCTCTCCCCTTTGCACACCAAATGCAGTGCCTGCCACGCACACAGCTCGCCCCTTTGCACACCAAATGCAGTGCCTGCCACGCGCACAGCTCCCCCCTCTTTGCACACCAAATGCAGTGCCTGCCACGCGCACAGCTCCCCCCTTTGCACACCAAATGCAGTGCCTGCCACGCACACAGCTCCCCCCTCTTTGCACACCAAATGCAGTGCCTGCCACGCACACAGCTCCCCCCTTTGCACACCAAATGCAGTGCCTGACACGCACACAGCTCCCCCCTTTGCACACCAAATGCAGTGCCTGACACGCACACAGCTCCCCCCTTTGCACACCAAATGCAGTGCCTGCCACGTGCACAGCTCCCCCCTTTGCACACCAAATGCAGTGCCTGCCACGCGCACAGCTCCCCCCTCTTTGCACACCAAATGCAGTGCCTGCCACGCGCACAGCTCCCCCCCTTTGCACACCAAATGCAGTGCCTGCCACGCGCACAGCTCCCCCCTCTTTGCACACCAAATGCAGTGCCTGCCACGCACACAGCTCCCCCCTCTTTGCACACACTGCTCCCGTGCCTAGAAAACCCTCCTTGCTGGGCGCGGTGGCTCACGCCTGTCATCCCATCACTATGATGTGGGGCATCCTCCAAGGCAGGAGGATCACTTGAGCCCAGGAGTTTGAGACCAGCCTGGCCAACATAAGGAGACTCTGTCTCTGTGAACACACACACACACAAAGACACGCACACACACACATACACATATATATATACCTCTCCTTACCCCTTGTCCACCTGGTGAAATCCTGTTTTGCCCTCAAATCTGCCTCATCTGTGCCCTCTCCCAGGAACTTTCCTGTATTCTACATATTATGATAATACTTGAATACCGAAAGCACTTTTTTTTTTTTTTTTTTTTGAGATGGAGTCTCGCTCTGTCACCCAGGCTGGAATGCATTGGCACGATCTCAGCTCACTGCAACCTCCACCTGCCAGGTTCAAGCGATTCTCCCGTCTCAGCCTCCCGAATAGCTGGGATTATAGGCATGCACCACCATGCCTGGCTAATTGTTGTATTTTTAGTAGAGACGGGGTTTCACCGTGTTAGCCGGGATGGTCTCCAACTCCTGACCTCGTGATCCACCCACCTCGGCCTCCCAAAGTGCTGGGATTACAGGCGTGAGCCACCACACCTGGCCAATAAAGCACTTTTACAAGCCAATGAGAAAAGATGAAAACCTCAACTTTCTAAATGTGTAAGGGAAATGAACAGAAAATTTAAAAGAGAACTACAAATATTCAAAATGCATTAAAAAGAATGTTAACCTCATTTGTAATGAAAGAAAATGTAAAGTTCTATATAGTTTTCACTGTTCGTGTCAAATTGGCAAGGATTTTAAGATAATAATAACAATATCCAGAGCTGTCAGGGCATAGGTACTCACAGAAACTCTTGGAGGCTGCCTATAACTGGCACAACTTTGGCTGGGCACAGTGGCTCACGCCTGTAACCCCAGGTCTTTGGGAGGCCAAAGTGGACGGATCACCTGAGGTCAGGAGTTCGAGACCAGGCTGACCCACACGGAGAAACCCCATCTCTACTAAAATACAAAATTAGCCAGGCGTGGTAGCACATGCCTATAATCCCAGCTACTTGGGAAGGCTGAGGCAGGATAATCGCTTGAACCTGGGAGGTGGAGGTTGCGGTGAGCCAAGATCACAACATTGCTCTCCAGCCTTGGCAACAAGAGCAAAACTCCGTCTCGAAAAAAAAAAAAAAAAGTTGGCCCAACTTTTCTAGAGTCAATCTGGTAACTGGTATCAAAAGGTTTAGTGGTTGGTACAGTTTATACCCAGCGTAATAAGATTATGATCTATGATACTAGTTATAAATGAACATAAAAATAAAGTTGTAAGTCACAGGGCTGTCTGTAAGTGTGAAATATTAAAAACAACCTGAATTATGAGACTGGTTGAGTCAATTATGGTTTTTCTACAAGATGGGCTGCTATATAGCATTAAAAACTATATGGATGATGAATAGCATCTTATCAAGTGCAAAAAGAGATTAATAACAATAATTAAAGTATGTTACAATGTCTGAAAAAAGTAAAAACATACGTGCATAGAAAAAAGACTGGAAGGCTACAACACAAAATCATTAGAGCCTTCCGATTCTGGAAATTTTGAAAAAATTAATGTACGGTCTCTGCGCTCTAGGGCACTGGCAGACACCCGACACCCGTCTTCCCTTCTTCCTTGCTTACTCTACCCTCGTTTTCTAGGAAGTGGCAACAGACCAGTCCCAGGCAAGATACCCGCTTTCTCTGCCTCTCTCATTACCAGGAACGGCTGCCCTACACCATTCTGGCCACTGAGACCCAAGTGAAGCATGCTGGGACCTCTGGCAAGGCCCTGACTTTGATGATTACAAAGAGACGTTTTGCCTTGAACTCATGGGTGATGACTGGAGTTACGGTGGCTTTACTGCTGCCACCACGAACAGGTCAAGAAAGAACAGAGGCTGGGCGCGTGGCTCATGCCTGTCATCCCAGCAATTTGGGAGGCCAAGGCGGGCAGATCACCTGAGGTCAGGAGTTCGAGACCAGCCTGGGCAAGATGGTGAAACCCCATCTCTACAGAAACTACAAAAATTAGCCGGGTGGTGACTCACGCCTCTAATCCCAGCACTTTGGGAGGCTGAGGCAGGTGGATCACCTGAGGTCAGAAGTTTGAGACCAGCCTGCTCAACATGATGAAACCCCGTCTGTACTAAAACTACAAAAATTAGCCAGGTATGGTTGCACACACCTGTAATCCCAGCTACGCAGGAGGCTGAGGCAGGAGATCACTTGAACCCAGGAGGCAGAGGTTGCAGTGAGCTGAGATTGTAGCACTGCACTCCAGCCGGGGCAACAGAGCAAGACTCCCTCTCAAAAAATAAAAATTAATTAATTAATTTAATTAAATAAATAAAAGAACAGAGCCATTTCCCTCATGCTGTTCAGCTGAGCCACACTAGGAAGAGCCTGTCTCATTTCCTGCTCATGGGAAATACAAGTCCCTATATATTGGGTTTTCTGCTGCTTACAATGAACACATTTCCAAATGATATCCTCACAGCCCAGAGAGGAAGCGAGTCCAATCAGCAATCAAATCTCCGAGATGCTACGACAGAGGCCTCAAAGGCCCGGCAAGGCGGACCGGAGGGTGTGGGCAACACTCGGGGAGGGGAGGTGGCTGGGGAGGCTTTGGTGCCACGCTAAGGAAGACAGTTCATCGCTGTGGCTGAGAGCAGGGACCCTGCGGTCCGGCAGCGGAGGTTCCAGCCCACGCTCTGGCACTTCCTAACCTCTCTGTGCCTCCGAGGAGTGCCTGGCACAGGGCGGCTGCTACTAAATGGATACGGGTTTAGCAAATCCGTGTGAAACGGGGGACGACACAGGATCAAGTGCACGGGCCGCTGCGGGGGTTAAACTGGATGACACGCATACGGCACTTAGCACATAGGAAGCACCCAATCCATCTCAGCTGCTATTATTAATGTTATTAATTGGATCTTGAAAGCTGTGTGGGTGCCTGCCAGGCGGGTGGGGGACAGGAGCAGAGTTTCAGGCGGTGAGAGGAGGCTTGGCAGTGGCACCCAGTGGGAAACAGCAGGGCCCCTGGAGGGGACTATAAATAGCCAGGAGGGCTAGAACACAGAGTGAGCAGAGGGGGAGAGGGCCGTGCTGGAGAGGAGGCAGGGACTTGCTCCTGAGAGCCTCGTGAGCTGAGCCGAGAGCCGTGCAGGACTCAGTGAGGATGGGTGACCTGGCCCATGATCCTCTGCAGGCTCTTGCCGGCCACATCATTGCTGAATATTGCTAACTTTATTTTTTATTCTTTTTCTTTTTCTTTTTTTTTTTTTTTTTGAGACAGAGTTTCACTCTTGTTGCCCAGGCTGGAGCGACACCCTCCAGCCTGTCACAAGGGTGATACAGAGGCTGACTGTTAAGTGATAAACTTATTTTCTGCCCAAGAATTGAGGATGGGAATGAGAGAGGGAAGAGCAGCTGAGGGAGCCCAGCCCTGACCATTATTCCACCAAAGCTGCATCAAAAGTCTTCAGAGAGGCCAGGTGCGGTGTCTCACACCTGTAATCCCAGCACTGTGGGAGGCTGGAGCAGGCAGATCACCGGAGGTCAGGAGTTTGAGACCAGCCTGGTCAACATGGTGAAAGCCTGTCTCTACTAAAAATACAAAAATCAGCTGGGCTTGGTGGCAGGTGCCTGTAATCCCAGCTATTCGGGGGGCTGAGGCAGGAGATTCGCTTGAACCCGGGAGGCGGAGGTTGCCGTGAGGCAAGATTGGGCCACTGCACTCCAGCCTGGGTGACAGAGCAAGGCTCTGTCTCAAAAAAATAAACAAATAAAGTCAGGTAATGTGATTCTTCCAGTTTTGTTATTTTTGTTTTGGTTCCATATAAATTTTAGCATTTTTTTTTTTCTATTTCTGTGAAGAATACCATTGTTTGAGCATTATTCCTAAAGTCCCTGGGATATTCAGAATGGTCAGTGAGCACTGGTTTAAAGTCACCCCTGCACTGGCCCCTAACACTAGAGTCAGCCTGTCCTTCTGTCCTCTGAAGCTTCGAAGCCAGGCACGGATCCCTTTTCTAGGATGAAAGTCCTACATATGTCTTCTTCCAATAGAAGGCTGTTTTGTCTACATTGAAAATCTGATCTGTTTTGTTTTTGTTTTGTTTTGTTTTGTTGTTGTTGTTTGAAATAGGGTCTGGCTCTGTTGCCCAGGCTGGAGTGCAATGGCGCGATCTCAGCTCACTGCAAGCTCCACCTCCCAGGTTCAAGTGATTCTCTTGCCTCCACCTCCCAGGTTCAAGTGATTCTCTTGCCTCAGCCTCCTGAGTAGCTGGGATTACAGATGTGCACCACCAGGCCTGGCTGATTTTTGTATTTTTAGTAAAGACAGGGTTTCACCATGTAGGCCAGGCTGATCTTGAACTCCTGACCTCAAGTGATCCACCCACCTCGGCCTCCCACAGTGCTGGGATTACAGGCGTGAGCCACCGCGCCTGGCCAAAAATCTGATGTTTAGTGCGGTGACCTTCCTTTACAGTCTTTGCTACATCTTCTGCACAACTGGCCGCAGCTTCTCCATCCGTACTTGCTGCTTCACTTTGCCTTTTTCTGTTATGAAAGCGGCTTCTTTCCTGACCCCTCATGAACAAATCTCTGCCAGCTTCAAACTTTCCTCTGCAGCTTCCTCACCTCTCTCAGCCTTCACAGACTTGCAGAGTGCGAGGGCCTTGCTCTGGATTGGGCTCCGGCTCAGGGGAACGTTGTGGCTGGTTTGATCTTTATCCGACCACTCAAACTTTCTCCATATCAGCAGTGGGGCTGTTTCCCTTATCATTCTTGTGTTCACTGGAGAAGCACTTTGAATTTCCTTAAAACACTTTTCCTGTGTGTTCACAATTTGGCTAACTGGTAGGAGAGGCTCCGCTTCCAGCCTATCTTGGCTTTCAACAAGCCTTCCTCACTACACTAAATCATTTCTTTTTTTTTTTCTCTCTCTCTCTCTCTCTTCCTTCTCTCTCTCCCTCTTTCTTTCTTTTCTAGACAGTCTCTATCACCCAGGCTGGAGTGCAGCGGCACAATCTCAGCTCACTGCAACCTCTGCCTCCCAGGTTCAAGTGAGTCTCCCACCTCAGACTCCTGAGTAGCTGGAATTACAGGCGCCCGCCACCACGCCCGGCTAATTTCTCTATTTTTAGTAGCGATGGGGTTTCACCATGTTGGCCAGGCTGGTCTTGAACTCCTGACCTCGTGATCTGCCCGCCTCGGCCTCCCAAAGTGCTGGGATTACAGGCGTGAGCCACCGAGCCCGGGCTAAACTGAACCATTTCTAGCTTTTGATTTAAAGTGACAGACGCACACCTCGAGGCCACTGTAGGGTTACTCACTGGACTAACTTGGATATTTTTGTGTCTCGGAATAGGGAGGCTGGAGCGGGGAGAAGAGAGAGGCTGGGAAAGGCTGGTGGGCGGAACAGCCAGAACACACAACGTTCATAGATGAAGGTTGCCGGGTCCGGTCTGTGGTGCCCAAAACAATGACAATGCTAACATGGAGGATCGCTGATCACAGATCACTGTAACAGGTGTCATAACAATAAAAAAGTCTGAAAGATCGTGAGAACCACCAACACGTAACACAGAGAGAATGCGAGGTGGCCACACACTTCCAACTGGTGAAAAAAAACGCAGCATCTTTGAAGCTCAACTAAGCATGGAGGTGCCGTAAAGCGAGGTACGCCTGCACATGAGTGCCGTAAAGCAAGGTACGCCCGCATCACAGGAGTGCCGTAAAGCGAGGTATGCCTGCACCGCAGGAGGCTATTTACTTTAGGTTGGAGCAAAGGTAATATATAATGGTAAAAACCACAATTACTTTTTTTTTTTTTTTGAGACGGGGTCTCACTCTGTCACCCAGGCTGGAGAGCAGTGGCACAATTTCGGCTCACTGCAACCTCCGCCTCCTGGGTTCAAGCAATTCTCCTGCCTCAGCCTCCTGAGTAGCTGGGATTACAGGTGCCCACCACCAACACCCGGCTAATTTTTTTTTTTTTTTAGTAGAGATGGGGTTTCAGCATGTTGGCCAGGTTGGTCTCAAGCTCCTGACCTCAGGTGATCCACCCGCCTCAGCCTCCCAAAGTGCTGGGATTACAGGTGTGACCCACCACGTCCAGCTCTCAACTACTTTTGCACCAGCCTAAATACAAAGCTCAAGAACAGGCGAAACAAATGGATGGTGATAGAAGTCCATGGCAGTGGCTTTCTGGGGGTGGACGACGGGGACAGGGAGTGTTGGCTGGGAAGGGGCAGGAAGCAACTTTCCAGGACACTGAAGATGTTCCATATCTTGATCTGGGTGTTAGTTACACAAGCAGACATATGGAAATATTCACCAAGCTCTATGCTTAAGACTGGTGCACTTGAAAAGCTTTTTTTTGTTTTTTGATTTTTGTTTTTTGTTTTTTTTAGAGACAGAGTCTCGCTCTGTTGCCCAGGCTGGAGTGCAGTGGCACAAACATAGCTCATTGCAGCCTCAAACTCCTGGGCTCAGATGATCCCCCTGCCTCAGCCTCCCAAGTAGCTGAGACCACAGGCATGCACAACCATGCCTGGCTGATTCGAAAAAGTTTTTGTAGACACAGGGTCTTGCTATGTGGGCCGGGCTGGTCTTGAACTCCTGGCCTCAAAGAGTCCTCCACTTTGGCCTCCCAAAGTGCTGGGATTATAGGCATGAGCCACCACACTCTGCCTGAAAAACTTCTTAAAAATTTAAAATCTAAGTTGTACTGTTGCAGGAAACTGAGGACCGGAGAGACCGATATGGAGAAGGGAAGGACTGTTTATTTTAGGTATGCACTAGCTCAGTGGATTTGCATTTAAAAAGCTTAGCATTGAATAAAGACAGAATGGGGTTTTTATAAGCAGACTTCACAAAAGTAAAACAAAAGCAGTTAATCATATAGTGCATAACTTGTGGCTTGTAGCTGTGTCAAAAGAAAAACAAGGACTGGCTAAATCCAGACATTTGTAAACACAGTTATGCTTAGGAAGCCAGGGAAAGGAGTAACAGTAAAGGAATTTCTCTTTCTTTTTTCCTTCAACCTTGCTCTAAAAGGCGGGTGTGTGGAGCCCATTTCTTTAGCCTTGGCTTCTTAAACAGCGTTATCTTATAACTCCTTAAAGTGAGCTTGCTAGGCAGAAAAAAAAAGAGGTTTTTTTTGTTCCTTTGTTTTTTGTTTTTTGAGATGGAGTCTCGCTCTGTCGCCCAGGCTGGAGTGCAGTGGCGCCATCTCGGCTCACTGCAAGCTCCGCCTCCCGGGTTCAAGCCATTCTCCTGCCTCAGCCTCCCGAGTAGCTGGGACTACAGGTGCCTGCCATCATGCCCGGCTAATTTTTTTGTATTTTTAGTAGAGACAGGGTTTCACCGTGTTAGCCAAGATGGTCTCCATCTCCTGACCTCGTGATCCACCCGCCTCGGCCTCCCAAAATGCTGGGATTACAGGCGTGAGCCACCGTGCCCGGCCTGTTTTTTTTTTTCTTTTTAACCCTTGCCTTGCCTGTTACTTTTCTTGGAGTAAATACATACATATTTGTTTTTAAATTTCTGCCTCCGTACCATTATGACTCATTTACAATGGAGGAAATGAAAGCGCAGGGAGTTAAGTTACTTGCCCAAGATTTCACGGCAGTCAGGTGGGAAACCAGATGGACACAGGTCATCCAACTCCACAACCTTTGCTCTTAAAATGTTATCATATGTAGGACTCATACAAATACCAAACACGAAGTGCGTGGGCTGCCCTGAGGGGTTCATATGGAAGAAACAACCAGTCACAGAGCGTGAGGAAGGAAAAGGTCCATTTGCGGCAGGGTATCAGCGTGCAGAATGGGGGCAGGACGCAGGAGGTTGGCCCTGATGAACAGACTGGTACCACTGAAGCCGAGCTCTGGAGGGGTCAGACTGCAGAGGGCCTGGAACACTATCCTGAATAGTCAGATTTCACGCACGCTGGGAGCCACGGATGCCAAAATGGCAAGGTGATTTCAGAGGTGACTTCAGGAAAACGAAGCTGACTGTGGTGCATGAGATGATGTGGAACGGGGCAAACCGCCCCTCCGTGCTTTGTCAAAGGTGACCATGGTGGGAACCAAGGGCAAAGTCTGGCGATGGGAGAGTTGACTGAAAATGCGGCCACAGCAGGGTCCTCTGGGCTTGGAGGGCTGAGCGATGGACAGGAAGGGGGAGCTGGTTCCGGGGGAACAGACCCTAAGTCCAGGTGGAGACATGTCTGGACTGAGAAGACTCATGGCCATCCCTGTCAGAAGATCCAACGGGCAGCCAGACAGCAGAGTCTGGACCACAGGTGTGGATCTGGGAGGCCGGCAACCCTGAACCAGGGAACTGGCCAGCGGAAGCGAGGCTGCCACTTCCCAGGTGCCACCTGTACCAGATCAGCCTGTCCGGGGCAATTTCAGCAGGGATGGTGGCTCAGATACAAAATCTACCACCTCACCTACAACAATAAGGACACTGTCTTCTACTGCACTTTATTTTATTGATTTATTTATTTTTGGAGACGAAGTCTCAATCTGTCACCCAGGCTGGAGTGCAGTGGTGGGATCTCAGCTCACTGCAACCTCCGCCTCCCAGGTTCAAGCAATTCTCCTGTCTCAGCCTCCCAAGTAGCTGGGATCACAGGCACCCGCCACCATGCCCGGCTAATTTTTGTATTTTTAGTAGAGATGGGGTTTCACCATGTTGGCCAGGCTGGTCTCGAACTCCTGACCTCAAGTGATCCGCCCACCTCGGCTTCCCAAAGTGCTGAGATGACAAGTGTGAGCCACCGCGCCCGGCCAGTCTTCTATTGCACTGGGAGGCAGAGGTTGCAGTGAGCTGAGATCGCACCACAGCACTCCAGCCTGGGTGACAGAGTGAGACTGTCTCAAAGAAACAAGATGAGGATAACGATACCATGTCACAGGGTGGTTGTGAAAATGACATTAAATAACATGATGTAGGTTAAAGAACTGGGCACAGTATCAGGGCAGAAGGGTCCTTGGGAAAGCTCAGCTGAAGCCGAGTGGGTGTCGTAGGCAACGGGAAAGTAGACACCTTCAGGGTCCAGGTGACCCCAGCTGATCCAGGAGATATTTAATACCATCGGGAGCCCCTCAGTCAGGGCCTGGCTCCAAGGGGAGGAATCCTGGAAACCAGCATCTTTCCCACGGGACAAGCCACCTCCTTCTCAGGGCCCCCCATTCTTTGATTGATGGAGCAGAGGTTGGGGAGCCAGGACAGCTCAGTGGTCAAGGGCAGAGGCTTTGGAATCACACTCGGGTTCCATTCCTGAGATTAGCACTTCGGGAATGTGACCTTAGCCATGTGACCTTGGGCAAGCTACTTAGCCATTCAGAGCCTCAGTTTTCTCATCTCTAAAATGAGGATAAAAACAAGATCTATACCTCATGAAGCTTTTGCGAGGTTACAATGAGGAAATATATGCTATGCAAGGCACCCAAAGCTGGCGCTAACAAAACGGCAGCTATTATCATTATTCCCCTGCTCTCCTTCCTGAGTACCAAGAACCCTTAGGGACCTCCCAGCCCTTAAAAAACAAACCAGGGCTTTGGCAATTTGCAGTGAGTTAAGACTACAGCAAGCTTTGTCAGCTAACTCTGCTGTTCATCAGTCAGCCTCCATTCAGCACAGGCTGGTGGACTAGTTACGACTTAAATTCTTTTTTTTTTTGGAGACAGAGTCTTGCTCTGTCTCCCACGCTAGAGTACAATGGCACAATCTTGGCTCACTGCAACCTCCACCTCCCCGGTTCAAGCAATTCTCCTGCCTCAGTCTCCTGAGTAGCTGGGATTACAGGTGCCCGCCACCACGCCCGGATAATTTTGTATTTTTAGTAGAGGTAGGGTTTCACCATGTTAGCCAGGATGGTCTCAAACTCCTGACCTCAGGTGATCCACCTGCCTCGGCCTCCCAAAGTGCTGGGATTACAGGTGTGAGCCACTGCGCCCGGCCAGTTCATGACTTGAATCCTAAGATAACTGTTCCAATCTTCACTGCACACTGGAATCCCTGGGGAGTTGGGAAGCTCTCTGGCTCCTACCCCAGGGATTGCTACTGAATTGGTATGGAATGGCCTGGGCATCAGGCCTGTTAAAAGCTCCCCAGGTGACTCTAATGTATAGGAAGGCCAAGAGCCGCCAGGTTCAGACAGGGACACTGAAGTGAGCGTCTTTACAACCAAATGGAACTAAGACTCTTGCTGGGCACAGTGGCTCACGCCTGTCATCCCAGCACTTTGGGAGGCCGAGGCAGGCGGATCACCTGAAGTCGAGAGTTCGAGACCAGCCTGGCCAACATAGAGAAACCCCGTCTCTACTAAAAATATAAAAATTAGCCGGGTATGGTGACAGATGTCTGTAATCCCAGCTACTCGGGGGGCTGAGGCAGGAGAATCGCTTGAACCCGGGAGGCGGATGTTGCAGTGAGCTGAGATCACACCATTGCACTCCAGCCTGGGCGATAAGAGCGAAACTCCATCTCAAAAAAAAAAAAAAAATACTCTGAAGCAGCCTATGAAGCCATCAGCCAGGCGCGTGATCAATTCAGCCAGCACAGGGAAGGCTGCCCGGAAGAGGCAGGGCTTGTCCTCAGTCTTGGGGACTGTGGGATTCGCTGGGGAAGAGAAGACAAGACGGACGGAAAGGGCTTTGCTCTGATTGTGAACCACAGACAGGCAGGGGTGGGTGGGGGTCGGCCCCTGTCTCATTCACTCAGGACCCTCGACCTGGCCTGTAGCAGCCACTGGGAGCACAGACAGCGCCACCCTCACCCCGAGGCCTGGAGCCCCTCATTAGCCCAGCAAAGCGGCAACTGGAGGCCGGGCAGAGGCTGTGGGGCAGCTCACTCCTGGGAGGAAGCTCACTCCTGGGGGACAGCTCGCTCCTGGGGGACAGCTCATTCCTGGGGACAGCTCGCTCCTGGGGGACAGCTCATTCCTGGGGGGCAGCTCGCTCCTGGGGGGCAGCTCGCTCCTGGGGGACAGCTCATTCCTGGGGGACAGCTCGCTCCTGGGGGGCAGCTCGCTCCTGGGGGACAGCTCATTCCTGGGGGACAGCTCGCTCCTGGGGGGCAGCTCGCTCCTGGGGGACAGCTCATTCCTGGGGGACAGCTCGCTCCTGGGGGGCAGCTCGCTCCTGGGGGACAGCTCATTCCTGGGGGACAGCTCGCTCCTGGGGGGCAGCTCGCTCCTGGGGGGCAGCTCATTCCTGGGGGACAGCTCGCTCCTGGGGGACAGCTCGCTCCTGGGGGGCAGCTCGCTCCTGGGGGACAGCTCATTCCTGGGGGACAGCTCACTCCTGGAGGGCAGCTCGCTCCTGGGGGGCAGCTCATTCCTGGGGGACAGCTCATTCCTGGGGGACAGCTCGCTCCTGGGGGGCAGCTCGCTCCTGGGGGACAGCTCATTCCTGGGGGACAGCTCGCTCCTGGGGGGCAGCTCATTCCTGGGGGGCAGCTCGCTCCTGGGGGGCAGCTCGCTCCTGGGGGACAGCTCATTCCTGGGGGACAGCTGCTGTTGCAGGAGTTGTTTGCTCCGGCTCTGCCTCCACTGCTGGGAACAGACTCGAGGCCCCACCATGGGCGGGTGTTATGGCCTCTCTGGTTGCCATGGAGATGAAATCCAATCATCCACCTCCAAGATCCTTGGAAGAGGGAGGCAGAGACCGTAGCCGCCTGGAGAAGTGGCCGCCTGGAGAAGCTCAGGGCTCCACAGCCTGAGACAAAGGAATCATAGTTCTTGGACATCAAGGGCAGAGGCTGAGGCCCAGGGTGTCAGGGTGGCCAGCAGCCCTGGGCAGAGAAGCGCATGTGGCTTCACCAGTCTCCAGCTCTTGGGGATGGATGGGACATGCTGAGTATTATCTGCGCAGTGTTTTACACGGTGAGCCCACGGCCAGGATCTCATTTCATCCCCACAGCCCAGGGAGGTTGTCAAAGTAGCTATGAATGGCCCCCTTTGACACGGGGGAAAACTGAGGCTTCTGAGTCTCATCCAAGGCCACCTGGCTGAGAAACAGCTGAGCCACAGATTAAAGCTACTCTTTGCACCAAGGCCATTGTTTCCTGCGATTTGACAAAATCCCCCCACCTTGGCAGAGGGAACTAAAATTCCTCATCTCTCTGTAGGAAAGACAGTTATGTGCCCACCGAACATAGAGGAATCATATTGCAGACGGGCCGTATAACCTTGCCATGATACGACGAAAGCTGACGGCATGTGTACGCAAGCAACAGCCACTCAACAAACATCTCCTAAGCTATCACACACCAGATGCAGGGGCGGGCACAGACTCCAGCACCCCCAGCTCCGTTACGAGTCGCCCATGGAAAGGCAACGGGATTCAACGAGGTGGGCATGGGGCCAGGAGGCAGATCTGGGTCCCGCGTCCAGACCTAATCTCTAGGTGCCGCCACTTCCTTATCTGTAAAATGGGCAAGACACAGCTGCCCTGCGCAGTTCACAGGGCTGCCCCTGTGGAGTGACAAGAGATACCAGATAAAAAGAGCATTTCACAAACAATAACGCGTTCAGTCAATCAGGCAAAAAAAAAAAAAGGGGCAGGGGCCAGGCTCAGTGGCTCACGCCTGCAATCCCAGCACTTTGGGAGGCTGAGGTGGGTGGATCACCTGAGGTCAGGAGTTCGAGACCAGCCTGGTCAACATGGTGAAGCCCCGTCTCTACTAAAAATACAAAAATTAGGGCTGGGTGCAGTGGCTTCTGCCTGTAATCCCAGCACTTTGGGAGGCCGGGGCGGGCAGATCACCTGAGGTCAGGAGTTTGAGACCAACATGGTGAAACCCTATCTCTGCTAAAAATACAAAAATTAGCTGGGTGTGTGGCGGGCCCCTGTAATTCCAGCTACTCGGGAGGCTGTGGCAGGAGAATCACTTGAACCCAGGAGGTGGAGGTTGCAGTAGGCCAGATGGTGCCACGGCACTCCAGCCTGGGTGACAGAGTGAGACTCTGTCTCAAAAAAAATAAATAAATAAAAATAAAGGAAAAAAAGAAAGAAAATAAATCCTCTACAAAGAAAGCAAGTCTGAGTTCGTTTGGGTTATCGGTATATTCTGTCTTCCCCGCGAGGTGGTGGCCCTCTTCTGCTCACTGCCTGTTATTTGTGGCGCCCAGGACAGGACTCACGCAGAGCCAATGCTCAGTAACTGCTGGCTGAGTGATACGATCTCCTAATAATCCTCCTCATCTCTTCCCATAACAACCAATTCAATTATTTAGGGTCTGGGGGCCAGGAAGTCCTTCTGACAAATCCCATAGGAGTTCTAACCCTTATTAGAGTTAACAGCTTCAGCCTACTTCCTGCTTCCCCTCCGAACCTCCTCAAGAATTGATAACAAGTAATAATCCTGGGCTGATTTGATTTAAGGCTCTGCTCTTCCTCCTGTCTTTCCCTGTGGGAAATGCCACTCAGCCCCAGAGCTGCAGAAGGCGGGTGGCCAGGAGGCGATGACCTGGGAGGACCTTTCAATCCAACGGTGCTCACCACCTGCCTGGGATGGCCTCCTCGGAGCCCCCCTCCCATCTATGGCTTTGTAAGTCCTTAGGGTATTTATGAAAAATTAAATGACAATCTAGTGCTGAGAAGTAGGAAGAGGCAATTCAGAGAACAGACAAGTAATGCCAGGTCCAGAGAGGCCAGCAAGACTCTCAAAGCAGCCCTGCAGGGTGGCAGCAGCCAGGACCAGGATGCACGACCCCTGCCTTCCACCCCAGGGTGCCCTTCAATCCCAGAGCCACGCAGCTCCGGGCTCCTGCCCCTGTCCGCAGAAGTCGCCCAAGGCGTCCACTTGCACCCCTTCACACATACACCTGCAGAAGCAGCCGCACCTCTGCCCAGTGCTGCTGGGTGGCCACGTTCACTGGCCTTCGGCTCAAAATGCTGGCTCTCCACCCAGAGCCTTCCTGGGCCTTAAACATAATTCTACTGTTGAACTGGGCTGTCACAGAGTGCCTCAAAAGTCACCTCCTTCTCCCCACTCCCAGCTCCAGAGCACCGGTGACTGTGACTTCCACTTCCAATGTCTTGTGTCATTCAAGGAGGGCAGGTAAGAGGACGTGCCCAGGTTAGCCTCTTCCTTGGACATTCGACGTCACCATTCCTCCAGAGTGGTGCAAAGCTAGGTGTGCGCGGAGCTGGGGAAGGGCAAAAGCCCAGCCAGCTTGTCTCTGCTTGTTTCTATCCACGCAGGCACATGGAGACACACACACACACACACACACACACACACACACACACACACATCACATCCTTGTGGCCCCACCACCTCTGGCCCCCACACTCCATTCAGCCCCCGGCCTCTCTGCTGCCATAAGCACCCTCCTACCAGCAAGCACAGCCATCACTTGGAGGCTGTGGTCCTGAGCTCTGGCTTCCCCAAAGGTGAAACGGAATGATAGGATTGTTGTGGGGATTCCATGAGATGACGTCTGTAAACAGCTCAGCACAGTGCGGGGCACATGAAGATGACCATGATTCTGCCACTTCCCCTAGAAGTCAGTTACACCCAAGTCCCTTCAGTGCCCAGACACCTGCCACCATGCCACCACTGCCACATGACACCACTGCCACCACTGCCACATGCCACCACTGCCACATGCCACCACTGCCACCAGGCCACCACTGCCACACGACACCACTGCCACCATGCCACCACTGCCACTACTGCCACCATTGCCACACGACACCACTGCCACCACTGCCACATGACACCACTGCCACCAGGCCACCACTGCCACCAGGCCACCACTGCCACACGACACCACTGCCACCAGGCCACCACTGCCACCACTGCCACCATTGCCACATGACACCACTGCCGCCACTGCCACCACTGCCACCATGACACCACTGCCCTGGCCACAGAGCAGGCTCAAGGGCCTTCATCCTTCACATAAGCCACCTGCCACTATGTGGTCAACACGACCAGTGCCCAGCAATATCCCCATCCTCCTGTCTTTCTGGGCACATGGAAGGCCGTACTGTCTGGCCACTTGGCAGTCCCTGGGCAGGGCCAGGTGCTCAGTCCTGGCTAACAAACTGTAAGTGGACATGACAAGTATCATTTCACGGCTGAACAGTGAAAAATTACACACAGCTCTTTCTCCCTTTCTCCTCCCTCTGTGACCCTTGGAGGCCACATATTCCAAATGGTGCAGTCTCCATCAGGCTGGGTCCCGGCATGACCACGGGGAGCAGAGCCCCCCGTCTACCAGGACCACTGTGAGCAAGCAGCAGCTTGCTTGTGTTAAGTGATGAGGATTTCAGCAGTAATTTGTGGGGGGTTTTGGTTGTTTTTTTTTTTTTTTGACACAGAGTCTCACTCTGTCGCCCAGCCTGGAGTGCAGTGGCACAATCTCGGCTCACTGCAACCTCTGCCTCCTGAGTTCAAGTGAGTCTCCTGCCTCAGCCTCCTGAGTAGCTGGGATTACAGTCACCCACTACCACACTCAGCTAATTTTTATATTTTTAGTAGAGATGGGATTTCCCAATGTTGGCCAGGCTGGTCTCAAACTCCTGACCTCAGGTGACCCACCCGCCTCAGCCTCCCAAAGTGCCGGGATTAGTGTGAGCTACCACGCCCGGCCTTCAGCATTAATTTGGTTCTACGGCATGACCGGCTACCCTAACACCCTGCTCCCACTCAGCCCTTCCATGTATGCTCAGAAGGCCAACCCCAGCCTCACGGAAGCTCCACACACACTTCCCAACACAGCACCTGACAGTCCTTTCTCCTAACCCCACCCACGCCAGCCTCATGGCAAGCTGCAGCCGCCCTTTTCCCATTCAGGAGAGAAGCAGAAACCCAGCACCCTCTTCTGGGGAAAGACGGGAAAGCAAGGTGGAATGTCTTCCAGCAAGTAAGTAAGTGCCAGGAGCACCAACGGCTTAGTGTTGGGTAGAAGCTGGCACCTGAGGGCCACGCCTTCCCAGCCAGCATGATGGCCCCAGGCTGGTCAATGACCCACCCACTCTCCCCAGGCTGGTCAATGGGCCCACCCCACGGTAAGCTTCAAGGATGGCCTGCTTGCTGCTGATGAGTGAAGTAAGCCCAAAGGTTGTCGGGGAAATACCCGCATTCCTAAGAGCATTATTGACACTCGCCAAAAAACAGAAACACCTCAAGTGTCTATGGGTGGATGAATGGATACACAAAACGCGGCCTTTACATAAAACGGATATTATTCGGCTTATATTCCGACACAGGCCAATTCTGACATCGATGAACCTTGGGGGCATTAGGCTACGTGAAAGAAGCTGGTCACAGAAAGGCAAATACCACATGATTCCACTCGGATGAGGTGCTTAGAGCAGTTAGATTCATCAAGTCAGAAAGTAGGAGGGTGGTGGCCAGGAGCTGGGGGCTGGAGAAACGGGGAGCTGTTGTTCAATACAGGGGTCCCCAGCCCCCCCGGGCATGGACCGGCACCAGTCCGTGGCCTGTTGGGAACCAGGATGCACAGCCGGAGGTGAGTGGTGGGTGAGCAAGCGTCACCCCCTGAACCCCACTTCCCATCCGAGCAGCAGCGGCATTAGGTTCTCGTAGGAGCGTGAGCCCTGTCGTGATCTGCGCGTGCGAGGGATCGCAGTTCCATCCCGAAAGCGCTCCCCACCCTTCCCCGGTCCGTGGAAAAAGTGTCTTCCACGAAGCCGGTCCCTGGTGCGCTGGTTTCACAGATGCGGAGTCTCAGTTTAGCCAGGTGAGAGTTCCGGAGATGACGGTGCTGATGGCCGCACCAGAGTGTGAACGTGCCTCGGGCCACTGATGCGTACACTGGATGGAAAATTTTAGGCATGTGTATTTTGCCATGATTTTCTTTTGTTTTTTGTTTTTGTTTTTGTTTTTTTTGAGACAGAGTCTCACTCTGTCACCCAGGCTGGAGTGCAGTGGCGCCATCTCGGCTCACTGCAAGCTCCGCCTCCTGGGTTCACGCCATTCTCCTGCCTCAGCCTCCCAAGTAGCTGGGACGACAGGTGCCTGCCACCATGCCTGGCTAAATTTTTTTGTATTTTTAGTAGAGACGGGGTTTCACCGTGTTAGCCGGGATGGTCTCGATCTCCTGACCTCGTGGTCCACCCACCTCGGCCTCCCAAAGTGCTGGGATTACAGGCGTGAGCTACCTAGCGCCCGGCCTATTTTGCCATAATTTAAAAAAATAGAATAAAATCTAAATTTAAAAAAAAAGTAGACAGGAAAGGAGTAATACCAGGGACAGAGACCCCCCCATGGGTATCGACAGGAGGCCAGGGGGCTGAACCAGGCCTGGAGCCCACCCAGCTTCTGAAGAGGGGTTGGGAGTCACCTTCTGAATTACAAAGGAAGATCCCACCTCCAGAATTCATTTCTGGTTTTAGTTTTTTTTTTTTTTTTTGAGACAGAATCTCACTCTGTCACCCAGGCTGGAGTGCGGTGGTGTGATCTCAGCAACTTCCACCTCCCGGGTTCAAGAGATTCTCCTGTCTCAGCCTCCCGAGTAGGTGGGATTACAGGCATGCACCACCACACCCAGCTAATTTTTGTATTTTTAGTAGAGATGGGGTTTCACCATGTTGGCCAGCTGGTCTCGAACTCCTGACCTCAGGTGATCTACCCACCTTAGCCTCTCAAAGTGCTGGGGTTACAGGCGTGAGGCACTGTGCCCGGCCCAGAGCTCATTTCTGTTTTGCCGCCAACTCCCTGGCACAAGACGAGCTCAGCTCGGCCATAGGTAGGGGTTGCCGGGCACCTGTCAGCTCCAAATGCCAGGAGCCAGGCTCTCCGAATTCCACTCCCAGTTTTAGCTGTGTGTCCTGGGGCAAGTTGCTTCATCTCTCTGTGCTTTAGTGTCCTCATTTGTCAAATGAAGATAATAACATAACAACATCATCCCATGCAGCTTTTGTGACAGTTGAATGAGTTAGTCCAGGCGAAGTTCTAAGAACAGGGCCTGGCACGTGGTATAACGTTAGTGGCTGTTATTGTCGTCACTGACGTTGTCACTGCTGTTGTCCCTGTTGTTATGATTTCTCCCCATAGTCCCGGCCTGGGAGAGACACCGAGAGGAAGGCCAGCTTGCCCGGTGTCTTCTCAAGGGCTGACACACTTCTCAAAGCGCTGAGATTACAGACGTGAGCCACCGCGCCCGGCCTGTGTCAGAATTTTTTTTGTTACCCACCTGACAAAGCTCTTCATCTTGCTAAAGATAACAGAGCACTTGGCCAAGCCAGCGCGATGTCTGCACTCAGATCTCCTCTCTCATCTTTTGCCCACAATGGGAAAGGAGGTAAGAAGTCTGTGTTCCGGGTGTGCTGAGCACTTGCTGTGTGCTGGGAGTTGCGGTAGACACTGTCCTGTATGATTCCACTCTGAAGAGGTGCTCAGAGCAGTCAGATTCGTCCAGACACAAAGAGGAGGGTGGTGGCCAGGAGCTGCAAGCAGCGGCACACGTGTGGGCAATACACAGGTTGCCCAAGCGCCGAGAGAGGCCCAGGAGGACGGGCCCCGGGCATGGCAAGCGCACTGCCCCCTCTCACTCCTCCGGCGGCCGCCGTCCACTCCCAGTCCTAGATCTGAGCTCCTTCCTGGGAGTCCAGGGCCCTTCACAAGTTTGGGTGAACACTCCTGGTACACGGTCTGTGGTAACATCCTGCACGGCTCTAAACCAGAGGCAACAGGGCACCCCACCCACTGGGAACCACGCGAGCAGGGAGGGACGAAGGGAGGAGCATCACGCACACAGACGCCGGACTCCCTAGGTTCTGCAAACCCAGCCATCAACACACAGAGGCCCACGAGCCCATTCCTGAGCCTCCCTCCCTTGCTGAGCTACTGGTGCGCGTATGTGTGCATATATATACACATGTGCACACACACACTCCTGGGGGTGAGGAGGTCACGTATGCAACTTGCTGTCATCTTTCTAAAAGGTAAGAATGGAGGCAGGAGAACATTTGATTCAGAGCTCATGCTCTGCAGCCAGACTGACTGGGTCTGAATCACAGGCTCCACCCCTTACCAGCTGTGTGACCTTGGGCAAGTCACATAACCTCTCTGTGCCTCTGTTTTACCTTCAACATGGAGTAACAGTAGCACCCAAGTTCACAGGGTTTCTGTGAGGATGAAACGAGTAAACATCTAAAGCACACCGAAGAGAGGATTAGTTCCTATTACCACACCTCAGAAGCTCAGCAAGTCAGATCTCATGACTGCCAGGCTCTCACAGAGGCCCTGGTTCCCCTCTGGCTCTACGTCTTATTTCCCTGGACCAGTTCCCTAAAGCCCTGTCTGCTGAGAACTCATCTGACAATTCATCCTAATCCCTAGAGGGCCCCAAGCAAAAATCCCAAGCTCAGTTCCTGCACCCAGGCTAGGCTTGGTCAGTGTCCAGCCCTGCCCTCCCCAACTGCTTCCTGGGCGTGACACCCTCAACGCCCCCACCTCTCTCATTCTGCCATTTAGAAACCACAAAGGGCCTCGGTCAGCCACTCCCCACCTCAAAGCCGCGTTCTTCCCTGCGGAGAGATTGTCATGGTTTTTCCAGCAGGGGATGGAGAAGTGTGTTTCTTCACAGGACATCCTGAGAATGCCTGATTCTGGGGATGGCTGACATCCTACAGAGCCCTGGACAGGAAGCCCAAGGATTTAGGTTGAACCCTTTTTGGGCAGGTCACTTCAACTCTCTGGCTGCCCGATCCGGCTCTTCTGCAAAACAGGAACATCACTGCCTCCTCCCCAAGTGAGGGAGAGGATACAATAGAAAGACAGGACATCCATCCCGGCTAACACGAGGAAACTCCGTCTCTACTAAAAATACAAAAAAGTTAGCCGGGCGTGGTGATGAGCGCCTGTAGTCCCAGCACTTTGAGAGGCCGAAGCAGGTGGATCACGAGGTCAGGAGATCGAGACCATCCTGGCTAACACGGGGAAACCCCGCCTCTACTAAAAATACAAAAAAGTTAGCCAGGCGTGGTGGTGAGCACCTGTAGTCCCAGCACTTTGGGAGGCCAAAGCAGGTGGATCACGAGGTCAGGAAATCGAGACCATCCTGGTTAACACGGGGAAACCCCGTCTCTACTAAAAATACAAAAAAGTTAGCTAGGTGTGGTGGCAGGTGCCTGTAGTCCCATCTACTCGGGAGGCTGAGGCAGGAGAATGGCGTGAACCTAGAGCTTGCAGTGAGCCGAGATCGCGCCACTGCGCTCCAGCCTGGGCTACAGAGCGAGACTCTGTCTCAAAAAAAAAAAAAAAAAGACAGGACAGGCTGGGCTGGTGGCTGATGCCTGTAATCCCAGCACTTTGGGAGGCTGAGGTGGGTGGATCACCTGAGGTCAGGAGTTTGAGACCAGCCTGGTCAACATGGGGAAACCCCATCTCTACTAAAAATACAAAAAATTAGCCGGGCGTGGTGGTGCGTGCCTGTAATCTCAGCTACTCGGGAGGCTGAAGCAGAAGAATCACTTGAGTCCAGGAGGTGGAAGTTACAGTGAGCCGAGATCGCGCCACTGCACTCCAGCCTGGAGAACAAGAGTGAAACTCTGTCTCAAAAAAAAAAAAAGACAGGACAGTGTCTACTACAACTCCCGGCACACAACAAGTGCTCAGCACACCTGGAACACAGACTTTTTACCTCCTTTCCCGTTGTAGGCAAAAGATGAGAGAGGAGATCTGAACCCAGGCATTGCACTGGCTTGGCCAAGCGCTCTGTTATCTTTAGCAAGATGATGAGCTTTGTCACGTGGTTAACAAAAAAAATTCTGACACAGGCCGGGCGCGGTGGGTCATGCCTGTAATCCCAGCACTTTGGGAGGCCGAGGTGGGTGGATCACATGAGGTCAGGAGTTTGAGACCAGCCTGGCCAACACAGTGAAACCTGTCTCTACAGACAATACAAAATTAGCCAGGCATGGTGGTGCACGCCTGTAGTCCCAGCTACTTGGGCTGAGGCAGGAGAATCGCCTGAACCAATGAGCCGAGATTGCACCATTGCACTCCAGCCTGAGCAACAAGAGTGAAACTCCGTTAAAAAAAAAATTTTTGACACAGCCTGGGCAGGTTTAATCAGCTGTGATCCAGAGCCGCCCTCTGTTCTGGGAGATGGGGACCAGTCTGGACCCCTTTCTTGCCCCATCATCAGGTGCACTTGGTCAAATCCCCACCATACCCCTTCCCCCATAACTAGGCAGAAGGACCAAGGAAGGCCCCCTGACACTACATGGGCCTGGTGTGGCCCCCTGTGTCCCTCAGTCATACCCCCCAGCCTGGCCAATGCCCAGATGGCTTTTGGGACAGTGCCCATCATGCCCCCCAGCAGATGGCACACCTGCGGGAGGGCTGGGGGTCCAGGCACACCTACGGGAGGGCTGGGGGTCCAGGCACACCTGCGGGAGGGCTGGGGGTCCAGGCACACCTGCGGGAGGGCTAGGGATCCAGGCACACCTGCGGGAGGGCTGGGGGTCCAGGCACACCTACGGGAGGGCTGGGGGTCCAGGCACACCTGCGGGAGGGCTGGGGGTCCAGGCACACCTGCGGGAGGGCTAGGGATCCAGGCACACCTGCGGGAGGGCTGGGGGTCCAGGCACACCTACGGGAGGGCTGGGGGTCCAGGCACACCTGCGGGGAGGGCTGGGGATCCAGGCACACCTGCGGGAGGGCTGGGGGTCCAGGCACACCTACGGGAGGGCTGGGGGTCCAGGCACACCTGCGGGGAGGGCTGGGGGTCCAGGCACACCTGCGGGAGGGCTGGGGGTCCAGGCACACCTGCGGGAGGGCTGGGGGTCCAGGCACACCTACGGGAGGGCTGGGGGTCCAGGCACACCTGCGGGAGGGCTGGGGGTCCAGGCACACCTGCGGGAGGGCTGGGGACCCAGGCACACCTGCGGGAGGGCTGGGGGTCCAGGCACACCTGCGGGAGGGCTGGGGGTCCAGGCACACCTGCGGGAGGGCTGGGGATCCAGGCACACCTGCGGGAGGGCTGGGTCCAGGTCTACCGAACCTGTCAGCCTGTCACACGCATCACATGGTGAGAAAACCTCGCCCGGCAACCATCTCATCCTTCTCACTGGTTTGAAGCCTGGTGGTCACCATAGCAACAGGCTCCCGCTCCAGCCTGCCAGGCGGGGCTGATGCAATTCTCGGCAGCGAGCAGCTCCAACTCAGCTCACATGGCTCTGCTCCCACTCGGGGGCGGGCGCGTGGGAGGACCAACGAAGAGGGAGGAGGTGGGCACGCAGCCCACAGAAATCTCAGCTTCCCCCAGTTCTGCTCCGAGGACTGGGTCTAAGGGGCGAGGGCCAGGAACTGAGCAGCGGGTTCACCTCCCAGGTCCTTCATGATCCTGGTGTCCCTGCCGCGGCTGCCACTTCTGGGAGATTCATCTCTAAGGCCTCAGGGGACCTGGGGGATCGGGAGACAGGCTGTACCATGGCGTCTCCACCACCACACGGTCCCCTCCCCGCCTGCACCCCACAAGCTGGGCACCCCCACTTCCCGGGGCCCACGGGCAGCCCGGACCTTCAGAATTCAACAGGTGCAGCTTACAGTTCCCGTCCCGTGGTGCTGCCTGCCCTGGTTGCATTAAAGTGCTCATAAAGCCCAGAATCCTCCTGCAAACCAAAATATCTCCATGGTGCCGGCCAGCCCCTTCCTCCCAGCTTTCCATCCCACTCCACAAGGGTGTCTGGCTGCCCTGGGGAGTGTTACCTCCTCTGCACGGAAGGCACACTAGCTGAGAGCCCGTTCAAGCATCCACATCCCCCAATTTCATGGAACGAGCACACAGAAAGGATGGGGGTCACCTCGTCCTGCCTGCCCGCCCACCCCCCACACACTGCGGACACAGGGAAGGAAGCCACAGGACAAGAGCTTGGCAATGCCGTGTCCTCAGGGCTCCGGCGCCTACCCATGGATGTAGTGCTCGCCCTCCCAAGGCCGGTGTCCTGGTGACGATGCCACTAGTGCCAAGAATGCTTCCCTCCTGCAGGCCCCGCTCCCTTCCCCATTCCAGCAGCCACTTCCCACCCTGCATTTGTTCCCTCCTACCTGGCCCTCACCAAGGCATCCACCCAATCCTGGCGGGGCCTCAGCACAAACAGGGCCTGCTCTGGGACCATGCCTCCTGCCAGGACGCTGTGCCAGGAGGAGGGATCTGCAGATCCCTTCCCGGGCGCCCTGGGGGCCAGCCAGTCACACTGGGCCCTCTCTGTGGTCGCCTCGATGCCTGTGGGAAGTGATTAGCTCTGAGGCCACTTGAGAGATGGTGTTCAGCTCTGGGATGTCCCAGCAATGTGTACTATGGGAGCCTCCAGGATGACTGGAGCAGATGGGCAAAGAAGGTAAACTGTCAGGCTGGGGGCATCTTTCCAGACACACAGATCCACGGAGTCACGTTGAGTGAGTCCAGAAAGGAACCCACATATCTATGGTCGACGGATTGTCAACAAGGGCACCAAGACCCTTCATGGGGAAAGAAGAATCTTTTCACCAAATGGTGCTGGGACAACCAGATTGCCACATGTAAAAGTTGAACTTTTACTTTCTACCATATTCAAAAAATAACTCTAAATGGATCAAAGACCTAAATGTAACAGCTAAAGCTAAACAACATGTAGAAGAAAACCTGGGGGTAGATCTTCATGGTCTTGGACTTGGCAAAGGATTCTTACATACGACACCAGAAGCACAAGCAACAGAGAGCACGGGGGAACCGCACGTCATCAATGAACAGTTCTTTGCTTCAAAGGACCCCATCAAGAAAGTGAAAAGACAATGTGCAGAGGGGAAGAAAACATATCTAGACTATATTTTAAAAATCTTACAACTCAACGATAAAAAGACATCTAGGCCGGCCGCAGTGGCTCACACCTGCAATCCCAGCACTTTGGGAGGCCGAGGCGGGCAGATCACAAGGTCAGGAGTTTGAGACCAGCCTAACCAACATAGTAAAACCCTGTCTCTACTAAAACTACAAAAATTAGCCAGGCGTGGTGGCAGGTGCCTGTAATCCCAGCTACTCGGGAGGCTGAGGCAGGAAAATCCAGGAGGCGGAGGTTGCAGTGAGCCGAGATTGCGCCATTGCACTCCAGCCTGGGCAAAAGAGCGAAATTCCGTCTCAAAAAAAAAAAAAAAAAAAAAAAGGATAGGGTGGCAGGTAGGTGGGTGACCAGATCCTGCTGGCCATCGAGGGACAGGAGAGGTGCTCACCGTGGAGCACAGTGTCCTGGTACCCAGGTGGCCCCAGGTTCAACTCCAACACTGTGATCCTCAATGGGGGTGCTGTGGGGACCCAAATTCAGACACCCATGCCCACCAGCCTACACCAGAGGGCAGACGGGTATCTAAGGGGCACATGCTGTGGGGAAGAGCCTAGGCCTCCGGCTGCAGGGGGCTCATGAGGAGCCATTCTGAGGACTGAGCCTTTGTTGAGAGGGAACCTGGGGCCAGGTGGCTGCTCCCTTCACATGGGCGACAGTGTCCAGTGAGAAAATAAACCTCTTTTCATGTGAAGAAAAAAAAAAGGCCTCTCCTGAGTTCCTGGCTGGGTAGCCGGGTAGACGGCAGAGCTAAATGCTGTGGTGGCTCACGCCTGCAATGCCAGCACTTCGGGAGGCCGAGGTGGAAGGATCACCTGACGCCAGGAGTTCAAGACCAGCCTGGCCAACGTGGTGAAAACTCGTCTCTACTAAAAATACAAAAATTAGCCAGACGTGGTGGCGCACACCTACAATCCCAGCTACTTGGGAGGTTGAGGCAGGAGAATCACCTGAACCCGGGAGGCGGAGGTTGCAGTGAGTGGAGATCGTGCCACTGCACTCCAGCCTGGGTGACAGAGAGAGACTCTGTCTCAAAAAGAAAAAAAAAAAGCTTTATGTGCATTATCTTATGTAATCCTCTTAACAATTACTTGGTGAATAGTGAGTTCCACTATTATCCCCATTTCATAGAGGAGTAAACTGAGGCACAGGGAGATGGACTAACTTGCTCATAGTCACGTAGTTACTTAATGGTGAGGCTGGGATCTGAATACAGGCAGCCTGAGAAGTGGCTCTTCCGTCCACCTCCAACCTCCTTTTAGCCGAGGGTTTTGAGCTCATTTCAACACAGCCACTGTGTCCAGGGATACCAGCAAAGAATTAGATCAATGTCAGGCTCTGACGCACAGGCAGGCTCAGTAATAACAACAGTCCACACACACATACGATAAGTTAACTCACCGCAGCCTCACACCGCGCCAGGAGGCAGGCACTAATATTATCTCAATTTTACGGATGAGGAAACCGAAGCTCAGAGAGGTCAGATGACTGGCCCAAGGTCACACAGCTGCTGAGTGGCAAAGCTTGGAACCCGGGCAGTCTGGTCTCAGACACTACCCTCTCTTGCTACTAAGTCAGTCGTGCTACAGCGCACATTACTTTTTTTTTTTTTTTTTTGAGATGAAGTCTCACTCTGTCGCCCAGGCTGGAGTGCAAAGGTGCAACCTTAGCTCACTGCAACCTCCACCTCCCGGGTTCAAGTAATTCTCCTGCCTCAGCCTCCCAAATAGCTGGGATTACAGGTGTGCGCCACCACGCCCGGCTAATTTTTATATTTTTAATAGAGACAGGGTCTCACCATGTTGGCCAGGCTGGTCTCGAACTCCTGACCTCATGTGATCTGCCTGCCTCGGCCTCCCAAAGTGCTGGGATTACAGGCGTGAGCCACCGCGCCCGACCTCAGTGCACACAGTTCTAACATGCCTAGGGGGCTGGTCCCTCAGGCCACAGGCCCTGAGAAGCAGCAACTACAAGGGAAGAGCCGCTGCTGGAACACGCCCAGCGGAACAGGGGGAAGCCAACAATCCCGGCAGATGAAGGAAAGGAACCGGCAGGCACACCGCTCTCACGCCAATGCGTGCGGACAGCCTGGTGGGATCAGCAGGACCATGACCTGAGCCTGCCTGCCAGGCACAGAACCTCAGGCGCACCCAGGCAGACCCACGATGGGGTGCACTCAGCCCCGTATCATTCATGCTGCAGGTCAGCCTAGGAAGGGATCGTGCAGTTTGGTAGGTCACCTTCTAGAATGGATTGAAAAGGATTATCTCGCCTAATAAGGGCAGGTATTACTTTATGAGGCTCATTTCAAGCGTGCATGGGTATATGTGTGTGTGCAGATGTACGTATGTGTGTCGCGTTGCAGCATGAAATGATTTTCCACTATGGATTCTCTTCCAACAGGTGGAAGGAGCGTGACCACCCCTGAGTAAGCCGCCATTTATTCCTGCAATGGAATTCCAGGCAGCTTTGACGGTGCACAGTTTAGAGCTACAGGCAGGAGCGAAGATGAACCTAAAAACATAAATTTAACCAGAAAAGGGCAGCTCACAGGAACATGCTTACAATGTAATTCTTCTTCTTTTTATTCTTTTTTTAAATTTGTATTTATTTATTTTTTTTAAAGTAGAGATGGAGTTTCGCCATGTTGCCCAGGCTGGTCTCAAACTCCTGGACTCAGGCAATCCAGCTGCCTCGGCCTCCCAGACTGCTGGGATTACAGGCGTGAACCACCGCGCCCAGCCGTCTCGTTAGTCTTTAGTAAACCAAACCCAGACATTGTATGTGCTGTTTTGCATATTGCTACATTTCACATATAACACAGAAAATGGCTGGGTGCGGTGGCTCACACCTGTAATCCCAGCACTTTGGGAGGCCGAGACAGGCAGATCGCCTGAGGTCAGGAGTTCAAGACCAGCTTGGCCAACATGATGAAACCTTGTCTGTACTAAAAATACAAAAATTAGCCAGGCGTGATGGTGGGCACCTGTAGTCCCAGCTACTCGGGAGGCTGAGGTAGGAGAATTGCTTGAACCTGGGAGTTGGAAGTTGCAATGAGCCAAGACCGTGCCACTGCACTCCAGCCTGGGTGACAGAGCAAGACTCTGTCTTAAAAAAAAAAAAGGAATCAAAAGTGCGTAGGGCTAGTCCAACCCTTACATTTCACAGCTGAGGACACAGAGGGCTGGCATGGGAGTGGCGGAGGTAGAATAAAAACCCAGATCTCCTGCCTCCCAGTGCAGCCAAAGCCACCGTTGTAACCACAGCCTAGGATTACCCAGAGAAGGCTGAAGCCTGTTCAGACTACAGGGAGCCTGTTTGGGACTCACAGTCCTCTGGCGATGAGCAGAGACTCTTCATGCTTTCGTGCCTTGGACCCACAGCAGCCTGGTGAAGCCAAGGGACCTTTCTCTGAAGAATGTTTTGAAATGCGTAAAACTAAACTATGCAGGATGACAAAGGAAACCAACTATATTAAACTACTGTCTTAGTCATGGAACTCTCAGGAGTCCAAGAGAAGTAGGAATGCAGTACTCATACACAAGAGAAGAATGCGGTACTCACATACAGGAGAAGTAAGAATGCGGTACTCACACACGGGAGAAGTAGGAATGTGGTACTCACACACGGGAGAAGTATGTGGTACTCACACACGAGAAGTAAGAATGCGGTACTCACGCACAAGGGAAGTATGCGGTACTCACACACAGGAGAAGTAAGAATGCGGTACTCACGCACAAGGGAAGTATGCGGTACTCACACACAGGAGAAGTAAGAATGCGGTACTCACACACGGGAGAAGTAAGAATGCGGTACTCACGCACAAGGGAAGTATGCGGTACTCACACACAGGAGAAGTAGGAATGCGGTACTCACGCACAAGGGAAGTATGCGGTACTCACACACAGGAGAAGTATGTGGTACTCACACACAGGAGAAGTAAGAATGCAGTACTCACGCACAAGGGAAGTATGCGGTACTCACACACAGGAGAAGTAGGAATGCGGTACTCACGCACAAGGGAAGTATGCGGTACTCACACACAGGAGAAGTAGGAACGCAGTACTCACACACAGGAAGCACTCAGTAAAAGCCAGTGACACTTACGACCATTAATCTTCAGAATCCCTTCCACGTCCTTGGTCGTGGGTCCACGATGCTGAGGAGGGAGGCCCAGGGACCTGTGCCTTTGAGTCAGACCTGTGGGAGCCCCTCCAGGGCCTGATCTCGGCGAGGGATGAGGGATGCTGGCCCTGAACTGCAGGCCTCACACGTGACGCTGCCGCCGCTTGGGGAGGTGCCTTCTGGAGGGAACAGGTCCCTTGGGGCTGAGAGGAGAGGGACCCACAGCAGGCCCTGCCTGGAGACAGGGAGGTAGGGCGCAGGAGGAAACACTTACACCAATAGGAGCAGAGCCCTGGGGTCTAGGGCCGCTGTACCTCTCCTCTCTGGTACAAGGTTCAAGAATTGCTTGAACCCAGGAGGTGGAGGCTGCAGTGAGCTGAGATTACACCACTGCACTCCAGCCTAGGCGACAGAGCAAGACTCTGTCTCAAAAACAAAAAACAATAACAAAAAAAAACCACACACACACACACACACACAAAAGGACTAACACAGCCTCTTATGGGCCAGGCACTCACACATTATTTAAGCAAAGTTCATGAAATGTCAGCTCTGCAACTGTACAGTCAGTAGGAATTACACCCCAAATTCAGATGAGGAAACAGGCTCAAAGATGTAACAGCTTCATGCAACCAGCATTGACACCTACGTCTCTCTGACTCTAAGGAGAACTGAATCCCAGTGAATGTCCGTTCATTCATTTTTCATTCATTCATTCACTCACCAAACACTTCTCATGGTTCAGGCACTGTTCCAGGTGCCAGGGGTACGACGGAGCAGCAAACAGACCAAATGTCTGCCCTGTGGAGCTGAGTTCACACGACAGCCAGACGCCGAGCGCGTACGAGGCTCTGGGGAGGGAGGCGGCGCAGATGACTCAGCCAGGGCCACCCCCGAGGAGCTCACATTCAGGTTAATGGAGGTGTTGCCATTCTCTGTTGAAGAAGTGGGGGAGGACAGACGTGGCGCATCTGAGAACCTATTCTACCGTGAATTATTAACACTTTTCACAGAGGCCACGCTCCACAAAGGGAACTTCAGCGATACGGAAATCTCCCAAGGTGGGACGCCCGTGCGGTGGAGGCAACGTCACTCCATCGAGCCTTGCTCTCTGGCCCCGCCACCTGTACGAGTGCTGCAGACGGTGCCTTCTGAGGGAAGCGGGCAGGTGTCGCTGGACCGCCCTGCCTGCTAAATATCTATGTGGATTCCCGTTCCAAGGACACCATCCCTTCTCAGGGATACAAGGCTGGGGTGTCTGAGTCTCATCTCCTTCCCAGCACCTATCCTGGGAAGGTTTTGTCGGAAATCCCCGTCACCCACAAGTCCAGTCTTTTTTTTTTTTCTGAGTCTCATCTCCTTCCCAGCACCTATCCTGGGAAGGTTTTGTTGGAAATCCCCGTCACCCACAAGTCCAGTCTTTTTTTTTTTTAAGACAAGGTCTCATTCCTTTGCCCAGGCCAGAGTGCAGAATGTGATCACAGCTCACTGTAAGCTCAAACTCCTGGGCTCACATGATCCTCCCACCTCAGCCTCCCAAGTAGCTTAGACTCTAGGGGCATTCCACCACACCTGGCTAATTTTTTAAAATTTTTTTGTAGAGACAGGGTCTTGATATGTTGCCCGGACTGGTCTTGAACTCTTAGTCTCGAGCAATCCTCCCATCTCTGCCTCCCAAAGTGCTAGGATAACAGGTGTGAGCCACCGTGCCCGGTCAAAGTCACTATTTTTTTTTTTTTTTTTGAGATGAGGTCTCACTCTGTAGCCCAGGCTGGAGTGCACTGGCATGATCTTGGCTCATTGCAATCTCCGCCTCCAGGGTTCAAACAATTCTCCTGCCTCAACTTCTCTAGTAGCTAGGATTACAGGCGTGTACCACCACACCCAGCTAATTTTTGTATTTTTAGTAGAGACAGGGTTTCACCATGTTGGCCAGGCTGGTCTCAAACTCCTGACCTCAGGTGATCCACCCGCCTCGGCCTCCCACAGTGCTGGGATGACAGGTGTGAGCCACAGCGCCCGGCCAGAAGTCACTCCTTTTACAGCTGGGCCGAAGGCACCTGTTAGGTCCTCTCCCACCCGCTACACCACTAGCTAATGGTAATCATAGCACCCATTCCCCTGGGAGCCCCAAACCAGCCCGGGAGATGCATTTCACTGCGGAGGCTCATTAAGTGACTCTCCCAGTGCTGCACGGACTTTACATGGGGACGCTGGGTTCGAATCCAGGCTCTGCAATGTTGCAATTTCTCTTTCCTTTGCCGACACATCCTCCAGAGGTTAGAGACTCCCAGCAGAACTGAGGATGTGAAAAGACTCAGTTCGTGGTGAGGACCCAGTGAGTGTTTATCAACAGCAACAATTATCCCTTACTCTGGCAGAGAACAGCGCCGTGAACACACGTCGCCAGCATCCAGCTTCTCAGCTGATTTTTACAACAGCCCCAGGACATACGTGGGACAGGCGTTTATCACCCTCACTTTGCAGACAGGAGAGACTCGGCAAGAACAGCTGCACCTAGACACAGCCTGGTTTCCTGGCGTGGGCCCCTCCGGATCCCCTCTCCCTGCTTCTCCATCCTCTCTTCCACCCCAGCAGGAGATGAGAGGAAGACAAGGGCATGAGGCTGGGATGTGGTACCCCCAGCTCCCCACTGTGGGCCACCCGGGCTGTGCACGCTCCTGCCCAGAAGCCCTCACCACATGGCCTCTGCCTCCAGGTCTAGGACACAGACCCTGCCCTCACCCTGCCCACATTTCCGTCATAGCTCTCCCCGCACTCCTCAGCCTGAGTGTGGCATCTGCTTCCTGACGGGCCCTAATGGATGTGGCTCACACCTGTCATCCCAGCACTTTGAAAGGCTAGGCCAAGCACAGTGGCTCACACCTGTCATCCCAGCACTTTGAAAGGCTAGGCCAAGCACCCCGGCTCACACCTGTCATCCCAGCACTTTGAAAGGCTAGGCCAAGCACAGTGGCTCACACCTGTCATCCCAGCACTTTGGGAGGCTGAGGCAGGTGGATCACGAGGTCAGGAGTTTGAGGCCAGCCTGGCCAACATGGTGAAACCCCGTCTCTAATAAAAATACAAAAATTAGCTGGGCTTGGTGCTGGGTGCCTGTAGTCCCAGCTACTCAGGAGGCTGAGGCAAAAGAATCCCTTGAACCCAGAAGGTGGAGGTTGCAGTGAGCCGAGATCCTGCCATTGCACTCCAGCCTGGGCGACAGAGCGAGACTCAATCTCAAAAAAAAGAACATGAACATTAATCTTTTGCTCCATTAATTTGTGCCTCTCTGTTCTCTCCTGTAAACTGGAGATGATAAGTATCTTCTTCATAGACTTTGTGAAGAATAAGGGAGTTAATACAGACAAAGTGCCTGCAACAGTGTAGGACACACAGCAAGCGCTAGGCTAACGTTAGCTATTATCACTGGCCACTCTGCATCAATCGCATCGTGATTTTTTGTGTCGACTCTGTATCGACCCTGTAAAAGCAAAATCTCAATGTTTCTGTGACAATTCCATAGAAACTTTTCTTCAGCTTGGCCTCTAGGAGCCAGGGGGTGGCACAAAAGAGAGAAGCAAGTCACAAGATGAGCAAGACGCATCCAGGTGGGACCCTGGCGAAGTGTCACACACAGCACTGAATCCAGACGCAGGGGCCCCAGATAAACTGCAAGACGCCCAGTGAACATGGATGTCGGAGCATCCAGGTGGGACCCTGGCAAAGTGTCACACACAGCACTGAATCCAGACGCAGGGACCCCAGATAAACTGCAAGACGCCCAGTGAACATGGATGTCGGAGCATCCAGGTGGGACCCTGGCAAAGTGTCACACACAGCACTGAATCCAGACGCAGGGACCCCAGATAAACTGCAAGACGCCCAGTGAACATGGATGTCGGAGCATCTAGGTGGGACCCTGGCAAAGTGTCACACACAGCACTGAATCCAGACGCAGGGGCCCCAGATAAACTGCAAGACGCCCAGTGAACATGGATGTCGGAGCATCTAGGTGGGACCCTGGCAAAGTGTCACACACAGCACTGAATCCAAACGCAGGGACCCCAGATAAACTGCAAGACGCCCAGTGAACATGGATGTCGGAGCATCTAGGTGGGACCCTGGCGAAGTGTCACACACAGCACTGAATCCAGACGCAGGGGCCCCAGATAAACTGCAAGACGCCCAGTGAACATGGATGTCGGAGCATCTAGGTGGGACCCTGGCAAAGTGTCACACACAGCACTGAATCCAGACGCAGGGACCCCAGATAAACTGCAAGACGCCCAGTGAACATGGATGTCGGAGCATCCAGGTGGGACCCTGGCAAAGTGTCACACACAGCACTGAATCCAGACGCAGGGGCCCCAGATAAACTGCAAGACGCCCAGTGAACATGGATGTCGGAGCATCCAGGTGGGACCCTGGCAAAGTGTCACACACAGCACTGAATCCAGACGCAGGGGCCCCAGATAAACTGCAAGACGCCCAGTGAACATGGATGTCGGAGGATCTAGGTAGGACGGACCCTGGCAAAGTGTCACACACAGCACTGAATCCAGACGCAGGGACCCCAGATAAACTGCAAGACGCCCAGTGAACATGGATGTCGGAGCATCTAGGTAGGACGGACCCTGGCAAAGTGTCACACACAGCACTGAATCCAGACGCAGGGACCCCAGATAAACTGCAAGACGCCCAGTGAACATGGATGTCGGAGCATCCAGGTGGGACCCTGGCAAAGTGTCACACACAGCACTGAATCCAGACGCAGGGACCCCAGATAAACTGCAAGACGCCCAGTGAACATGGATGTCGGAGCATCTAGGTGGGACCCTGGCAAAGTGTCACACACAGCACTGAATCCAGACGCAGGGACCCCAGATAAACTGCAAGACGCCCAGTGAACATGGATGTCGGAGCATCTAGGTGGGACCCTGGCAAAGTGTCACACACAGCACTGAATCCAGACGCAGGGACCCCAGATAAACTGCAAGACGCCCAGTGAACATGGATGTCGGAGCATCTAGGTGGGACCCTGGCAAAGTGTCACACACAGCACTGAATCCAGACTCAGGGACCCCAGATAAACTGCAAGACTCCCAGTGAACATGAACGTCAGGTGAGCAACAGACAAGCTTTCGGTCTACAGATAAAATGCAAGACGCCCAGTGAACATGAACGTCGGGTGAGCAACAGACTAGCTTTCAGTCTACTATGTCCTAAGTTTTGTATGGGATATACTTACTTTTCTTTTTTTGAGACAGGGTCTCACTCTGTTGCCCAGGCTGGAGTGCAGAGGCATGATCTCAGCTCACTGAAGCCTCGACTTCCCCAGCTCAAGCCATCCTCCCACCTCAGCCTCCGTAGGAGCTGGGACTACAGGTGTCTGCCACCACTCCCAGCTAATTTTTTGTATTTTTATTACAGACAAGTTCTCTCTATGTTGCCCAGGCTGGTCTCGAGCTCCTGGCCTCAAGTGATCCTCCTGGCCTCCCAATATGCCCAGCCATATGGGATATACTTATATTTAAAAATTATTCATTGTTCATCTAAAATTCTAATTTAACGGGGCATCCTTATTTTTATTTGCTGAAAAACTCAGCAGTGCTTTCAGTGTGGTTGGTAAGATTGTTCCCATTCTAAAGGTGAGAAAAACACAGCTCACTAGAGCATAAATAACTTGCTGGAGGTCATAGGCTAAGCAGGTGTTCAAAGACCAAGCTCCCGGCCTGCAGAGGTGCCTCCACCCAGCCGAGCAACAGGCCTGGGGCCACAGAACCGGGCCCTGGAGCGCCTTCCCACAATCCAAAAATGCCCCTCAGTCGCTGGAGGGGAGCCTGTGACCCGGAGGAGCCATTTTCTCCCGGGCAGAGGGAGCTCCTCACAAGCCAGTGCTGGGGGAAGACCTCCTGCGGGTGGATGGCCGGGAGGAGGTGCAAGAGAGGGCTGCAGTCAGCCAGGGTGGCACCCACAGCCCTTCCGGGAGCCACCCCTGCCTGGCGCTGGGACCTGGAGACAAAATGTCCAGGAGGAAACTCAGGAAGCTCCAGAGGAAACCCCTCAGGAAGTCCTGAAATAGTTCCACAGCCCAGAGTGAAAACTTTCTTTTTTTCTTTTTTCTGAGACGAAGTTGTGCTCTTGTTGCCCAGGCTGGAGTGCAATGGTGTGATCTCAGCTCACTGCAACCTCCGCCTCCCGGGTTCAAGTGATTCTCCTGCCTCAGCCTCCCGAGTAGCTGGGATTACAGGCATCCACCACCACGCCCAGCTAATTTTTGTATATTTTAGTAGAGACGGGGTTTCACCATGTTAGGCAAGCTGGTCTCGAACTCATGACCTCAGGTGATCCTCCTGCCTCAGCCTCCCAAAGTACTGGGATTACAGGCGTGGGCCACCATGTCCAGCCCCAAAACGAAAATTTTCAAGTGAGAGCAGCCTTGAGGGTGCCATGGTCTCTCTGAGTCCAGGGCGTAGACCCCCAGTGCCTGGCAGCTTGGCCCGGCTCACAGGGCCCCCTCCCCAGAGCCCACGCAGATGACCTCAGCTCCCACCCCCCGGAGTGTCCGCACCCACCCTCCCCAGCGCGGTCCCCACCTCCGCTCTCCCAGAGCCCACGCAGATGGCCTCAGCCCCCGCCCCCGGAGTGTCCGCACCCACCCTCCCCAGCGCGGTCCCACCTCTGCTCTCCCAGAGCCCAAGGTGGAGTTTCACTTCGGTCATTCTCAGCTCTATTTTTACTCAAAGGTGGTAGGAACACCACACGTTCAAAGCAGGACAGGCAAGTCGTCTGACTCCACGCGGCTGCAAGGCTGAGCTTTTCTGTGAGCAGGGACGGGGGCAGGCTGCGGCCCCATGCAGGGCTTCTCTCCAGGGCCAAGAGTCTAGGTCCAGTGCCCAGTCCCCGGTCCTGATACTCAAGCAGGTGACATTCAGCGTCCTCTTCACCTGGCTGAGAAAGACCAACAGCATCCCCAAGCAGAGGAACAGCACGTGCAAAAGGCACCACACTATGAATGGGCGAGTGTTGTATCCTGGGAAACCGGGAGAGGCTCAGTGTGGCCAGAGGCCCGGGGGTGTGGCAGTGGGGCCAGGAGGGGAGGCTGCGGCTGGAGATGGGTTGGACCCAGTCTCTGAGAAGGCTCCCACGTTGTGCTAAGGAGTTTAGAGTTTATCCTGCAGGAAGGAGGGAGCTACGAAGGCTTGGAGGGCAGATGCTGCAGGCGCCTGGTCCTTCCCATCCAGTGTGGGCAGCGCGGGCCTCACCTGGGACTTGCTAGAAATGCAGAATCCAGGCCGGGCGCAGGGGCTCACGCCTGTAATCCCAGCACTTTGGGAGGCCGAGGCGGGCGGATCACCTGAGGTCAGGAGTTTGAGACCAGCCTGGCCAACATGGTGTAACCCTGTCTCTACTAAAAATACAGAAACATTAGCTGGGCATGGTGGCACGCGCCTGTAGTCCCAGCTACTTGGGAGGCTGAGGCAGGAGAATCGCTTGAACTGGGAGGCAGAGGCTGCAGTGAGAGCTGAGATCGCGCCACTGCACTCCAGCCTGGGTGACAGAGCCAGACTCTGTCTCAAAAACAACAAACAAGCAAACAAAGGAAATGCAGAATCTGAGCTCCGGACCTGCCAAATCAAAATGTGCATGTCCATCATGGCACGGGGGCTGGGGGACCCCGTGATACCCCAGTGATTTATCTTCTCGGGGTGAGGCAAAGCCTTGAGCTCTGGCTGGGCGGAGAGAGAGGCCACCAGTTGGATGTCTCCAGTATCCCCTTCTGATGGCCCTTCTGCCCTCCTAACACCCAGCTCCACCTCCTGCTTGGATCCTCCCTGCTCCAGGACTCTCCGGGGCATCCCCAGTGCTGGATCCAGACACCCAGAGCCCTAGAGCACTTCGTCTCTTCATAGCCACCCCCAACTCCAACCAATCACAAAGCAGCATCTTCATAGCC
The DNA here is from genome assembly GCF_000001405.40 of Homo sapiens. Lineage (NCBI taxonomy): Eukaryota > Metazoa > Chordata > Mammalia > Primates > Hominidae > Homo > Homo sapiens. Next base: position 211,582 of record NT_187613.1, read on the forward strand.
ACCCCTGACTCCAACCAATCACAAAGCAGCATTTCCCAGGGTTCCACCTGCTCGGTGCCTAGCTGGGTGTTGCGGGGAAGGGAGAACCACCATGGTGAAAGGCTGGTCCCCCGAGCGGAGGGAGTAAGCCGAGGAGCTTTTCAGACATGCAGAGGCCTGGGCCCCAACCTGAGGTCTCATGCCCCAGGCCCTGGCATTGGGCGCTTCTGGCAAAGAACACAGGCTGAGGCGTCAAGACAGATGTGTTGTGTGACCTCTGGGAAGTCTTGGGGAAGCATGAAACAGGATAAAAATGGCTAAGAACTCAGCAGGTTGCCGGAGGCTAAATGAGATACTGTTAGCAAAGCAGAGAGGACAATGTCTGGCATCCTATCACGGAAGCCTTTGTTATTCTCCCTCGTGCCTCTAAGGAGTTGAGAGTCTGGCAGAGAAGAAATGACAACTGGCATGAAACACTGTGCAGGTAAACACTATAAAACAACACGATATCGGCCGGGCGGGTCGCTCACGCCTGTAATCCCAGCACTTTGGGAGGCCGAGGCGGACAGATCACTTGAGGTCAGGAGTTCAAAGCAGCCTGGCCAACATGGTGAAACCCCGTCTCTACTAAAAATACAAAAATTAGCCGGGCGTGGTGGCGCACGCCTGTAATCCCAGCACTTTGGGAGGCCGAGGTGGGCAGATAACCTGAGGTCGGGAGTTCGAGACCAGCCTGACCAATATAGAGAAATCCCGTCTCTACTAAAAATACAAATTTAGCCGGGCATGGTGGCGCACACCTGTAATCCCAGCTACTCGGGAGGCTGAGGCAGGAGAATCACTGGAACCCGGAGGTGGAAGTTGCAGTGAGCACTGCAGAGGTTGTGGAGATTGCACCATTGCACTCCAGCCTGGGCGACAAGAGCGAGACTCTGTCTCAAAAAAAAAGATAAGAAAGTGCTAAGCGATGTGAGCCGGAGCAATCAGCATTAGGGACTCTGAGCCAGGGATCTCACTAAGGCCAGTGCTCGAATCAGGCCTGGAGGACTTCCTGGAGATGGTGGTAGCTGAGCTGAGGCTTGAAGCTGGTTAGATCCTTGGAGCACAGAGCTTTGCAGGATGGTGAGAGGCCTTACTGGCTAGAGAATGGGCAGTGTGCTGGGAAACTGGAATGGATAACAAGAGGTTCCCCCAGTCTGGACTGAATGTGGTGGGAAAGGCAATGCCCCACTGAACCCACTGAAGGTTTCTGGGCAAAGGAGAGAAAATGGTCTAGCACAGCCACAGGCAGTTGGAAAGGGAACAGTGTCCTTCACTCAGGGAGGGGCTTGAGGACAGACACGGCAGGCACCCACAACAAGGGCCTGGCTGTGCTGGCAGCTGACCAGCTGCAGCAAGGTCCTCCGGCTAGAAGCAGCAGCTCTCCTGACAGCCAATGTGCGTTCCATCCTTTCTTCCCAGGGAGCAGGAGACCGAATCAGCTCCTGCCTTTGGTTTCTGAAGATTCTACACCCAAAGATGGCACTTGGTGCCCCAGCTCATCCAGGCCTCCCAAGGGGGAACGTGGGTCAGGAGCTGCCACGGGGTCTGCAAGACGCTTGCTGGCCTCGACCAAGTCAAGGTGGCTGTTCCACGCGGCTGGGTGGACGCCAGCTGGTCTCTCATGACCCTCCCCGTGACGCACTCGCAAAGTAACTACCAAGGCTTTCTGCTCCATTAACACCAAAGCTGGCCCTGCAGGGGAAAGAGGAGGGAGGGAGGACGTGGGTTTTGTCTAGACAGAGGCACTCACAAAGCCAGATGATGCCTGAGCTTCCGCCACGCAGGAAGAGGGTGAGCAGAGGAGGGCAGAGAAGACCTGGTGCGTCCCCCTCAGGGTGCCCCCCATGGCAGAAGTCACCAGCAGAGGCCAAGAACAATGGCCAATCCCCCTTCTTATCCTTAAAATCAGGGTAACAACCTTTCATAGGTTTACTGTGAAGATGAAATGAGATCACGAATGTGAGAACGCTCGCTCTACTCTTGCACCCGTGAGGTGTCCAATCAATTGCTTTGTTACTTTTATTCCTATTGGGAAATGGGCTCAAAAGATCTGTGTCAGGGGTTACCTTTCATCTGGCCAGAATCCAGAGCTACAGAAGGGTCTGGCTTGATTTGAAGTCCCAGCCAAAGGGGGCTCCGCTAAGGTGTAAGCCCCCCAGACACAGGCCTTCCCCAGGGGCTGACCTCTCCGTGGGGGACTCTCTGGGCTCGAGGGCCGTCGTGGGTGTGAGCCTGGGTCTGGAGGGTCTGCCCCGTCATTAACATGCTGCGCGCGGGAGAGTTCAAACACAGCAGCTGGCTCTGCAGCCCAGCAGGCCCTGGGCCTCGGCAAAGGACCTCGATGCTCAGTGGCCTGATTTATGGCTGAGGGCTCTCTTTATTTTCCTTTTGAAATGTGGAGGTGGATTTTAAAAGGCTGGAGAGCAGGGCCAGCACGCTTGGGCTCTGCCAAATCCCCGCGTCCTCGCCCCTGGCCTCGCTCTAGAAACTGGGCACTGGCCCTGCTCCATCCCAACCGCCAAAGTCTATTCTCACTCTCCCTTTCTCTGTGTTTGTGTTTGTATGGGGGGGTGTGTTTGTGTTTGTGTTTGTGTGTGTGTGTGTGGGGGGGGGGTGTGTTTGTGTATGTTAACAATCAGCACTTCTTGCCAATAATTCCAGGAACACAGCAATGCAGGCACGTGGGCTCCAAGTGCCCATGAGGAGACCTCCTTAGGCTCATGCCCCTAGGAAGAGGCAGCCCAGTTGGTGGATGCTCCCAGTGCTTCCAGGATGCCTGGGGCAGAGGGCTGTCTCCTCATATCACGGGGGCTTGGGGGCAAGACGCAGTCTTCACAACTGTCTTTCTAGCTAGAGAAATGAACCCAGATCCATCAACCTCAGTGAAATACCAGCGTCAAGGAGCCCCCACCAGCACCGCTGTGAAGGGTAAGAGTGCGGGAGAAAGAACACAGTTTACAGCAGGGCCAACCGAGCGCACAGTCCCTGGCTTGTAGTCTGCGACCTTGAATTAATTAATTTAGTTTGTTTATGTATTTATTTATTTATTTTGAGATGGAGTCTCATTCTGTCGCCCAGGCTGGAGTGCAACAGCGTGATCTCAGGTCACTACAACCTCCGCCTCCCGGATTCAAGCAATTCTCCTACCTCAGCCTCCCGAGTAGCTGGGATTCTAGGTGCCTGCCACCATGCCTGGCTAATTTTTGTATTTTAGTAGAAACGGGGTTTCATCATGTTGGTCAGGCTGGTCTCCAACTCCTGACCTCAGGTGATCCACCCACCTCGGCCTCCCAAAGTGCTGGGATTACAGGCGTGAGCCACCGTGCCTGGCCTGTCTCTTCCATTCTTTCTAAACCAAATTAAAAACTAGTTTCTATGAATCCATCAGGACTGATGGACTTTCTTTTCACGGGACCCCAGGATCCTGGGAGACCCAAGGATGAGGTTTCTATCTATGTCCCTCTACAGAACCCAGACACAGTTCCCAAAGAGGCTCCCGTGGGCGCCATTGCACAGAACAACTGCAGGGGGCACTCTTGCATAGCACACACTGCCACGCTGACCCCACAACTCCCAGAGGGGTCTCTCTCCTAAAACTTCACCTTCAATAGCACACACTGCCACGCCGACTCTACAACTCCCAGAGGGATCTTTCTCCTAAAACTTTGCCTCCAAGGGAGAGACTCCCTCAAAAAGATGACGTATGGGCTGTTTAGGCCCGAGGTAACGCGAACGGGGTAACCACAAGTGACGAAGTCAATTGCGGCTGTGAGGAGTAGATGTTCCCAGCCAGAGAAATAACTGGCTTAATTACACGGCGTCTTTGGTCCCCGTAATCTCGATCCATTAAACCTTTGCTGCTGACCAGGAGCCGCTGCCCAGGAGGAAGGGGTTAGCCCAGAACACTCACAGAAGCAGCCCTTCAATCCCACGAAGGTAATGATGGCCACATCCTTCCCCAACAGCCCCGAGTAAGCCCACAGATCCCTGCTCAATACCAGGCTTCTCTAGGCAGCACCAGCTCCACCGATGCCCCGGGGAGTCCAGCAGCCAAGCTGCCCGGAGTGACAAGGACTCTGAGCTTCCTTGGCTCTGGTTTACCTGAGGCCTCCCAGCCACCCAAGACTTCCTGGAGACCCTGCTAGCCTTAGGCAAGATGCCCAATCACGTGTGCCATGTCCACCTGTGACCTAGAGGCACACCAAGGCATCAGAGGTGAGGGCAGGGACAAGAAGGAGGTGAGTGAGGCCAGGCACGGTGGCTCACGCCTGTAATCCCAGCACTTTGGGAGGCCGAGGTGGGCGGATCACCTGAGGTCAGGAGTTCGAGACCAGCCTGATCAACATGGAGAAATCCCTTCTCTACTAAAAATACAAAATTAGCCGGGCGTGGTGGCAGCACCTGTAATCCCAGCTACTCGGGAGGCTGAGGCAGGAGAACTGCTTGAACCCGGGAGGCGGAGGTTGCAGTGAGCCGAGATCGCACCACTGCACTCCAGCCTGGGCAACGAGAGTGAAAATCTGTCTCAAAAAAATGAAGAAAGAGGGGAGTGGCACCCGATTAATCAATCAGGTCACCACAGAGCCGACCACATCTGGCTCTATCTACTGAAGCCCAGGCTGACTCTGACATTTTCCATACAGCCAGTAAACCCAGATTCATCTTTCGGTCTAGTGTGTGTGGGGAGGAAGGAAGGGCAGGAGGAGGACACAGGATAAAGCCTGGACAAAAAACTGGGCGAGAGGCCCCAGTCAGGTCTCGACCCGGGGACAGAGAACCCGCTGCTCCATCCACAAGTGGCCACGGCCTCAGATGGTCCCGCCTCAAAGGGCTCTTTGCCAAATGCCCAGGCAGGGGTGGGATTGGGCATTATCTTCAGCCTCCATACGGGGGTGCCTTCCGTAGCCTGCCTATTGGCCTGATTTCTTTCTCCTTCCCCCTTCACAAGGTCTCTGGGTCAGGTTCTCCTCAAGCTTCAGGGACCAGTGGAACATTCCCGCTGCTCCCAGCAGCGTCATGTCCCCAACTGACCATATCTTGCCCTAAGAAATGCAAGCTACTCCTGGGCCGGGCACGGTGGCTCACACCTGTCATCCCAGCACTTTGGGAGGCCGAGATGGGTGGATCACGAGGTCACGAGATCGAGACCATCCTGGCCAACATGGTGAAACCCCGTCTCTACTAAAAATACAAAAATTAGCTGGGTGTGGTGGCACATGCCTGTAATCCCAGCTACTCAGGAGGCTGAGGCAGGAGAATCGCTTGAACCCAGGAGGTGGAGGTTGCAGTGGAGCCGAGATTGCCCCACTGCACTCCAGCCTGGGTGACAGAGCAAGACTCCATCTCAAAAAAAAAAGAAAAGAAAAGCAAGCTACTCCCCACAGCAGCAATGGACTTTCTCACATGTGGGGACAAGCCAAGGTCACATGTCACAAACAGCCTCCCCTATCACAGCCCCAGAGATGGGTGAGCTGCAGAACTCTCCCCCTGGTACAAACAGTCACTTGGAGAAAAGTGCCAAGAATATAGAACAGAGCAGGTAATCCACCCCCCCCATCACCTCAGCCCACCCAACACATCACCTCAGTCCACCCAACACATCACCTCAGTCCACCCAACACATCACCTCAGCCCACCCAACACATCACCTCAGTCCACCCAACACATCACCTCAGTCCACCCCCCCCCATCACCTCAGCCCACCCAACACATCACCTCAGTCCACCCCCCACACATCACCTCAGTCTACCCCCCACACATCACCTCAGTCCACCCAACACATCACCTCAGTCAACGCAACACATCACCTCAGTCCACTCAACACATCACCTCAGCCCACCCAACACATCACCTCAGCCCACCCAACACATCACCTCAGCCCACCCAACACATCACCTCAGTCCACCCCCCACACATCACCTCAGTCCACCCCCCACACATCACCTCAGTCCACCCCCCACACGCATCACCTCAGTCCACCCCCCCCATCACCTCAGCCCACCCAACACATCACCTCAGTCCACTCAACACATCACCTCAGCCCACCCCCCCCATCACCTCAGCCCACCCAACACATCACCTCAGCCCACCCAACACATCACCTCAGTCCACCCCCCCCATCACCTCAGCCCACCCAACACATCACCTCAGTCCACTCAACACATCACCTCAGTCCACCCCCCCCATCACCTCAGCCCACCCAACACATCACCTCAGTCCACTCAACACATCACCTCAGCCCACCCCCCACACATCACCAACACCCGCCACCACCAAGGGCCTGGCAGGGGCAGTGGGCGCAGGGTTGTCTTGAAGCCGCCTGCCCTAGGTTTGCGCCCAAAGGGCTCAAGCTCAGCCAAACAGCTGCCGCCAACGCTGGCAGTGAAGTCCTCCAATCATAAACCCTGGCAAAAGCGCGAGACTCCCTTTGGGGGTCTCTGACTCCACTACGAGCGAGTACAATGACCAAATCCACACAGCCGGAAACGCATGGACGGGCCAGCTGACAGGTTTCAGCTAACAGGGGTTTCTGCTGCGGGGAGGAGCTCAAGGAGCCAAGAACTCGAGTTTTCTTTTTCCCACCCGTACTCAGACAACCAACACCTATGGAGGGCCTGTGCGGGAGCCGCTGTGGGAGGCGCTGCCTCAGAGCTGGTCTGATACCCTGTTCCTGCCGGTCCTCCTGCCACATTCCCTGCCCCTTCCTAAGTCCTGTGCCGGCCTCTCCCAGTCCCTCGAGGCTTTCCCGGATGAGGAGCGCAATGAGCTGGACAGCTGAGCTGCTCAATAGCTCTCCTCACCTTCAAAGCACTTTATAAATATGAATTAATCCACACAACACCCACGAGAGCCATCATGCCCTCCCTCTACGAAGGAAGGTACCGGAATTGTCCCAGAAAGCAGATCATACCTCAGACAGAGAACAAGTCTTCCATCCTACTCGCAAGAGTGAGGCAGAGCCTCCCCGCCATTCCCCATCTTCCATCCTCCTAACAGCATCTTCCAGCCAATTCCCCACAAATTTCCTTCCTTTTCCCGAAGAACAACAGTAGCCAACAATCACAACCACAGAAACCTAAGTTTCTCTGAGTAGATGACTTAATTCTTCTGCCAGCCCCACCTCTGAGACTCCAGCAGCCATGAAGATTATGGGCCGGTGTTGACAAAAAGGAATAAATTACTGGGCTATTCCGAAAACAAGCAAGCATCTGCCAGCAGGCGCTCACTAGCACACACGGAGGGGTCTGATGCGGCCCCGAGAACTGAACTGCTCTGATCAAACGCACACAGGCTGTCAGACCAGTGGCTTGGTCCCTGGTGTAGAGAATGTGGGGCTCAGATGAGAAACTGAGGTAGGCTCATGCTCACCTGGAGACAGGCTTACATCTCCACTGCTCCAAATACTTTCCTGGCCCATAGATGGGGCACTGAATCTATAAAGGGCATGAAAATATCACAAGAGAATGAAATCGCCCTTGGAAATGTTGCTTGGGGTAAGAGAAGTGAGCTCCAAAAAGCAGGCTCTAGTAACAACAGATGGTCACGTTCTGCCTTCCATGACGGCCAAGCCACTGCAGGCTCTTGCTTGGCTCAGCAGGGAAGGTATGTTTGACACCAGGACTAAATTACTTGGGACCAAATGGAGGCCGAAGTGGCAAAGGGAGAGGCTTTAAATACAGCCTCTGCCTCTCCTCTAAGTAAGTCCTAAACACACATATAAAGATTTTCCAGTTGAAGAGGTGCCAGATGATCAACCTGCCTGGGGCACACGTATGTCTTGATCCAGATCTGCTTGGAGAATCCCAGGGACCAAGAAAGTGTCAGAGCACACCTCCACCCCCATTTTGGGCTACTCCGCTCCCATTTAATCCAATCTAATCCCATGGGATTGGGAAAATAAAAATAAAAAAATAAAATAAAAAAATAACAAAGAGAAGATGATACGTGTTTAGCAGAAAGGGTGATTAAAGACCTAGAGGCATTATGACCAAGAAAACATGGCCGGGCGCAGGGGCTCACGCCTGTCATCCCAGCACTTTGGGAAGCCGAGGCGGGTGGATCACCTGAGGTCAGGAGTTGGAGGCCAGCCTGGCCAACATGGTGAAACCCCGTCTCTACTAAAAATATAAAAATTAGCCGGGTGTGGTGGCGGGCACCTGTAATCCCAGCTACTCAGGAGGCTGAGGCAGGAGAATCGCTTGAACCGGGGAGGCGGAGGTTGCAGTGAGCCGAGATCGCACCGCCGCACTCCAGCCTGGGCGAGAGAGCGAGACTCTGTCTCAAAAAAAAGAGAGCCTCAGAGAGAGCATCATAGCAACCCCAGGGAGAGAAAGGTAAGGTACTGAGGGGTGAAACTGACATTGCTACATTAATACAGGCAAATGAGTGGCGCAGACACAAGAACTGGGGGATGTCTGAAACCATCTGTCACTCCACAGGGAAAGGACTCTGCTCCCATCAGCCCCAGGGCCCCTGGCAGCTGGGATCCAACTCTTCTCCTTGAGGCAGACAAATCACACTTACCGCAGCCCTTCAGGACTTCTACCATAGGAGAGATGGAGGGTTTGCTGCCCAACCCTCATCAAATGACCACCAAACCTGTGATGGAAGTGGGCACACTCCTCCTGTCAAAACCAGAAAGAATGAACTGCCAACCCCAAAGGCAGGAAGTGTGTTCAGGGCCGGGCGCGGTGGCTCACGCCTGTAATCCCAGCACTTTGGGAGGCCGAGGCGGGTGGATCACGAGGTCAGGAGATCGAGACCATCCTGGCCAACACGGTGAAACCCCGTCTCTACTAAAAACACAAAAAATTAGCCGGGCGTGGTGGCGGGCGCCTGCAGTCCCAGCTACTCGGGAGGCTGAGGCAGGAGAATGGCGTGAACCTGGGAGGTGGAGCTTGCAGCGAGCTGAGATAGTGCCACTGCACTCCAGCTCCAGCCTGGGTGAAAGAGCGAGACTCCGTGTCAAAAAAAAAAAAGAAGTGTGTGAGGGGAGGGGCTGGCTGGCAGGCTGGCACCTTAGGAGCAGAGAGCCACCAGCCTCAGTGGGTTCAGACAGCCTCAGCTGTCCCTGCCTGGGCTCCAGGCCCAGCCCCCAGGTCCTGCAAGAGGCACAGGGCCAGGTTGGGGTCAGAGCCATTGAAGCCATTTACCCTGCTGGACCGTTTCAGGGAGAACTCTGCAACAGAGGACCATAGAGAATGGCGTCCCCCATTCCGTGACATCCCAAGACCTTGAATAAACTCAGACATACCCAGGTGGTACTCGGGATCCTCCTCATTATTCTAGGGTACAACCTGAATTCCAGCTCAGCCATTTGTTACTTATGTGATCTTAGGTCTATGATTTATGCTAACTGAGCCTCACTTTCCTACTCTGTAAGAGTTGCAGAGTTGTGAGATTTGGAGAGAATGGATAGAAAGTGCCTAGCACAGGCCGGGCGCAGTGGCTCACGCCAGTAATCCCAGCACTTTGGGAGGCCAAGGTGGGAAGATCACCTGAGGTCAGGAGTTCGAGACCAGCCTGACCAATATGGTGAAACCCCATCTCTACTAAAAATACAAAACTTAGCTGGGTTGTGGTGGCAGGCGCCCATAATCCCAGCTACTCAGGAGGCTGAGGCAGGGGAACTGCTTGAATCCAGGAGGTGGAGGTTGCAGTGAGCCAAGATCGCACCACTGCACTCCAGCCTGGGCAAAGACGGAGACCCCGTCTCAAAACAAAACAAAAAACAAAAAACAAAAAAAAAAAAGAAAAAAGAAAGAAAGAGAAAGTGACTATCCCAGTGCCTGCCATACAGTAGGTGCTCAGGAGACGCTATTATCATTGTTACCAGGAACAATGCTCAGAGAGAGGAAGGCAGGGAACCTCTAACACCGAGTCATTCCCATCTCTAAGTCACACTGCCACCCTGTGCCCTGGGTATACCCCCTTTACAGTTCCCGATGGATCTGGCATTTGTGGAGATTTGTCACCCCAGGACTGTGAGCCTTGTAAGCAAACAGCTTCCTGAGAAGCAGAGGAACTTCCTCTGGGAGCCACAAAACCTTGCTGCCAGGCAAATGACAGCTCGGGTATTTGTTTTAATTTAGGCTCTTGTCAAGAGGAAAGTTGATGGCTAACAGCCCAAACATGACTGCACAGCACCTCCCCGGGAAGCCTCCTGCTACAGCTCTCCACTAAGCTGTTCCGAAGAGGGAGGCAGGGACTCCTCACACTGCGGCCACATCAGTGCCCCCTCCCACCCACCATCCAGGCCACCCCAGGAGCCGCCCAGAGGCCAGGGCAGCAGCAGGAGGGTAGACAGCTCAGGTGCCAATCTGCCTGAATCAGGGCTGCCCAACAGAACCCCCTAAGAGGCCTTGGCCTAATTCCCTTTTCTGGCATTCCTCTGGTCAGGAATTTTCAAGGTGGCCTCAGGCAATTTTGCTTTTTTGCTCCAGGCGTGGGAGGAAGAGGGTGGGGTATGGAAGACTTGGAAATGATCAGCTCAGAGGAGTCTTCTGCTGCAGAGAAAGCTAGAGACAGGGTTCCATACGATTCCAGGCTTCGGGAAATAGGGAAACAAGAACTGGGTTTTGCAAAGAGCCAGAAACACTCAGGAACATAAGCACGCGTGAATCTGAGGCATTGTTATGACGGCTGTTTGCAAGCACACAGCTAAGAGAGGGCCACTAATCCTGCCTCCGGGTCAGGAGCTGATCTGCATCTGCGCTCCGAACAGATGTGTGCCCCCATTCATGCAGACGCACGTGCACGCACATGCCACACAGCCATGGGCCCTGACCTTCACCCAACGACGCTGGCCTCTGCAGGGGAAGGAGCAGATGGAGCGGCGGCACCTGGCACAGGACCTATGCCCAGGGGATCCGGCTTTGCCCCTTTGATGTTGAGAAACCAAAGCAGAATGAACCATCACAAGGACAGCTCCTGGGGGGAGGAGAGGAAGGAACATGGATGGAGGAGGAGGCGGGTGGAGAAGAAGATACAGGGAATGACCTGGACCCAAGGGGATGCTGAGGTCAGAGGTTGAATGTTGGGTACCACACAGCCTCCAGAGTAAGGCTTTGGGGCTCAAGGCATCACCCTTCTCTACTCCCCCCACCCCCCCCATATGACTTATCAAGGAACTCTAGCTGGGATGACCCTTACAAATGCCCTTGTTGGCTCACGCCTGTAATCCCAGCACTTTGGGAGGCTGAGGCAGGTGGATCACCTGAGGTCAGGAGTTTGAGACCAGCCTGGCCTCATGGTGAAACCCCATCTCTACTAAAAATACAAAAAATTAGCCGAGAGTGGTGGTGGGTACCTGTAATCCCAGCTACTCAGGAGGCTGAGGCGGGAGAATCACTTGAACCCGGGAGGCAGAGGTTGCAATGAGCGGAGATTGCGCCACTGCACTCCAGCCTGGGCGACAGAGCCGAGACTCCGTCTCAAAAAAAAAAAAAAAGAAAGAAAACGCTCCTGTTCCATGGCATCCAGTGCCTAGAATCAGGCTGAACCAGGCTCCACGTGGCCCCACGTGCCTCCCCCAACTCCTGCCTGGGAGATGTGCTGAGAGAGTGGGAGGGTCCCACTCACGTGGGCCAGGAAGGGCGAAATCCACTATGTAAGCCCAGGAGGACCCTCTTCCTAATCCCTGAGAGCTTTCGGGAAAGGTGTCTCAGGGAAGGGTGGGGAGAAGGGGCGGTGCCTTTCTAGCAACGGAGCAGGAGCAAGGTGCGGTGGTGGGGGCGGGGGGCGGCTCTCGGTTCGCCCCAAGCCCCCCCACACCATTACCCGTGATCAGTTACGCATCCCCCGGGGCCATGCAAGAGCAATCACATGATCCAGAGAGATTTGGGAGCGAGGGGGTGGAGAACTCGAGAAGGTTTGTTTTTTTTTTCTTCTGAGGGTGGTGGTGATGATGAGGGTGGGGGTGGTGATGAGGCTGGCAGGAAAGATTGCTGAGCCCGGGATTTTCAGCTCCCGCATCCAAACGGCCCCCGCGGATATCTGCACCCCCCGTCTCCCCTCCCACCCGATCCCACCCCAGCACCGAACCCCTGGGCCCTGAACCACACATGACCCGGTGCCCCTGGGGTGGCAAACTCGGGTGCCAACGACTGCTCCCAAAACGGCCTTTCGGCTTCAGCCTGGACAGAGAAGCTGCCGGTCCAGGGGCGGGGGCAGCACCCAGAAGGGCCTCCCTCCCCTGAGGCTCGCGGAGGCCGGGTTCACAACAGGTGGGAGGGGGGACGCAGCTCTCGGCTCGGTCCGCCCACGGTCCCCGCCCCCGGACCGCAGGAATCCTCTCTGGGGACCCCCCGCCCGCGCCCCCCAGACCAGCCCGGCTCCTGGGTCCCGACCCCGATCCCGATTCCCAACCCGACCCCGATCCGGACCCCGATCTCGCCCCCGCCCGCGCTCCCCGGACCAGCCCGGTGCCTGGGTCCCGATCCCGATCTTGGGGTCCCGATCCCGATCCTGGGGTCCCGATCTCCATCCTGGGGTCCCGATCCCGATCCTGGGGTCCCGCCCCCGCCCGGCACACGTACTGCTGTAGAGGGTGTCGATCCAGGACAGGCGCGGCAGGCCCCGGTGGCTGAGCGGCTCCATCCCGCGGCGGCGGCTCGGTCAGATCCGAAACCCGACCCTCATCGCGCAACAAAGGAGGGAGAGCGGGCGGGAGCCGGGGGAGGCCGAAGTTGCGAGCGCGGAGGGGCGAGGAGGCCGGGAACCAGGTCCCCGGGAGGAGCGCGGGGCGGCCGGGGCAGGGGCGAGGGCGGGGCGGGAGCCCCCAAAACCCTCCCGAACCCTCCCGGCCCCAGCGGCCGCGCCGAGCCCAGCTGCGGATCCCGGAACCGATGAGCAACTTCGCGGGGGGCGGGGCGGGGGTGGGGCTTCGTGGTGGGGCGGGGCTTTGGTGCGGGGGCGGGGCTTTGGTGCGGGGGCGGGGCGGGGAGGGACCAATCGGCTCGAGGCTCCGCCCTCCGCAGGACGCCCCCGGCCGGGCTAAGGGGGCAGCGGGGCTCCGGCGCTGGGCGAGGAGGGGCCGCGGGGGTCTCGGGGGGTCTCCAGGCGGCGGCGCAGACCCAGGTCCCCCTCGTCCCCCCCGCGCCGGGCTCAGCAGGATCCTGGCGATCCGCAAACCAGGTGCCGTGGGGGGCCCGGGAGCCCACAGGGGTGACATCACCTCCCGCCCGGGATCTCCAAGCGCGGCTTCGCGGGCGGGAGCGGCGGCCGGGCCCCTCCCCAGCCAGACCCGCTGCGGGACCCACGGGGTGAACGTCCTGCGCGCCGCGGGACGCGCCTCTCTCCTCCCGAACCTTCCCCCGCTCGTCCCTTTCCACACCCCTGACCTCTGAGCGCGGCCGTTCCCGCCACACATGGAGGGGGGCGGGTGGAGACCCGGGAGGACCGAAGTCACGGGGGCTGTGGGGCCAGGACAGTCCCACATGTGCCCCTCCTGGGCGGAGGACAAACTGGAGCCAGGAGAAGCCCCAAGGGCTCCACGCGTTCCCCTCCAGGACCCCTCCTGGGGACCCCGAGCCGCGGCCTGGAAAGCCCATCGTGTTTGCATCATCACCTAGAAATGGTGGGAAGTCGGGTCAAGAGGCCTGAGAAATGACCGTTTAGAGACGAAATTCCCTCTAAGGAAGACCCCCTCGCCCAAGGGCAGTGAAGAGATTGGGGGCCCCATGCCTGTCTCCTGTGGGCTGATTCTGTGGGAGCCATGGCAGCTTCCCCACAGACCTCTTTGGGCCAAGCGACCCTGGAGCAGGGAAGGACAGGAGGGGAGTCAGGCCAGGGGGGTCCAGGGCAGTGGGGCTGAAGCCCCTTCCTGAACCCAGGGAAAGGGAAGCAGTGGGGCCCACCCAGGGGGCCCGGTACCCCAGATAGTGACATTTCAGATACCGGAGCTGTCTCCACCCCACCCCATCCCCAGGCAGCTTAAGGGGAAAACTTCTGGGAGCCCAGCCCTACAGAGGCCTACCAGGAAGGTTAAGTCAGCCTGGCCTTTGCCGGGGGCAGTGTGGTCGGCACCCGCAGAACGCTGGAGGGGTGTGGGGGTCGGTCCTCATCACTCCAAACAGACACACACACATCTAGTTCTTAAGGGGAGAAGCAGCTCCTCCCCCAGGATGCTGAGAGGAAGCCCCATAAGCTGCTTGGGCAGAGGCCTCTGCAGCTGCCCCAGGGGAGATGGGGGTCACCCACTCATCACAGGCTGGGGAGCCCCTGGGAGACGCACAGGATGATGCTCTGGGTGGGGAAGCCTCTACAGGTGGCTGCAGCAGAAGTGGTTTTCAATATTATTAGCCCGTCCCTGCGTCCCCAGGGCTCCCTCCGCCCCAATCCTCCTGGCTCAGGCACCAGCGCTGTCTCTTGCCGCCCCTCCCTGCAGCTGTCACCCTCCCACCGTCCCTGACTAGCACACAGGATTGGGAGGGCCAAGCAGGCACCTGGAGCTTGGCAGGGAGGGGGCGTGCATCTCCAATGAGACGCTCCAGAAATAGAGCTTCGGCATGGGAAGGGAACGAGCAGGCTCTCGGAGGACCGCGAGGCCGGAGGAGCCATGAGGGGCCAAGGGCATCTCTTCTTCCCACCTGGAACTCTCGGAAGACAGCCCAGGGGAAAGGTGGAAACGGGCGTGAGCTGCCGCCACCAGGAGCCACCAGCCCAGGAGGCAGCAGCACCGTCCCCTCCTCAAAACAACAACAAGCAAGAACGCTCGGGCCCTCTCCCCACACTGTGGGGTTTTCCTGATGGCCACATCCGGCGCTGACTGTGAGGGAGCTATGGATGTATGCTTCTGCGTGAGTCACATACATTTGCGTACATTTTACATTTTTATCTACAAAGGCTTGAACAAGCTATTTTCAGCATCCTCCAAGCTAAAATGTGGCAGTTGCTTTCCTTCGCGTTGCCATAGTTTGCTTTTTTCTGTCTACATTCTGTCCAATCCTGGCACTCTCGGACCCTCCACTCCACAACACGATAGAGGGTAGAGGGAGAGACAAATCTTGAGGGCTCTACAGAGGAAACTTCTGATAACGAACACAGAACACCGACTGTGTGCCCGGCTTAGCGTTTCGTTCACTAGCGTGATCTCACCGTGAATGTCACTGTTATCTCTGTTTTCTCCATTTTCCAGGTCAGAAAACCGAGGCCCTGAGCAGCTGAGTAACCCACTCAGAGGGTAAGTGAGGGCTGGGACTTGAACCCTGGCACTCTGTTCATGCTCTTTTTCTGTTTGTTTGTTTGTTTGTTTTTGAGACAGAGTCTCGCTCTGTCGCCCAGGCTGGAGTGCAGTGGCACAATCTCGGCTCACTGCAAGCTCCGCCTCCCGGGTTCACGCCATTCTCTTGCCTCAGCCTCCCGAGTAGCTGGGACTACAGGCACGTGCCACCACGCCTGGCTAATTTTTGTATTTTTAGTAGAGACGGGGTTTCACCTTGTTAGCCAGGATGATCTTGATCTCCTGACCTCGTGATCCGCCCGCCTCGGCCTCCCAAAGTGCTGGGATTACAGGCGTGAGCCACCGCGCCCGGCCTGTTCATGCTCTTAAACACCACGCATACTGCCTCCACGGCCAGCTAACTGGTGATCACCGGGTGCTGAAGGTCCTGAGAAATCTCTGCGGGTCCATGGGGTTAGAGACCACCCTCTGGGAAACCCTGTCAACCCTCTTCCATCTCCAGACGTCTGTCTCAGACAACGTGTCTCAGGAAAGGGCAGTCACTTCGAGATTCCCTTGATGCCTTTGTTGGATGGCTTCCAGTAGATGTTAACACCACGGCCAGATGCTAACCTTGGCCACAGAGACAAGTGTGTGAGCCTTTGAGCACCACAGTGATTTGGGTGGGAACAGAAACCTCCGCATCCCTGGCACTGAGGAGTTGGGGAGATCCAACGTCACGCGCTGGGAAGGAAGGAGTTAAAGAGTCCTTCTCCTCCGGGCTTTGCCAAAGGTGATGCTACCCTGAAGTGCTCTAACCCCAGCGATCAACCCCAATCTGTCAGAGGAGCGGGGAGCTGTGGCAGACAGACCTTCCTGATTCAGCTAAATGTGGACCGGGTGGGGACCAGCCAGTGCTCCCCAAGGCACTGAACCCCCATCTATCACGCTGCCTCCTCCAGGCCCCTTCTAAGCATTCCCCAGACAGTCCCTGGGGCCAGTGCTCTCCACCCTCCCAGCCCTCCCTCCAGCCTGTGCACTCAGACTGTCTGCGGCTCTCCAACCCCAGGGTGACCTGCCTGCTCCTGCCTCATCACTGGACTTAAAGGGGATTTCATGGTTGGGTGCACCGCCAGGAGCACTGGGTTAATGACGAGGGGCTGAGTGGGAAGAAGGTACATCCCATTTTCAAGGCTATTTGCCCTGCTCCTAATTCCCAAGCACGTGCTACTCACGGCCTCTCCAACGACCAACTCTTGCTTCTACCAATCAAGGTAGAAGCCTTGGTTCTTGGCCAGGACAGAAAAAAGGGGACGGGCCCTAGAACCAAAACTGGGTATCTCCACATTTCCTCCCTTCTCATGTTAGCAGCTCAGCTCCACTGCACACGACAGGAAGGCCCCAGGAGTCTCTGCTTCCTTGATCACCCAGAGGTCACCGCTGATGACAAAAATATGTTCCCATGCGGGGGCCAGGCAGGGAGCCCCGGTGCGTGCAGAGGCTGAATACACAGTGGGTGGGAGGGAGTGGGGCCCTCTACATTCAAATGAAAAACCAAAACCAAAAATAGACTGTGATGACCAAAAAACCGAGAGTTTGCACCCTCACTGGCCCATCAGGTCCTTAAAAGCTGGGACTGGCCAGGCGCGGTGGCTCATGCCTGTAATCCCAGCACTTTGGGAGGCCGAGATGGGCAGATAGCCTGAGTCTGGGAGTTCGAGACCATCCTGGCCAGCATGGTGAAACCCCGTCTCTACTAAAAACACAAAAATTAGCCAGGCGTGGTGCATGTGCCTGTAATCCCAGCAGTGAGCCGAGATCCTGTCACTGCACTCCAGCCTGGGCAACAGAGTGAGACTCCCTCTCAAAAAAAAAAAAGCCAGAGCCGGGCACAGTTGCTCACGCCTGTAATCCCAGTACTCTGGGAGGCCGAGGTGGGTGGATCACGAAGTCAGGAGATCGAGACGATCCTGGCTAACACGGGGAAACCCCGTCCCTACTAAATATACAAAACATTAGCTGGGCATGGTGGCGGGCGCCTGTAGTCCCAGCTACTCGGGAGGCTGAGGCGAGAGAATGGTGTGAACCTGGGAGGTGGAGCTTGCAGTGAGCTGAGATCACGCCACTGCACTCCAGCCTGGGGACAGAGCAAGACTCCGTCTCAAAAATAAAAAATAAAAAAACCAGGACTGCATCTTCCTCACTGGGCAGACCCAGTGCTCAGCGCAGTGGGTGAACAAGGCTCAGGTAGACTCCCAGCACAGCTATGACCACATGGTGCCTCCAGATCAGCTTTCTGCCGAGCGCCCAGCAGATCGGCATTCAATAATGCACATTGAACAAATAAAATTAATGACAGCTAACAGTTATTGAGTGCTTTTTTTTTTTTGAGACAGAGTCTTGCTCTGTCACCCAGTCTGGAGTGCAGTGGGCATTCTCACAGCTCACTGCAGCCTTGAACTCCTGGGTTCAAGCTGATCCTCCTGCCTCACCCTCCCAAAGTGCTGGGATTATAGATGTGAGCCACCGTGCCTGGTCTACTGAGTGCTTCTTAAGTGTCAGGCACTGCTCTATCTGCTTTACGTAGGTTATTTCACGTAATCCTTACAATAAGCCAATTTACTATTATCTCCATTTCACAGAAGAAGAAATTGAGGTGCAGAGAGGCTAAGCCATTGGCTAACTAGCAGATGGCGATGCTTGGAAATGAACCAAGTCTGAATCCAGGGTTCCCGTGTGTAATCTCTGCATTGAGCGGCAATTAGTGAATGAATGAATAAACAGAATGAAGTTAAACTCAGGGAGGAAGAAATCGGAGCTACACGAGGGAGGCAGGCAGCGTTATTTCAGAACCCTCCCAGGGCCACTGATGATAAAGTAGAAAGAGAACTGGTATCCCAAGAAAACCATATCTACTACAGCAGGCCAGATGACCCTGGAGACAAGCTGAACAAAGTCCAGTGACAATCTCCCAAATGCCAGTCCCGGCCAAACCCCACTTCTTCAATGCCTCCGGCCAATCTCAAGAGTTTCCAGCCTCAGTGTTCACATCTGTAGACAGTATGCGCCCAGGGCCAGGCACAGTGGCTCACGCCTGTAATCCCAGCACTTTGGGAGGCCGAGGCCAGCGGGTCACCTGAGGTCAGGAGTTCGAGACCAGCCTGGCCAACATGGTGAAACCCCGTCTCTACTAAAAATACAAAAATTAGCTGGGCGTGGTGGCGGGCACCTGTAATCCCAGCTACTCGGGAGACTGAGGCAGGAGAATCGCTTGAACCTGGGAGGTGGAGGTTGCAGTGAGCCGAGATCGTGCCACTGCACTCCAGCCTGGGTGACAGAGTGAGACTCCGTCTCAGAAAGAAATAAAAAAAAAAAAAAAAAAAAAAAAAAGAAGGTATGTGCCCAGGTGGATCAAGAAGACGACCTCCAGGCCTCCTATGAGCACTAGCAGAATACAAACTCTCCTGTCAGATCCTGGGGTGGCCTGTTTTCCGTGCTTTGCTCTATTCCCATTTCCTTGGTACAGTAAAGCAGCATTTACTATTCTTTTTTTTCTTTCTTTTGAGATGGAGTTTCACTCTTATTGCCTGGCTGGAGTGCAGTGGCAGGATCTCGGCTCACTGCAACCTCTGCCTCCTGGGTTCAAGCGATTCTCCTGCCTCAGCCTCCCGAGTAGCTAGGATTACAGGAGCCCGCCACCACACCTGGCCAATTTTTTGTATTTTTAGTAGAAATGGGGTTTCGCCATGTTGGCCAGGCTGGTCTCGAACTCCCAACCTCAGGTGATCCGCCCGCCTCCACCTCCCAAAGTGCTGGGATTACAGGCGTGAGCCACCATGTGCGGCCAGCATTTACTATTCTAAGATTCATCCTCAGCCCTCCAGTCTGGGGAAAGAAGAAAATTCCCCAGGCCTCCACAGTGTCACCTGTAAGGGTGAAGTCTCAGCCTATGAGTCTGTCTTTTGCCCTCTTCTCACCTGCCCTCTGCTCAGCCTCCCGGCTTTTCCAGCAGCCAGTGAGATCTACAGGCAACAGAGGTGAACTGGAAGCCCTTCCCAGTTAGTCATTTCTGCACCAAACTTTTGTGTCAGCTTGAGTCATGGGAAGACCTGCTGCCCTGGCAAGATGTGGACCTGCTCCCCGGGGAGCTGCATTCACCCCCTCACTGCCTCCCTAGGCATCACTGCAGGATAAAGCACAGTGACATCAGGTCCTTGCAGCTGTGACACTCCCCACACGCCCCCACACACTTCCCAGGGGCCGAGTTGAAGCCCCGTTCCCATGGCCAGGGGCCACAGCAAGGGCAGCATCCTGGGCAGAGCCGCTGGCTTAGATTATGCACTCCCCGAGCCACCGTTTTAGGAGGGTCTCTCGCCAAGCCCCAGCTCACGTGGCCCTCACCTGACATGGCTCAGATGACACCACCCACAGGTCAACAGCAGAGTTTTCCCAAAGGGTCCGTCCGAGGGCTCGACAGCAGGGCCTGGAGCCCCCTACTCATTTACTTACCACCAAGTCCCCATCAGCATTCAGAAAGACGCCAGCAGAAGAGTCCAATGGATTCTCTAAGTCTCCAAAACCCAGAGATTCAGTTCAGTGGCTCCAATCTCCTTAGCCCCAAGGGAAACAAGAGCACGTCCAGCTGGGGTCAGAGCTCACGGGCTGGCCCTCTGCCCTCCTGTGGTCACGACGGCCCCGAAGCTGGCCGTGCTCCTCGCTCGTTCAGCCAGAATTCTGCAGACGCATCCCAGGCCTACGCTGCTCTGCCAGGACCTCTGACACCACCCACCAGGCTGGCCCTGTCCCCATCAGGCCCAGGAGTGGCTGCAGGAGCCGAGGGCAGGCTGTCAAGGAGACGGGCTCCGAGAGGCAGCGGCTCACCATTCAGCAAGGCGAGGGCAAAGGAACCTCAGAGCCTAGCCAGGGGCGCCTGCCATCAGTGGAGCCTCTGCTCTGGGGCTGCCGGTCGGGCCGTGTGTGCTGTGTCTCTTTAAGGACCAGGCCTCTTCAAGGCAAGTTCCCTCTGCAGTCCAGTCCTGCCTCTGCCCGTCCTGCGGCAGAGAGTGGGGGCTCCCCAGCGCCATCTGGCGGCCGCACAGCAGCACCTCGGCCACCAGAGGCTTCCAGCCAAGCGGCCCGCAAGTGCCTGGACAAAAATCTCCAGCTTGGACACAGGGCTGCAGGCTGCTGTTGGGAACACAGCTGGGGGAGTCAGGAGGAGCTCCGTCTGGGAAGGAGAGAGCAGAAGCCCCCAGGAGTGACATGGGGAGAATGATCATCCCGCCGGACAAAACCTTCACTAAAATATCCTCAAATGGGCCGGGTGTGGCAGCTCACACCTGTAATCCCAGCACTTTGGGAGGCCAGTGTGGGCGGATCAGCTGAGGTCAGGAGTTCGAGACCAGCCTGGCCAATATGGTGTAACCCCATCTCTACTTTAAAAAAATACAAAAAGTAGCCGGGCATGGTGGTGGGTGCCTGTAATCCCAGCTACTCGGGAGGCTGAGGCAGGAGAATCACTTGAACCTGGGTGGCGGAGGTTGCAGTGAGCCGAGATCATGCCACCGCACTCCAATCTGGGTGCGACAGAGTGAGGCTCCCTCTCAAAATAAATAAATAAATAAATAAAATATTATCAAATTGGGCCGGGCACAGAGGCTCACACCTGTAATCCCAGCACTTTGGGAGGCCAAGGCAGGCGGATCACTTGAGGTCAGGAGTTCCAGACCAGCCTGGCTCATGTGGTGAAACCCTGTCTCTATTAAAAACACAAAATTAGCCGGACATGGTGGCGGGCATCTGTAGTCCCAGCTACTCAAGAGGCTGAAGCCGGAAAATCACTTGAGATCGAGGCTGCAGTGAACTGAGATCGTACCACTAACACCCCAGCCTGGGAGACAGAGCGAGACCCTGTCTCAAAAAAACAAATAAGTAAATAAAAATAACAATGTGTGGGAGCATTTAAAGAGGTCACAATAGGCCAGCTGCAGTGGCTTATGCCTGTAATCCCAGCACTTTGGGAGGCCGAGGCGGGCAGATCACTAGGTCAGGAATTTGAGACCATCCTGGCTAACACGGTGAAACTCCGTCTCTACTAAAAATACAAAAAATCATCTGGGCATGGTGGCGGGCGCCTGTAGTCCCAGCTACTCAGGAGGCTGAGGCAGGAGAATCGCTTGAACCTGGGAGGCGGAGCTTGCAGTGAACCAAGATCGCACCACTGTACTCCAGCCTGGGTGACAGAGGGAGACTCCGTCTCAAAAAAAAAAAAAAAGAGGTCACAATAACTAGGGGTCGCTACTAGCCTTCAGTAGGCAGAAGCCAGAAATCTTAAAATGTCCTACAGGACTTGCCCTACAGAACATCTGTTGTAAGTGCCAAGAGCGTTGAGAACTCTACCTGGTTGGGGAAAACAGGATGGCGGATGGCGAGTTCCCATCTCACCCCCAGCTGGTCCTCTTTCCCCATCACACTGCTTTGGATGTCCTTCCTACTAAATTTCGCCTTCATAAACGTAGGGGTGGATGGAGGGGGCAGTCTGACCCAGCTGCCTTCACAAGGGAAGCCGGTGCCTCTGGCTGCCCCTCCCAGAAGCCAGGCACACACACCCCTGAAATCACTGCACCAGCTTCTCTTAGGCTGAGCTGCACCCAGGACATGCAAATTTTCCATAAAGCACTTTCGGGTTCTGATCGTGAAACCTCGTGACTCCTAATTTCCTCTTCCCCAAGCTCTTGGCACCTTGTCCTGAGCTGGTCAGCTCAGTCTCATGAACACACAGTCCGGTGCCAGGAGCTGGCACGAGAAACTAGCACACATGACTCGTGTTCTCCCGAAAGGAGAGTGAAGAAGGGTGAGACTCCGGCCACAGTGGCCACGTTTTGGCTGGGTCCGTTGGTTGGAGCAGTCCCAGGCTCACGAGACTGACATCAAAGATATGAAGATCAATTAGAGGAAAGAGTTTCCCAGTGTCTAACAGCAACTGAAGGCTTGCTCTAAGACATCCTAAAACACATGTAGCATGTCATTCCTCTCTTACTAAGACCTGTCTATGGCTTCCTTTTTTTTTTTTTTTTTAGACAGAGTCTCGTTCTTGTCCCCCAGGCTGGAGTGCAATGGTGCAATCTCGGCTCACTGAAACCTCCGCCTCCGAGTTCAAGTGATTCTCCCGCCTCAGTCTCCCGAGTCACTGCTGTCGGGATAGAGACCCGCACATCCTTTTGGTGGCCTAAGGAACCTGTGGCCGGGCCTCTGCACCCCTTTCAGCTTCATCTGGCACATTCTGCTCCTTGCTCTCTTCTACTTTTTCCTGCCTTGGAACTTTTGCATAGGTTGACATCGCTGGCAAAAACGCTCTACCCCCACTCTGCCTGGGTAACTCCTACTCTCCCTTCTGGTCTTAACTTAAGTATCTTGTCTTCCAGGGAGCTTTCCCGACCCACCAGACCAGGAAGGCCTGCGTCGTTCCCTGCTTCTGAATGCTCAGGACTCTTGTAAACGTTCAATGCCTGTCTCTCCTGCTAGACTGAGGTCTCTTGGAGGATAGGAACCACATCTGTTATTCACTGTAACCCCAGGACCTTGCACAAATAGTTTCAGTGAATGAATGAGCAAGTGTGAATGAATGAATGACCAAGCATATTCCTGGTCACAAAGAGCCTGGAATGAGGCAGTACAGGTGTTCCACCCAGCCCACCTCCACCAGCTGGAAAAGAACTGTTTGGCTGGTTGAGACGTCGCGTCGAGAATGACCACCCTCTCTGGAAAGATGCAAAGAAAGAACAAATGGCCCCTAGGATGGGATTTGGGGTGGGAGAATTGCTGTTCCAATTAATTCTCTAACTGCTCACAAAAAACCCTAACTGAAAATTCCCCAGTGCACAGGGTTCCCTTGTTCAGCAGCCAGTATTGGAGGCTGTACTCCTTTCTATCCAATCAGGCTCCAACATGGAAACGGCATAGAAACCCAGAAATGGTTCAGCCCACTAAGGGAACTTCGGTCTCAGTTCTCAGAGTCCTTCTCCGAGGCCTGTCCCAAATTTGCAATAAAACTTGTTTTTAGGCCAGGCACGGTGGCTCACGCCTGTAATCCCAGCACTTTGGGAGGCCGAGGCGGGTGGATCACCTGAGGTCAGGAGTTCGAGACCAGCCTGGCCAACAAGGTGAAACCCCGTCTCTACTAAAATTACAAAAATTAGCCAGGCGTGGTGGTGGGTGCCTGTAATCCCACCTACTCAGGAGACTGAGGCAGGAGAATCGCTTGAACCCAGAAGGCGGAAGTGGAGGTTGCAGTGAGCTGAGATCGTGCCACTGCACTCCAGCCTGGGCAAGAGAGTGAGGCTCCATCTCAAAAAAACACACACAAAAAAACTTATGTTTCGGGGAGGGAGGTAAACAGTAGCTCTTCCCTGGGAAGAAAGCAGTTTCTAGGTGGGTGCCCGTCCCGTCTGCTCTCGCCGTCTGCTGGGATTCCGAGAAAGAAGATGCTGGTTGCTCACGGTATGCTCAACCCCTCTGCCCCACGGCGCTGCAGGCGAAGCTGTGAGTCACCAGCTCCCAGGAATGACTTTGATGAACCTCCAACCAGACAGATGGAAAATCTGGCTTTCAGTTCAATGATGGGAGAAATATGATAGAAATGGATTCTGGGCCCTCACGCTCCCAAGGGGCTGGCCTGAGCGAGTCTGCAGGGCCTGACAGACAGGGCTTGGGCACGACTTCTGCGGCTGCAGATTGCGCTGGGCCATGGTAACCACCACGCCGGCCCGAGGGCGCTATACAGTGCGACACCAGACTCCAGGTCTGCTGGGGGCCTGTGCCCAGGGGAGAGGCTCCTTTCCATGTTCCCGTCACCAAAACAAAGAAATAAACAAAACAACCAATGTCAAATCAAGATCCGGTTCTCGGGCCTCGAGTTTGTAAAGATCCAGAAAGCCACCCCAGCAGACGGCGGTTGGTCTGCCAGCTTCCCGCCAGCCTCCCGCCAAGCTTCCTGCCAGCTTCTCACCAGCTTCTCACCCCCGCCTAGTAACGATGTTCTGGATGTTCCAGCATTTTTCTTTTCTTTTTTTTTTTTTTTTTTTTGAGACAGAGTCTCCCTCTGTTGCCCAGGCTGGAGTGCAGTGGCGCAATCTCAGCTCACTGCAACCTCCACCTCCCGGGTTCAAGCGATTCTCCTGTCTCAGCCTCCCGAGTAGCTGGGACTACAGGCGCCCGCCACCATGCCCAGCAATTTTGTATTTTTAGTAGAAACGGGGTTTCTCCATGTTGGTCAGGCTGGTCTCGAACTCCTGACCTCAGGTGATCCACCTGCCTTGGCCTCCCAAAGTGCTGGGACTCCAGGCGTGAGCACCTGGCCTGTTCTGACATATTCAATAGTGTCAGGGTTCTTCTGTCTCCTGAAATGAGGGGCCTGTTGAAAGCAGTAGGGGTGTGGAAGAAGAACAGAGGGTAACATAGAAACGAGGCAGCAAACACTTGCACCTGCTACCTGCGCCCAGGCTGCCGTCAGGACTCTGCATGTATTAAATCACTTCATTGTCACCGTGCCACACGACCGCTCCAGGAGCCACACATGAGCCCCTCAACACTCTGCTGCCTTTCTCCAACAGGAGGGAAAGAGCGCTCGACCGAGCACAGCCTGAATCCAGCTGCTGGTTCTGCCACTAACTTGCTGTGTGACTCTGAAGAACTGCCTTTCCCTGTCTGTCCCTTGATGTTCTCACCTCGACACGAAGAGATGTAAGTCCCAGGCAGTAGCTGATAAAGGAAGGGGGAAACTTTCCTGTTTCCCGCCCTTCAGTTCCTATATTCCAGGAAGTTTAATGGGTTTTCAGGGCTAGAAAAGTTATTATTATTATTATTTTGTAGAGCCAGAGTCTCACTATGTTACCCAGGCTGGTCTCGAACTCGTAGGCTCAAGCAATCCTCCTGCCTCATCCTCCCAAAGTGCTGGGATTACAGGCATGAGCCACGGCGCCCTGCAGAAAAGTTACTTATTATTTCACTGAATATTCCCTGAGCCCTACTGTATAAACCAGAGTTCCTTTTCCCAGGCTGCTTATGATAATAGACTTCAGACATGCCCAGAAATCACAGAGAGGGAAAGACAGACAGTGGTCTGGACAGTGAGTTATGGAGGGGGCAGGAGGGAGGTACCACTTCAAACTGAGCTGATGACTAAAAGCTTCTAGAAAGAATGTGAGCTGGGCACGGGGGCTCACACCTGTAATCCCAGCATTCTGGGAGGCCGAGGTGGGCGGATCACCTGAGGCCACGAGTTCAAGACCAGCCTGGCCAACATGGTGAAATCCCGTCTCTGCTAAAAATACAAAAAATTAGCTGGGCATGGTGGAAGGCACCTGTAATTCCAGCACTTTGGGAGGCCGAGGCAGGAGGATCACCCGAGGCCACGAGTTCAAGACCAGCCTGGCCAACATGGTGAAACCCCGTCTCTACTAAAAATACAAAAAAATAGCTGGGCGTGGTGGAAGGCACCTATAATCCCAGCACTTTGGGAGGCTGAGGCAGGTGGATCACCTGAGGTTGGGAGTTTGAGAGCAGCCTGACCAATATGGTGAAACCCCCTCTCTACTAAAAATAGAAAATTAGTGGGGTGTGGTGGCGGGCGCCTGTAATCCCAGCTACTGGGGAGGCTGAGGCAGGAGAATCCCTTGAACCCAGGAGGCGGAGGCTGTAGTGAGCCGAGATTGCGCCATTGCACTCCAGCCTGAGCAAAAAGAGCGAAACTCTATCTCAAAACAAAAAACAAAACAAAACAAAAACTTGCACAGAGGCAGACGTGGAAATGGAGCGAAGAGCTAGAATGGATGACTGTGGAGAAGGTTCTTTTGGGAACTGGGGGCGAATATAGAAACTGCTACTAATCTAACGTGTGGCCTCAGCATGAATTCAGGAAAACAACAGAATTAGCAGCTTTTCTTAGATCCACCTTATAGAGAAGCCTTTCTGGGACACCCCCTCCCCCTCAATACCCACAAGGATTCAGGACTCCCCCGCTCTCCCGGCGAGTTTGCTGAACGCCCTTCGGCCGACGTGTCCCGAGCATCGCCAGTATTTACGTTCTAGGCACCCTGTTAAGCACGTAACCTTCACTCTTCGCAAGCAGCCTCTCTATGTGGAAGCCACAGTCACCACGCCCGCTTTACAGAAGAGGCTCAAGTTCACACTGCTAGTGAGTGACAGAGCCAAGTTCTCACTCGGGTCTGGCTCGGTCCAGAGCAATTGTACCTGGCCACCAGTCCTGAAGCTTCAGGAAAGCATCCTGACCAGATGCCGCCCGACATTCACTCAGGAAGAGCTCGGTTTCCAGCACGCCAGGGAGCACTGGCAACTGACGCTAATTCAAGCACATCAGTGCAGCCCTTTTTGTTTGTGTGTTTTTATGTTTGAGATAGAGTCTCCCTCTGTCCCCCAGGCTGGAGTGTGGAGTGCAGTGGCACAATCTCGGCTCACTGCATCCTCCGCCTCCCAGGTTGAAGCGATTCACCTGCCTCAGCCTCCTGAATAACTGGGACTACAGGCACCCGCCACCACGCCCAGCTAATTTTTTTTTTGTATTTTTAATAGAGACGGGGTTTCACCGTGTTAGCCAGGATGGTCTCGATCTCCTGACCTCGTGATCTGCCCACCTTGGCCTCTCAAAGTGCTGGGATAACAGGCGTGAGCCCCGCGCCTGGCCACTGCAGCTCTTAAAGCTTACTCTCCAGGGGAAGTGGCAGAGGAAGGAAGACACAAAGATGAATTTCCATCCTCTTTCTCCTCTACTGAAATCTGACGAGCTCCTGGGTCTTTTGATTTCTCCTTGAACATGAGGTTTGTACCTGGAGGATCTCTGGTGGCAAGGGTGTTTCCTTTGTTTTTTTTTATTTATTTATATTTTGATTGATTGATTGAGACAGAGTCTCTCTCTGTCGCCCAGGCTGGAGTGCAATGGCACGATCTTGGCTCACTGCAACCTCCGCCTCCCGGGTTCAAGTAATTCTCTTGCCTCAGCCTCCCAAGTAGCTAAGATTACAGGTACACGCCACCACGCCCAGCTATTTTTTTGTTTTGTTTTGTATTTTTAGTAGAGATGGGGTTGCATCACGTTGGCCAGGCTGGTCTCGAACTCCCGACCTCAGGTGATCCACCAGCCTCGGCCTCCTAAAGTGCTGGGATGACAGGCATGAGCCACCGCGCCTGGCCCAGGGGAACCATTTTCAAAGGTGACTCTCTGCTGTTCAAGAAACCCATGCAGCTTGGTGAGGTGACTTTGGGGGGTCATCCGGGTCTGAACTGCCGATTTTCTTCCTTTCATACACGTACATCAGGAAGTCCCCAAGGATCTCTGCCCATTTCAATGAACCCTAAGCTTTTCCCCTAAAGACCTCGCTGCTCAAACTGTGCTCCCTGGACCTGTGACGGGATTATCGAGGAATGTGTCAGAAACGCAGAACTCCAGGCTCCATCCCTGAACCGGATTGGAATCTGGACTTTAATAAGACTCCCAGCCCAACCGTCAACGTTGGGAGGCACTGGTCTAGAGTGTGGGGTGCCCAACTTGAGCTTGGGACCGAAAGCCTGGGGTTCAGCTGTGGGGCCGCCAGCAACCTTGGCCACTTAGGAGAGGGAAGCGTTCGGGTTTGGAATCAGCGTGCCCGGCTTCAGAATCCAGGTCCCACACTTTCTCACTGTGTGAATTGGAGCGTGTGTGACAGTTTCCTCCATGAGTGAGTCTGATTGACATGCAGGTACGTGCAAGGCAGGAGCCCACCAGCCCAGGACATTAGCCTCCGTCTCACCAAATGACGCCTTGGTCTCCATCCTGCTGCTGCTTGTTATTTTAGCCAGGACTTTTTTTTTTTTTTTTTTTTTTTTTTCCCCAGACAGAGTCTTGCTCTGTCGCCCAGGCTAGAGTGCAATGGCACAATCTCGGCTCACTGCAACCTCTGTCTCCCAGGTTCAAGCGAATCTCCTGCCTCAGCCTCCTGAGTAGCTGGGAATACAGGCACGTGCCACCACGCCCGGTTAATTTTTGTTATTTGTAGTAGCGATAGGGTTTCACCACGTTGGTCAGGCTGGCCTCGAACTCCTGACCTCAGGTGATCTGCCCGCCTCTGCCTCCCAAAGTGCTGGGATGACAGGCGTGAGCTGCCGCAGCCGACCAGAGTGGTGCACATTTTAATCAGTCCAGTAACTAAGCAGGGAAAGAAGTCTCAACAGTTAGATAGCAAAAGTCTCAGGACTGATTCAGATTGGCTCAGCTAGGGTTGCATGCCCACCTCTGACCCAGTGCCACCTGAGCCAGTCACTGAGGCCACAGTCCTCTTACTGGCAGGAGTTCAGTTACTCCAAGAGCTCCAAACCAAAGAGGTTCCCAAGCCTTAGCCTTCTCCCCTTATCCCTATTACCACTTCCCACTGGGAACCAGAAACCCAAATCCTCCAGTCAGGGACTTGAAGAGCCAGTGTTCTGAGCCCTGTTCTGCCATATCTGTTTTTTTTCTTTACAGTTCAGAAGAAATAAACTTAAGCAGGGAGCTGGGCTAGCAGAGGCCGGCCCTGGCCATCGGGAGAGCTCTGACCTGCACACCGCGGGAGGCCAGGGTGCTGACTGTCAAGCATCCCCTGTCCCCAAGTTCCAAAAGCACAGACTCAAAGGGAAACCCCCCAGTCACCCACTGTCAGCTCCCATCTGACAAGAAAGCCTGGAGCGAGGAAGGAAAGCACAGCGAACCCAATGGGTAACGTGGTTTACTCTCCCGGACGCGTCCTGGGATCTCAACCCCAGCAGTCTGGCTTGTTTCTCATTCCCACAATTTCCTGGGTTCCACCAAGCAGCGAAAACTGCCAGGATGAATGAGGAAAAAACCCAGCCCCACAAACGAGACACACGCTGGCGGGGAGAGACGCAGCAGAGCTCCTTCCTGTCTGTGGACTCGGAGCAAAGACGTGGGGCCCCATCTTTTGTGTTTTCCTCAAGCGGGGAAAGAATGGACTGTTTGCATGCTTCGTGCCACACGCCCGCGGTGATCCCAGCCAGGGCCCCGAGCGCAGAGGCGGAGCTGTGCTCAGCACAGGCCTGGGACCTCCCCCGGCAGGCACCTGTGGGGGGTGCAGCTCCCGGGAAGGAGGCAACTGCCTCACTTAACATCCTCCGCTGCAAGGTGGTGGCGCCGAGAGGCGTGTCTGTGAAGACAGGTACCAGGATGGCAGGACCCGCACGCCTCTTCCCACACCTGTCAGCTTCGGAAGCATCTCTCGAGGACTCTGGTCCCAGGATGTCTCCCAGGACAAGCCAGTCTGCCTCTTCCTCCTACTTCTGCTGTAGCCTGGGACCAGACCTGGCCAAGGTCAGCCAGCGGGGAGGGCCGAGGTCTGAGCTCTCGTCCTGCCGTGGCCCCCGCGATGGCCTGGGGTGCAAGCTTGGGGCTCCGTCTGGTGCTGCTTAGGTAGTTTCAGGCTTCCAGCCCAGCCCTATGCTCTGTGCTTGGCCCTGGGCCCCTGGCCATCCACAAACAGCAGAGGCCTTCCCTGGAGGAGGCTTTGGGACCACCCCTGGGGGGACTTCCCAAAGGGTCCCAGGCTGTCAGGGGCGTTTGCGCCACCTGCAAGGGCGTGGGTCAGAGAGTTTTTATGGGGGTCTGTTGTTTGACCGTCCTGAGACCGAGGGAAGGGCTCAGCTGAAGGACCCCGTCTGCAGGAGAGTCGGGGGACCAGGTTTGGGAATACACTTGCATGTACAGAGCCTGGGGCCTGGACGCCACGGCCTCTCATCTTAGGACCTAATGGGACCCCCGAAAGGAGCCAAGTGGGGCCCTCGGCCTCTTCCTTCGTTCCAGGCCCATGATTTTCCCTACACTTCTCCCTGGCCCAGGCTCCAGCCACAGGCACCTCTCCTGCCCCCGCCCACCCTCCTGACCGCAGCTCCCAGGCCCTGGAGACCTCCAGGCTTTCCTGCCCTGGGCAGCCCCACCTCACAGCCAGAGTCAATGCCTTCATGGGAAGGGCTCCCAGCCACACCCAGAGTGGCCCAAAGCTGTTGAAGTCAGCATCCTTTGTCCCATCAGGACCCTCCTGCCTCCTCTCCAGGCCCTTGTTCGCCTCCCCACCCTCCTCAGAGGCCCGGGGAAGGGAAGAGCAGGTCAGTACAGAGGTTCTGTCTACAGGGAGGGGCCCTGGGTCTATGCACAGCTGGAGCTCTGAGCCTTCCACAGCCCGTGTGACTGCTAGAGGGCAGGGGTGCAGGGCTCAGGGGGCCCGGGCTGGTCCTTTGGGGCTGGTGTTCCTACGTCAGTCCCCACCTGGGGAATAAACTCCAGCCTCTCCTGCTCATACAGAAGGGACTGGTTGGGTTTGCTTTATGGGATCTTTGAGACCAAAACAGATGCTCCTGTTTGCTGGGGGAGGGTGTGAGCACGGAGTATTTCTGTCCCTCGTGAAGTCACGTCACACAGGGGAGAGGCGAGGTCGATGGAACTGGCCACGCACAGGCTCTGGCTCTGGAAGGAGGGATGATGAGTGGGCGTTTTCCCGGCAGGCCCCCGGGGTCCTCAGCCTCAGCAACCCAGGGAGAGGACAGAAACGAACCGATGGTTGAGGGATTGTCACGGGAGGAACATGACACCCGAAGGGACTCTAGGTGCCCTCGGAGTGCCACACATGCCCAGACCTTCTCACACCCACACAAATAGGCTCTGCCGTGCACTCCTACACACACACACACACACACACACGCTTGTTCACACTCAGAACCCAGGACAGCCACAGCCACCGCTTAGGGGAAGCCACTGCAGATGCCCCTGGAATGGGCACAGCACAGCCAGGGCGCTCTTCCAGGCAGGCGAGGATAACTTGAGAGTTTCCTAGGGCACCAGGGACAGAGCTCAGAGGCCCCCGAGGTGTGTGTAGGAGGCGGAGGCCCGCAGAGCACAGAGCAGGAGAAGGGCTTGGGCCCTGGAGGAGAAAGCCATTCTGGACACCAGGGGACCTGGACGGAGGGTCCCCACAGCCCGTGCCCCACGCCGCCTGGAGGCCAGAGGGGTCAGTGGCCCTGCTGTCCCGGCTCCATCTTGGTTCTAGCCGCCACCTGCATGAACACAGTGGCCCGGCTTAACGCACTAACCCAGCCTCTCCCTGTGTCCCACAGGGAGTAGCAAGACCCACCCCACACTGCCTTCACCATCTACACCAGTGACGCCGCTGTGTGTCTTAGCATGGAAATAAATAAACCTGAATGTACGTGCTCGCCTCTGGCCTATGTGTTTGTGCTGCTGGGGTCAAGGGGGTTCCAAACAATCCGGGGGTGAGCAGTCCACTCCGCCTGTGGCCCCAGGGTCAGGCTGAGGCTGCGCACTGGGAACCTGGCACATCGGGGCTCCGTGGCCAACTCAAGGCGTTCCTCTGGGCAAGTCACTTGTCCACTCCGGGACTCAGTTTGTCCAACTGTAAAATAAGTGGTAATGCCAGTCTCATCTCCCTTCAGTCCTTTCTGCATAGATCTCAGGCCTGGAGAGAAGAGGGCAGGCAAGAGTTCGAGACCAGCCTGCAACATGAGGAGACTCTGTCTCTAGAAAACATTTAAAAATCAGCCAGGCGTGGTGCTGCACGCCTGAGGTCCCAGCTACTCAGGAAGCTGAGGTGGGAAGATCACTTGAGTCAGAGAAGTTGGAGCTGCAGTGAGCTGAGCCATGTTCCTGCTCCTGGCTCCCAGACCTCCTGGGACAGTCCCTAGACCACCAGGTTCCCCACCCTGCTGGCCTCACTACTGGGACACTCACTGCCACCCCCAACAACCAACTCTCTGCCTTCCTAGAGCGTTTTCTTTAGGTCGGAGTCACATGGTCCAGGAAGCCTGCCCTAAGTGTCTGCGTCCCCAGGGTTCAGTACAGAGCCTGGCACGTAGCAGGTGCTGAGGACAAGTCTGTAGAAGGAGGGAGGGAGGGGCCCCAGCAACCAGGAGCCTCCCAGGTTGCAGGATCCCTGTGAGCGGAAGCTCCTTCCATCCAGACTGGAGGCCACGGCGCCGCTTCCTGTGTGCCAGGCGCGGGGCTCCCTGCTCCGCTGGAATTACCTCATTTAATCCTCACAACACTTCCACGAGGGATCCTCCCATTTTCCTGGGAAGAAATAAAACTCAGGCGATCCAGGGGCTTAGCCAAGGTCATACAGTCAGGAGCCAGTAGAGCAGGACAGTCCTTGAGAAGCGTGCCTCGGTGACAGGGGCCTCTCCAGACCATAAAAGCCTGCGGGCTCTGCCAAGGGAGCTGACTGTTTCCACACCCTGTAACTGCTCCCAGCACTTTGGGAGGCTGAGGCGGGCGGATCACCTGAGGCCACCAGTTTGAGACCAGCCTGACCAATATGTTGAAGCTGACAAGCTTCAAAACGAACATTGATTGAACTGAAAAATATGATGTACATGTGTCCTTACACACTTTTGTTTTGTTTTGTTTTTTGAGACAGAGTTTCGCTCTCGTTGTCCAGGCTGGAGTGCAGTGGCGTGATCTCGGCTCACTGCAACCTCTGCCTTCCCAGGTTCAAGCGATTCTCCTGCCTCAGCCTCCCAAGTAGCTGGGATTATAGGTGCCCGCCACCACACCTGGCTAATTTTTGTCATTTTAGAGATGGGGTTTCACCATATTGGCCAGGCTGGTCTCAAACTCCTGACCTCAGGTGGTCCACCTGCCTCGGCCTCCCAAAGTGCTGGGATTACAGGCATGAGCCACGGCGCCCAGCCACCTGGAGGTGATTATTAAGGTGAAATGCCACCAGTGTAACGTCAGCAACAGCCACACTCAGGTGAGCCGGACCCTTCTACACACCCTCTGTCAGCGACAGCCAGGCCCCTTTACAGCAGGCATCGGGGGCCTGAAAGTCCACGCCCCTTCACAGCAGGCATCGGGGCCTGGCATCGGGGCCTGGAAGTTTCTTTGGGATCATTTGTCGGACACCAATTTCAGAAGTTTAAAAGCAGGTTGGGAGGAGGGCACGTGTTTTGCAATCAGTAAAAGAGGAAAGGGGGGTCTCACCGTGCGGAGGCTTCGATGACAGACGTGCTTCTGGGACCCGGGGCTCTGGCGCCCTGTCGGTAAACAGGTCCATGATCTCTGCAGGCCCATGGGCTGTGGGAGGCCCGACAGAGAGCTGGACACACAGAAGGCCGCGTCCTGGGGCTCAGCAGGCAGCTCCTCCCATCCCACAATCTGGGAGGCTCTGGGCACCCCAGGCTGACCGCGACATTCTGATCTCCTCCAGCCCCAGGCCTACCTCGCCTCCTTCCCGTTCCTTGATGCAAAAGAGGAGACGGCCCCCTGTGTCCAGGAACCAGGAGCACCTGGCCCCGTCCCAGGCCTTTCAGGCATTGGCTGTGTGACCTCCGGCAGCCCACGGCCTCCCTCTGAACCTCAGTCTCCCTGTGTAAAGGAGGGACTCAGTCTGGAGCAGGCTTTTCAGGCCTGGCCACACTGGAATCACCTGAGATGTTTAAAAAATCCTACTACCGGCCAGGCACAGTGGCTCACACCTGCAATGCCAGCACTTTGGGAGGCCGAGGCGAGCGGATGGTCAGGGGTTCGAGATTAGCCTGGCCAACATGGCAAAACCCCGTCTTCTACTAAAAATACAAAAATTAGCCGGGCATGGTGGAGGGTACCTGTAATCCCAGCTACTTGGGAGGCTGAGGCAGGAGAATCACTTGAATTCAGGAGGTGGAGGTTGCAGTGAGCTGAGATCGCACCATTATACTCCAGCCTGAGCGACACAGTGAGACTCTGTCTCAAAAAAAAAAAATATTCTACTACCTGGGTGCCACTGCTAGTGAATCTGGCTTAATTGGTCTGGGTGCAGCTTGCACACCAGAGTTTTAAAAGCCTTCCAGGTGATCCCAATGGACACTCAAGCCTGGGCCCCACCGGTCTGGACTCTAGAGGCTTTTGCTACTCAAAGTGTGGTCCCCGGACCATCAGCATGGGCATCACCTGGAGCTGTCAGAAAGCTCAGGCCATACCCTAGCCTTATCAATCAGAATCAGCCCTTTAACAGGATCCTCAGGTGCTTTGTATGCAATTTAAAGTTGGACCAGGCCAGAAGAGTCGCTAGCCCTGTAATCCCAGCACTTTGGGAGGCTGAGGCGGGCAGATCACGAGGTCAGGAGTTCGAAACCAGCCTGGCCAATATGGTGAAACCCCATCTCTACTAAAAATACAAAAATTAGCCAGGCATGGTGGCAGGCGCCTGTAATCCCAGCTACTCAGGAGGCTGAGGCAGGAGAATCACTTGAACCCGGGAGGCAGAGGTTGCAGTGAGCTGAGATCGCACCATTGCACTCCAGCCTGGGTGACAGAGCAAGAGTCTGTCTCAAAAATGAAAGAAAGAAAGAAGGAAAGAAAGTTGGACCAGCTCTGATCAGATGCCTGAGGCAGCTTCCACTCTCAGCGTTCCTTGGGGCCGGCCGGCTTTCCTGCAGTCCCAGAAAGGCAGAGCCACGGAGCTGAGAGGCACTTACAGGCTTGAAACCTGCCAGTGGGGCCTTTATCTCACCTCTAAAAGAATAATCCTCCATCCCTCTGTCTCCCTCCCTCTCTTCCTTTCTTTCTTCATCCTAGAATTTATTGTAACAAACTGAGAACATCTAGGCAATACTGAGAAACCAAGAGAAGGATAAGAGAAACCCCAGATAAGTGTGGAAGGGGGTCTCACAGCAGAAGAGGCCGGCACCCACATCCAGCGTGGTCACAGTGAGGCTGTGGCCCAGGTGGAGAAGACCACCTTTGTGTGGGGGGGAGGAAGTTGGAAGGGCAGGGTGGGCGTGGCCCAAAAGTGCAATTCTGGGGGATGTTGGACCTTCTAGAACCTTCCCAGGGTTGAAGGAGAGCCAAGTGGGTGTCTCAGAGCTGCTTGGATGGAAACTTCTACTCACAACCAAAATCAACACCCTGGGTTCTCCCTGGTCTCCATCCCCAGACTCTAGGCCTGGAGGAAGCAGGAGGGGGCAGGGACCCTGGGAAGCTGTGAGGCCTCTTGCACCCCTGTCCTGGGGCAGGAATTCCTGCTCCCGGAGTTGGCCCAGGTTCATATGCTGCCTTTGTGCTGACTGCAAAGTGGGCCCTCCTATACAGACAAAAACATGAAAACTGCAAACGCCTCCCCTTCCTGGGATGTTTGCGGCTGGACGCCCAGCCTGGTGTGCTGAGGGTAGTTGGATTTCAGAGGTCCTGGGCACTGCCTGAGCAGGGCACAGTCTGCGAGGCCGTCCTGGGCAGACCTGCCCGCTACGCCTTGTTGGGGTCCTTTCCCGGAGGTGGCAGCACAGCCGGTCAGCTGGAAGCGGGGCAGCCAGGGCTTCTGCTCCTGCATTATTGATCTGCTGCCTGGTCGTGGGTATGAATAATTAATCAGAGCGAGGAAGCACAGAAGATTGCGAGCCGAGGTGCAGCCCAGCTCCTCCCCGCCTCGCCCCTCAGGGTTGGCTCCTCTTTGCTTACTGTGCTTCTGTGGGGGAGGCTGTACGGAATCTCAAGCTTCTCCTCCTGCCCACAAGGCAGGCCCAGGAAAGGCCCCACAGCTTTGGAATTGCAACGACCCATGTCATCAGGATGGAGCTGCCTGCAGCCCCTGGACCAGGCTGGCCATCCTCACTGTGCTCCTGGCCATCTGGGACTCAGAGTCAGGCAGCCGGAGTTCAAATGCTGAATCCTTAAACATCTTTTTTTTTTCTTTTTGAGAAAGAGTCTCACTCTATCGCCAGGCTGGAGTGCAGCGGTATGATCTCAGCTCACTGCAACCTCTGCCTCCCAGGTTCAAGCGATTCCCCTGCTTCAACCTCCCGAGTAGCTGGGACTACAGGCTTCTGCACCACACCCGGCTAATTTTTTTTTTTTGTATTTTTACTAGAGACGGGGTTTCACCATGTTGGCCAGGCTGGTCTCAAACTCCTAACCTCAAGTGATCCACCCGCCTCAGCCTCCCTAAGTGCTGGGATTACAGGCCTGAGCCAGGGTGTCCGGCCCTTGAACTTCTTTGCGCCTCCACCTCTTCATGGGTCGAATGGAAACAGTGTATCAGGTGGATCGTGTTTATGGTGAGAAGAAGCCGGCCTGGTCCTGACTGCAGCATGAGTTCCATAAACACAAGTTGATGCTGTCGCTGATATTGTTTATAGTAAATGGCTTCTTTCACTGCTGCCAAGGTCTTGGGAAGGGGAGATTGGTGGGTAACTGACGGGCCTGCTTAGGGTGGAGGTGGTCAGAACTTCAGGGGAGAGGGTGCGGGCCAGGGTGGGTGATGCCCTATCTGGGGTATCTCTGGGTGGGGCCGCCAGGGAGGGGTAGGAGTGGAGGTAGGAAGATAATCAAAACAATTATCCAGAATTACTGGGCACGGTGGCTCACACCTGTCATCCCAGCACTTTGGGAGGCCAAGGTGGGCAGATCAGAAGGTGAAGAGATGGAGACCAGCCTGGCCAACATGGTGAAATGCCGTCTCTACTAAAAATACAAAATTAGCCAGGCATGGTGGCGCGTGCCTGTAATCCCAGCTACTCGGGAGGCTGAGGCAGGAGAATCACTTGAATCTGGGAGGCAGAGGTTGCAGTGAGCAGAGATCAGAGATTGCACCACTGCACTCCAGCCTGGGCAACAGAGCAGGGCTCTGTCTCAATTAAAAAAAAAAAAAGAAAAGAAAAGAAAGAAAGAAAAATGTGACTGGTTGTGACCAATTCATTGTAAACACCATTGCACTCGGACCAACAGGTCCCCTTTAAAGAGCTTTCCAGGAGTTCCTGTCCAGTGACTTTGCTTTATATTCTTGGACCACGACTGTGCCATACAACCACCACTAGCTGCAGAGGAGGCTGGGAAATTCCTTCCTTTCAGCGGAGCACACGGATGCCCCAAGGCAAACCGCGGTTCTGTTAGGAAAAGAATGGATACTGCGGAGCAGCCAGTGTTTCAACTAGATGTGCACTATCAAGGTATCAGCAAATTAAGAATAAGGTATCCAGGAGGCTGAGGCAGGAGAATGGCATGAACCCGGGAGGCAGAGCTTGCAGTGAGCCGAGATTGCACCACTGCACTCCAACCTGGGCGACAGAGCAAGACTCTGTCTCAAAAAAAAAAAAGTGTCAAGTTATAGTTTGTTTACTGAATGAACAGTCGTTGAATGCCTACTATGTAGCAGACACTGTGCTGTGTTTTGGGAACTTTTAGTTTAGTGCCTGGAGAGAATAAAAAATGGATACATCCTTACAATATGTGATACTGATTAGGAATTGTCCTGAAAGTATGTGATGGAGGGAATCAGGGAAGCTCTGCCTGAGGAAGTGACATCTCCACGGAGTTCTGCCGGAGTGGTCCAGGTGTGGAAGGGGTGAAGGTGTCCAGCTGGAGCCAGGCCGATGGCAGGCGTGGGGCAGGGTCAGGAGGGCAAGCGCTGGGCTCATCATGCACAGGGTCAGGGAGGCACCGACTTGGGACCATTCGGTGATTAATCCCTTCCAGCAGGTAGATTAATGACAGTGGTGGGGTTGATTTATTTCTCATTTCCTATGATAAACACCATTAAAAGAAGGAGGCCGGGCCCGGTGGCTCACGCCTGTAATCCCAGCACTTTGGGAGGCCGAGGTGGGCAGATCCAGAGGCCAGGACTTCAAGATCATCCTGGCTAACACGGTGAAACCCCATCTCTACTAAAAATACAAAACATTAGTGGGGCGTAGTGCTGGGCGCCTGTAGTCACAGCTACTCGGGAGGCTGAGGCAGGAGAATGGCGTGAACCCGGGAGGCGGGGCTTGCAGTGAGCTGAGATCTCGCCACTGCACTCCAGCCTGGGCGACAGAGCGAGACTCCGTCTAAAAAAAAAAAAAAAGAAGAAGGAGGAGGAGGAGGCCAGGAATGGTGGCTCATGCCTGTAATCCCAGTGCTTTTGGAGGCTGAGGAGGGAGGATCGCTTGGGCCTGGGAGGAGGAGGTTGCAGTGAGCCATGATTGCACCACTGCACTCCAGCCTGGGCAATGGAGCAAGACCCTGTCCCAAAAAAAGAAAAGAAAAAAAAGAAAAAGAAGGGGAGAAAAGTCAAATAATTAGTATCTAACTTAGAAACAAGCATGGACTCCAATTCAGTCCAGTCATCCAAGCTGTTACTGAAAACTCTCACGACAGAGCGGGCATCAGGGGCGGGCACGGCAGGCAGGAAAAGGATCTCCTGCAGCCTCCAGGAAGGTGTGGGTGGCAACCGTCAGCTGGACGCACAGTGGCCACCTCTACAGGGGACAAGGAGGCAGAGTGACACGTCTCAGCCCTGGAGATGCCAAAAGGGGTTCTCTGGAGAAGGGCTGTGTCATCAGACAGATCAGGAAAACGGAATGACATCGAGCTACACGCTGTCATCAGACAGATCAGGAAAACGGAATGACATCGAGCTACACGCTGTCATCAGACAGATCAGGAAAACGGAATGACATCGAGCTACACGCTGTCATCAGACAGATCAGGAAAACGGAATGACATCGAGCTACACGCTGTCATCAGACAGATCAGGAAAACGGAATGACATCGAGCTACACGCTGTCATCAGACAGATCAGGAAAACGGAATGACATCGAGCTACACGCTGTCATCAGACAGATCAGGGAAACGGAATGACATCGAGCTACACGCTGTCATCAGACAGATCAGGAAAACGGAATGACATCGAGCTACACGCTGTCATCAGACAGATCAGGAAAACGGAATGACATCGAGCTACACGCTGTCATCAGACAGATCAGGAAAACGGAATGACATCGAGCTACACGCTGTCATCAGACAGATCAGGAAAACGGAATGACATCGAGCTACACGCTGTCATCAGACAGATCAGGAAAACGGAATGACATCGAGCTACACGCTGTCATCAGACAGATCAGGAAAACGGAATGACATCGAGCTACACGCTGTCATCAGACAGATCAGGGAAACGGAATGACATCGAGCTACACGCTGTCATCAGACAGATCAGGAAAACGGAATGACATCGAGCTACACGCTGTCATCAGACAGATCAGGAAAACGGAATGACATCGAGCT
The DNA here is from genome assembly GCF_000001405.40 of Homo sapiens. Classification (NCBI taxonomy): domain Eukaryota; kingdom Metazoa; phylum Chordata; class Mammalia; order Primates; family Hominidae; genus Homo; species Homo sapiens. Next base: position 250,827 of record NT_187613.1, read on the forward strand.
ACACGCTGTCATCAGACAGATCAGGGAAACGGAATGACATCGAGCTACACGCTGTCATCAGACAGATCAGGAAAACGGAATGACATCGAGCTACACGCTGTCATCAGACAGATCAGGAAAACGGAATGACATCGAGCTACACGCTGTCATCAGACAGATCAGGAAAACGGAATGACATCGAGCTACACGCTGTCATCAGACAGATCAGGGAAACGGAATGACATCGAGCTACACGCTGTCATCAGACAGATCAGGAAAACGGAATGACATCGAGCTACACGCTGTCATCAGACAGATCAGGGAAACGGAATGACATCGAGCTACACGCTGTCATCAGACAGATCAGGAAAACGGAATGACATCGAGCTACACGCTGTCATCAGACAGATCAGGAAAACGGAATGACATCGAGCTACACGCTGTCATCAGACAGATCAGGAAAACGGAATGACATCGAGCTACACGCTGTCATCAGACAGATCAGGAAAACGGAATGACATCGAGCTACACGCTGTCATCAGACAGATCAGGAAAACGGAATGACATCGAGCTACACGCTGTCATCAGACAGATCAGGAAAACGGAATGACATCGAGCTACACGCTGTCATCAGACAGATCAGGAAAACGGAATGACATCGAGCTACACGCTGTCATCAGACAGATCAGGAAAACGGAATGACATCGAGCTACACGCTGTCATCAGACAGATCAGGAAAACGGAATGACATCGAGCTACACGCTGTCATCAGACAGATCAGGAAAACGGAATGACATCGAGCTACACGCTGTCATCAGACAGATCAGGAAAACGGAATGACATCGAGCTACACGCTGTCATCAGACAGATCAGGAAAACGGAATGACATCGAGCTACACGCTGTCATCAGACAGATCAGGAAAACGGAATGACATCGAGCTACACGCTGTCATCAGACAGATCAGGAAAACGGAATGACATCGAGCTACACGCTGTCATCAGACAGATCAGGAAAACGGAATGACATCGAGCTACACGCTGTCATCAGACAGATCAGGAAAACGGAATGACATCGAGCTACACGCTGTCATCAGACAGATCAGGAAAACGGAATGACATCGAGCTACACGCTGTCATCAGACAGATCAGGAAAACGGAATGACATCGAGCTACACGCTGTCATCAGACAGATCAGGAAAACGGAATGACATCGAGCTACACGCTGTCATCAGACAGATCAGGGAAACGGAATGACATCGAGCTACACGCTGTCATCAGACAGATCAGGAAAACGGAATGACATCGAGCTACACGCTGTCATCAGACAGATCAGGGAAACGGAATGACATCGAGCTACACGCTGTCATCAGACAGATCAGGAAAACGGAATGACATCGAGCTACACGCTGTCATCAGACAGATCAGGAAAACGGAATGACATCGAGCTACACGCTGTCATCAGACAGATCAGGAAAACGGAATGACATCGAGCTACACGCTGTCATCAGACAGATCAGGAAAACGGAATGACATCGAGCTACACGCTGTCATCAGACAGATCAGGGAAACGGAATGACATCGAGCTACACGCTGTCATCAGACAGATCAGGAAAACGGAATGACATCGAGCTACACGCTGTCATCAGACAGATCAGGAAAACGGAATGACATCGAGCTACACGCTGTCATCAGACAGATCAGGGAAACGGAATGACATCGAGCTACACGCTGTCATCAGACAGATCAGGAAAACGGAATGACATCGAGCTACACGCTGTCATCAGACAGATCAGGAAAACGGAATGACATCGAGCTACACGCTGTCATCAGACAGATCAGGAAAACGGAATGACATCGAGCTACACGCTGTCATCAGACAGATCAGGAAAACGGAATGACATCGAGCTACACGCTGTCATCAGACAGATCAGGAAAACGGAATGACATCGAGCTACACGCTGTCATCAGACAGATCAGGAAAACGGAATGACATCGAGCTACACGCTGTCATCAGACAGATCAGGGAAACGGAATGACATCGAGCTACACGCTGTCATCAGACAGATCAGGAAAACGGAATGACATCGAGCTACACGCTGTCATCAGACAGATCAGGAAAACGGAATGACATCGAGCTACACGCTGTCATCAGACAGATCAGGAAAACGGAATGACATCGAGCTACACGCTGTCATCAGACAGATCAGGGAAACGGAATGACATCGAGCTACACGCTGTCATCAGACAGATCAGGAAAACGGAATGACATCGAGCTACACGCTGTCATCAGACAGATCAGGAAAACGGAATGACATCGAGCTACACGCTGTCATCAGACAGATCAGGAAAACGGAATGACATCGAGCTACACGCTGTCATCAGACAGATCAGGAAAACGGAATGACATCGAGCTACACGCTGTCATCAGACAGATCAGGAAAACGGAATGACATCGAGCTACACGCTGTCATCAGACAGATCAGGAAAACGGAATGACATCGAGCTACACGCTGTCATCAGACAGATCAGGAAAACGGAATGACATCGAGCTACACGCTGTCATCAGACAGATCAGGAAAACGGAATGACATCGAGCTACACGCTGTCATCAGACAGATCAGGAAAACGGAATGACATCGAGCTACACGCTGTCATCAGACAGATCAGGAAAACGGAATGACATCGAGCTACACGCTGTCATCAGACAGATCAGGAAAACGGAATGACATCGAGCTACACGCTGTCATCAGACAGATCAGGAAAACGGAATGACATCGAGCTACACGCTGTCATCAGACAGATCAGGAAAACGGAATGACATCGAGCTACACGCTGTCATCAGACAGTCAGGAAAACCGTGAATTACGTCGAGCTAAACGGAGCATGACAGTAAGATTTCTCAGAGACCTTCATACACCCACGTGCACCATGTACCTCCAAGAAAGGGTGGATTATGCAGTATTTCCTAAATTCGATGGGTTGCCAAGCCCCTTCTTTGAGAAATATTTTCTTGTAAAGCTAAGTTTTAGATTTGCAAACCCAAGTATTTCCGTTATTAAAAACTCTGTATACAAAAAATTATCTGTAAACATCCTTTTAAGACGGCTGGATAATGCATATACATGATAACTTATTTATTTACTTATCCTTTCTCCCATTGTGAGGCATTAAGGTGTCCAGTTTCTCTCTCTCCCATTTTTTTCCTGCCTATAATTTTTGATGTTGTTGTTTTGAGATAGAGTTTCACCCTTGCCCAGGCTGGAGTGCAATGGCGAGATCTTGGCTCACCATAGCCTCCGCCTCCCGGGTTCGAGCGATTCTCCTGCCTCAGCCTCCCAAGTAGGTGGGACTACAGGCATGCACCACCACGCCCGGCTAATTTTTGTATTTTTAGTAGAGACGGGGTTTCACCACGTTGTCCAGGCTGGTCTTGAACTCCTGACCTCAGATGGTCCGCCCGCCTCGGCCTCCCAAAGTGCTGGGATTACAGGCGTGAGCCACTGTGCCCGCTCCCTACCTATAATTTAAACACAGGGTTTAGGCACTGGGGGAGTGAATTCTGAAGGTGCTTCAAAAGCAGCCCTTGCTGTGGAGGCCCCACTGGGTCCACCCACTCCTGAGCCAGGGAGAAGAAGGCAGCCTGGGCTTTGCCTCCTCACTGGGTCAGCTGACTGGGTCGCCATGGCAACCACACAGGCCTGGAAGAGGGAGGGTGCTCCTGGGATGGGGCTAGACGTGGAAGCCCCAGGGCCAGGTGGCTGGGAGCCTGGGACACTGGGGCTGACCAGACCAGATGGCTGGGGGACCCCCTGGGAATGGGGGGCTAAACTGCCTTTGGAAAGTGCCAGATGAACACAGGTCTCAGCCAGAAGCCTCAGACAGAGCCCCTTTCCTTCGTGGTAAGCCATTTGGAGGACCGGTGGCTGTAGCGAGATATCCGGTGAAGAGGCACCACGGATGCTGGAAAATCTGGGTAATGGGATTGAACCTGGATCTAATAATAAGCAAGTGTGATTTGCTCTCACCTGTAAAACCAGACCCCCACAGTCTTCCCAGAACTCATCCATCTGTTGGGGGCTTTGGGAAGTCCCAGCCTCCAATCTGCTCTCTGCCCCAGTAGGAATGCTCTCACCTCCCCAGTGGGAATGCTCTCACCTCCCCAGTGGGAATGCTCTCACCTCGCCAGTGGGAATGCTCTCCCCTCCCCAGTGGGAATGCTCTCACCTCCCCAGTGGGAATGTTCACCTCCCTAGTGGGAATGCTCCCTCCCCAGTGGGAATGCTCTCACCTCTCCAGTGGGAATGCTCTCACCTCTCCAGTGGGAATGCTCTCACCTCCCCAGTGGGAATGTTCCCCTCCCCAGTGGGAATGCTCTCACCTCCCCAGTGGGAATGTTCCCCTCCCCAGTGGGAATGCTCTCACCTCCCCAGTGGGAATGTTCTCACCTCCCCAGTGGGAATGTTCTCACCTCCCCAGTGGGAATGTTCACCTCCCCAGTGGGAATGTTCTCACCTCCCCAGTGGGAATGTTCTCACCTCCCCAGTGGGAATGTTCACCTCCCTAGTGGGAATGCTCCCTCCCCAGTGGGAATGTTCCCCTCCCCAGTGGGAATGCTCTCACCTCCCCAGTGGGAATGTTCTCACCTCCCCAGTGGGAATGTTCACCTCCCCAGTGGGAATGCTCTCACCTCCCCAGTGGGAATGTTCTCATCTCCCCAGTGGGAATGCTCTCACCTCCGCAGTGGGAATGTTCCCTAGTGCAAAGGGCAGATTGGAGGCTGGGTCGCCAGAAGCAGATGAGCCCTCGTTCCTGCCTTCGTATGTGCTGGTGTTTTCAAAGTTTCCCCACTTGTTTTTCACTGGATAGAGGCTTTTCTTCCACAAATTTCTCAATTTGGTTTGAATTTTATGTTCCTCAAGGAAGTGGCAAGAGGGTGCCCTTGTACACAGTTGACTGTCAGGGGAAGGTGTTTCTGGGTGAGAGGAGAGCCTGGTCTTCTTGGGACATTTCCAGGAATGCAGGAGCAAGACTATGGTGCAAGGACCAGGTCCCAGAGGCCCCTGTCTGATGTTGCAACGCTTGCCCTGACTCTCTAGGGCAACCATCATCCGCAAGAACTTTCTGTGCTCCCTGGCCCATGTCAGATTCACTTTGTTTTTTTTTTCCTTCCTCCAAGATGGAGTCTAGCTCTGTTGCCTACGCTGGGGTGCAGTGGTGCGATCTTGGCTCATTGCAACCTCCGCCTCCCGGGTTCAAGCAATTCTCCTGCCTCAGCCTCCTGAGTAGCTGGGATAACAGGCATCTTCCACCACGCCCGGCTAATTTTTGTATTTTTAGTAGAGACGGGGTTTCACCATGTTGGCCAGGATGGTCTCGAACTCCTGACCTCATGGTCTGCCCACCTCGGCCTCCCAAAGTGCTGGGATTACAGGCATGAGCTACCGTGCCCGGCCGAGGTTCACTCTTTAAACTTATTTAAAACAAAACATTATGCTTGCCCTGACTCTCTCGGGCAACCATCCTCCGCAAGAATTTTCTGTGCTCCCCAGCCCATGTGAGATTCACTCTTTTTTTTTTTTTTTTTTTTTTGAGATGGAGTCTCGCTCTGTCACCCAGGCTGGAGTGCAGTGGCACGATCTTGGCTCACTGCAAACTCCGCCTCCCGGGTTCATGCCATTCTCCTGCCTCAGCCTCCCGAATAGCTGGGACTACAGGCACCCACCACTATGCTCGGCTAATTTTTTGTATTTTTAGTAGAGACGGGGTTTCACTGTGTTAGCCAGGATGGTCTGATCTCCTGATGTCGTGATCCACCAGCCTCAGCCTCCCAAAGTGCTGGATACAGGCGTGAAGAGATTCACTCTTTAAACTTATTTAAAACAAAACAGAAACCCCATCTAAGTTCTCTGCACCAAACTGATACCAGCCGTCGCTCATGGCTGGGGGAGTCGCTATGGGACTGGAGGTGAGAAAGGCAGTCTCCAGTTTTTATCCCATATACCTTGTTTCGTTGGAACCTTACACCAAGCATTTATAGATGTATTACCTTTATCATTTATAATTTAATTGAAAAAATAGGAATGTCTGAGGGAGAACAGATGATTCCCTGTAATCCATTAGCTGAAGCAATCAATGTGAAGAGCTGAACATTTTTCTTCCGGGCTTTTAAAAAGAAATTTGTGACATACAGCTATAGTCGCTTTATAATAAAAGGGCTCTAGTAAGTGGCCTTTGCATGGTAGCTGGACTTCGAGGGGCTTTTAAGTAGCAGATCCCTTCTATCTCCCACAAACCTGCCTCCTTAAGATGCATCAGCCTCACCTGACTGAAATGACACCAAAACACCAGGCGGCCTGAGCTGCTGGAGGGGCTGGAAGCCCTGAGAAGCTCCCTCTCCCCGGCCGGGCACGGTGGCTCACGCCTGTAATCCCAGCACTTTGAGAGGCCGAGGCGGGCGGATCATGAGGTCAAGAAATCAAGACCATCCTGGCCAACATGGTGAAACCCCGTCTCTACTAAAAATATAAATATTAGCTGGGTGTGGTGGCACACGCCTGTAGTCCCAGCTATTCGGGAGGCTGAGACAGGGGGATCGCTTGAACCCGGGAGGTGGAGGTTGCAGTGAGCCGAGATCGCGCCATTGCACTCCAGCCTGGTGACAGAGTGAGACTCCATCTCAAAAAAAAAAAGCTTCCTCTCCCTCCAGGACAGAGCTCTCCAGAAAAGCCTCTCCCCCGCTGCCCTCCCCAGGCTCCCGTCTTCCTGACCTTTGCTTTGGATCTGGTTCTTGCTCTTGGCCCTCGCCCTGGAGCTGGATGCTTTGGTCGGGCTCTTGCCTCCAGCGTCTCCTTTGCTATCAGCCTGCCCTCCCATTGCCCCAGTTGGAGGCAGGGCTGCCAGCTCCAGCCTGGCCAGTGGGGAAAATGGATGCGTCTACCTCCTGGTTCCCTGCTGAGGTCAGAGGCCCTTTCCGACCTCCTAAGCCACTCAGGGGGCCCGTGGCTGTACAGGATATCCAGTGAACAGGCACCACGGATGCTGGAAAATCCAGGTAATGGGATTGAACCCGGATCTAAGAACGGGCCAGTGTGATTTGCTCTCACCCTTAAAACCAGACCCCACAGTCTTCCCAGAACTCATCCACCTGTTGGGTCTTTGGGAAGTCCCAGGGCACTGAGGTCTCAGGGTACAGAGGTCCCAGGCTTGGCTCCCTCTGGTTGTTAGCCCGTGCAGACATTCCAGGGTCTACAGACGCTCCCTGGAGAGGGGAACACGAGGTTCCAGGCAGGGCCCGGCTGCCCTCCCAGGGGAACCGAGCTGGAGGAACTCATGTTTTCATCATGGCCCGTGGGAGCCACTCATGGGCTGCTTAAACAGGCAGGAGGTAAACACACACCCCAGGCGACCAAGATCAGCGGCTCCCTGCACAGCGGGTTTAATTATAAGAGCAACATAATAGCGACAGGACAGAAAGGGGGGGAAATGGCAGGGAAAACCTCTCACCAGCCCACAGCCTCCACATTCCCACTGCCTGGCTGTGAACCTTCTCCCTCCTGGGTGACTTTGCCCAGGGGTGTGGAGTGGGTTTTTTCCTTTCTTAATTTCATTCCAATTGCAAAATTAATACAACGTCATTGCAGCAAACTTGGAAAATGCGAAAAGCCTGAAGAAGAAAACAACAATTTCTCTAAGTGGGTTTTTTTTTTTTTTTTGAGACGGAGTCTGGCTCTGTCACCCAGGCTGGAGCGCAGTGGCGCGATCCTGGCTCACTGCAACCTCCACCTCCCGGGTTCAAGTGATTCTCCTGCCTTAGCCTCCCAAGTAGCTGGAATTACAGGCACTCACCACTGGGCCCGGCTAATGTTTATATTTTTAGTAGAGATGGGGTTTCACCATGTTGGCCAGGCTGGTCTCGAACTCCTGGCCTCAAGTGATCCACCCTCCTCGGCCTCCCAAAGTGCTGGGATTACAGGCGTGAGCCGCCGCGCCCGGCCCCTGGGGTTGGTTTGTGCAGAAGCGAGAACCTGCTCAGGAGCTTGCAGCTGGTAAGAGTGGAATTAGAATGGGAACCAGATATAATAATAAAAGCTTCATCTTTTAGAAAAAGATCAAATCAGAAATATGGGTTACATTTGTAAAAGGCTTTCAATTAAAAAGAGGCTGTGAAGCACATCTTGGGAGGCCTAAAAGTCCTTTTCATTTGGATATTGTTTTATCAAAAGCCCTAGTTTGTGCTGATAAGAAAATGGATTTCACAAGATTGAATCTAACAAAAAGCTTTGGCTAGCTGATTAATTAGGTGAGTCACAGGTCTCCTGGGAGTTCAAAGTCAGGAGTTTAAAGACCCTATGAAAACACATAGGAAGCCGGGCTTGGTGGCTCATGCCTGTAATCCCAACACTTTGGGAGGCCAAAAAGGGTGGATCATGAGGTCAGGAGTTCGAGACCACCCTGGCCAACATAGTGAAACCCTGTCTCTACTAAAAATATAAAATTAGCCAGGCATGGTGGTGGGCACCTGTAATTCCAGTTACTCAGGAGGCTGAGGCAGGAAAATCGCTGGAACCCGGGAGGCGGAGGTTGCAATGAGCCGAGATCGCCCCACTGCACTCCAGCCTGGGCAAAAAGAGTGAAACTCCATTAAAAAAAAAAGAAAGAAAGAAAGAAAAAAGAAAAATGTAGTAATAGTTCACCAATCTCTCCATCACTTCAGATAAACTGGGCCAGGCACAGTGGCTCACACCTGTAATCCCAGAACTTTGGGAGGCCGAGGCAGGAGGATCACTTGAGCCTCAGAGTTTGAGACCAGCCTGGGGAACCCAGGGAGATCCCTTCTCTACAAAAAAATGCAAAAAAATATGAGCCAAGCATAGTGGTGCATACCGTAGTCCCAGCTACTTAGGAGTCTGAGGAGGGAGATTCATTTGAGTCCAGGAGTTGGAGGCTGCAGTGAGCCGTGATTGCGCCACTGCACTCCAGCCTGGGTGACAGAGCAAGACCCTGTCTCAAAAAATACATAAAAACATTAAAAGAATAAAAAATAAAGTTCAGACAGGCTAGGCACAGATGAATTAAATCCACAGTAAGTACTGTATTTTTATTTTCACCAAAAATGTCAATCTTATCCTCAGTGCTAATTTTCTGGGGGAAAACCACGAGCTACGCTGTTCTACTCTCAGAAGCTCCATTTTGCTCACATTCAGCTCTTTCTCTTTTTTTTTTTTTTTTTTTTTTGAGACAGATTCTCACTCTGTTGCCCAGGCTGCAGTGCAGTGGCGCGATCACTGCTCACTGCAACCTCCGCCTCCCGGGTTCAAGCGATTCTCCTGTCTCAGCCTCCCAAGTAGCTGGGATTACAGGTGCCCACCACCACACCCAGCTAATTTTTGTATTTTTAGTAGAGACAGGGTTTCACCATATTGTACAAGCTGGTCTCGAACTCCTCTTGACCTCAGGTGATCCACCTCCCTTGGCCTCCCAAAGTGCTGGGATTACAGGCATGAGCCACTGCGCCTGGCCTCAGCTCACATTTATTGAACATCTACTATGTGCCACTTACTTTCACATACATTTCATTTGACCCATGACAACCTATTTTATTTATGTATTTATTTATTGAAATGGAGTTTCGCTTTTCTTGGCCAGGCTGGAGTGCCACGGGTCGATCTAGGCTCACTGCAACCCCCACCTCCCAGAGTCAAGTGATTCTCCTGCCTCAGCCTCCCAAGTAGCTGGGATTACAGGCATGAGCCACCACGCCCCGCTAATTTCTTGTATTTTTAGTATAGACGGGGTTTCGCCAGGTTGGTCAGGCTGGTCTCGAACTCCCGACCTCAGCTGATTGGCCCGCCTCGGCCTCCCAAAGTGCTGGGATTATAGGCATGAGCCGCCTCGCCCAGCCCACCTTTTGGCTATTGTAAATATAATACTGCTGTGAACATGGGCTTGCAAAGATCTTTTTGAGATCCCGCTTTCAATTCTTCTGGGCATATACCCAGAAGCGGAACTGCTGGATCACATGGTAATTCTATTTTTAACTTTTTGAGGACTTGCCTTACTGTTTTCCATAGTGACTGCACTATTGTGCATTCCAACCGACGGTGCACAGGGGTTCTAGTGCCTCAGCATCCTCACCAGCACTTATTTATTTATTTATTTATTTATTTATTTATTTATTTATTTATTGAGATGGAGTCCCACTCTGTCGCCCAGGCTGGAGTGCAGTGGTGCAATCTCAGCTCACTGCAACCTCCTCCTCCCCAGATTCAAGTGATTCCCCTGCCTCAGCCTCCCGAGTAGTTGGCATTACAGCCGTCCGCCACGACGCCTGGCTGATTTTTGTACCTTTAGTAGAGACGGGGTCTCACCATGTTGGCCAGGCTGGTCTTGAACTCCTGACCTCTAGTGATCCGCCTGCTTTGGCCTCCCAAAGTGCTGGGATTATAGGCGTGAGCCACCGCGCCCAGCCAATACTTTTTTTTTTTGGAGACACGATCTTGCTCTGTTTCTTGGGCTGGAGGGCAGTGGCGTGATCACGGGTCACTGCAGCCTCGACCTCCTGGGCTCAAGCAATCCTCCCACCTCAGCCCTCTGAGTCGCTGGGACCACAGGCACATGCCACCACACCTGACTAATTTTTTATTATTTGTAGAGATGTAGAGCCTTCTGTTTCCCAGGCTCAAGTTCCTGGGCTCAAATGATCTGCCCACATTGGCCTCTCAAAGTGCCAGGATTACAGGTGTGAGCCACCATGCCTGGCCTCTGGTTTGTTGTTTGTTTTTTGAGATGGAATCTCGCTCTGTTGCCCAGGCTGGAGTGCAGTGGCGCTATCTTGGCTCACTGCAACTCCGCCTCCCAGGTTCACGCCATTCTCCTGCCTCAGCCTCCCGAGTAGCTAGGCTACAGGTGCCCACCACCATGCCCAGCTAATTTTTTGTAGTTTTAGTAGAGACAGGGTTTCACCATGTTAGCCAGGGAGGTCTCAATTTCCTGACCTCGTGATCCACCCACCTCGGCCTCTCAAAGTGCTGGGATTACAGGTGTGAGCCACCGCACCTGGCCTCTGTTTTGTTTTTTGATGGTAGCCATTCTAACGGGTATGAGTTATAAGCCTACAGTTTTATATCCTCCTGATTGTCCCCAATAACAGGGAGGATAAAAATGGAATGAACATACGGACACTGATCAGACAGGCATCAGGACCTGCCAGTAAAAGACACTGAAATATTGGCAAGACCAAAATAAATGGAGAGAAATATCAAGACATGAACTCAAGATTCAATATTGTAAAGATGTTCATTCTCCTCCAGTTGATCTATATATTTAGTGTAACGCCAATCAAAATCCAGCAAGTTTTTCTTGGAAGCTGACAAAGTGATTCCACAATTTATATAAAAATGCAAAGGACCAGCCAGGCTCAGTGGCTCACTCCTGTAAGCCCAGCACTTTGGAAGGCAGAGGTGGGAGGATCACCTGAGGTCAGGAGTTCCAGACCAGCCTGGCCAAGATGGTGAATCCCCGACTCTACTGAAAACACAAAAATTAGCCAGACATGGTGGTGCATGCCCCTAATCCCAGCTACTCAGGAGGCTGAGGCAGGAGAATTGCTTGAACCCGGGAGGTGGAGGTTGCAGTGAGCCGAGATCACACCACTGCACTCCAGCCTGGGTGACAGAGCGAGACTCTGTCTCGGAAAAGAAAAAAAAAATGCAAAGGATCAAGAATAGCCAAGATAACTTTGAGGATAAAGAACAAATCCGCAGGACCTATTACCAGATATCAGGACTTATTGTAAAGTTATAGTAATTAAAACAGAGTGGTGTTTTCTCCAGGACAGAAAAATAGACCAATGGAGGGCTGGGGGCAGTGGCTCACGCCTGTAATCCCAGCTACTTGGGAGGCTGACGCAGGAGAATGGTGTAAACCCGGGAGACGGAGCTTGCAGTGAGCCGAGATCACACCACTGCACTCCAGCCTGGGCGACAGAGCGAGACTCCGTCTCAAAAAAAAAAAGAAAAGAAAAATAGACCAATGGAAAAGAATGAGAAATCCAGAAGGAGACTCGGGACAACTGCTTCGTTCATGACAAAATTGGTGCGTCAGTACAGTAAAGAAAGGATGAGGCTAGGCGCAGTGGCTCACGCCTGTAATCCCAGCACTTTGGGAGGCTGAGGCGGGCGGATCGGCTGAGGTCAGGGGTTTGAGACCAGCCTGGCCAACATAGTGAAACCGTGTCTCTACTAAAAATACAAAAATTAGCTGGGCATGATGGCACACGTCTGTAGTCCCAGCCACTAGGGAGGCTGAGGCAGGAGAATCGCTTGAACCTGGGAGGCGGAGGTTGCAGTGAGCCAAGATTACACCATTGCTCTCCAGCCTGGGGGGACAAGAGCGAGACTTTGTCTAAAAAAAAAAAAAAAAAAAAAAAAAAAGGATGACCTTCTCATATGGTGCTGGATCAATTGCATATCCATATGGAAAAATGAATCTTGACCCCTGCCTCAAATTATACATCATAATTAGTTGCAGAATATTTATAGTTCTAAATTGAAAAGCAAAATAATACAGCTTCTAGAAAAAAAACGCCGGAGACTATCTTCATGGCACTGGGCGCAGGCAAAGTTTCCTTAACAGGATACAAAACACTACCCACAAAGGAAAAACATGGATACATTGGGTTACATTAAAATTCATAACCTCTATTTATCAAAACCACCATTAAGAAAGTAGAATGATAAAGGCCGGTTGCGGTGGCTCACGCCTGTAATCCCAGCACTTTGGGAGGCCAAGGCGGGCAGATCACCTGAGGTCAGGAATTTGAGACCAGCCTGGCCAACATGGTGAAACCCTGTCTCTACTAAAATACAAAAATTAGCTGGGCTTGGTGGTGGGTGCCTGTAATCCCAGCTGCTCAGGAGGCTGAGGCAGGAGAATCGCTTGAACCCAGGAGGCGGAGGTTGCACGGAGCTGAGATTGTGCCACTGCGCTCCAGCCTGGGTGACAGAGCGAGACTCCGTCTCAAAAAAGAGAGAGAGAGAGAGAGAGCAAGAATGGCCAACAGAGAACAGAATAGTGGTTCTCCACATTTGGCGTGCATCAGAACCGCTGGGAGGCTGGTTAAAATGATGGCTGGGTTCCAGGGTTCCACCTGTGTGTCCACACAGAACATAGCTTACATGTCCCCCACTTAGCTTCTTTTATCATAGTTAAAGATGTGAAAGACCTCTGGAATGTTCTCTCCTCTCCCACATCAGCGAGGGGGAACAAAAGAGGCCCAGTTTCTGGCTATTAGGACAAACCCAAGGATCTCTCTTATGTCAGGTCAGCTGCACCCTGACTTTGCTGATATACTTACGAGCATTTCCTCACATAACCCTGACAATATAATTAGAGCATAATCATGGTGACCATCCTTATCGCCACTTTACAGAGGAGGAATTGACCACCAGCTGGATTAATTGCAAAGTCACGCTGCTGTGCTAAAGCAGAAATGACGTTCAAGCCCTCATCTCTGACTCTGGGTCTGATGCTCCCTCCTCCATAGCCAGCTGCCTCCCACAATGTCAGGCGTGCTGTTCCCTCCTCTCTACCCATCCAGGAGCTACCAAACTCCAGGTCCAAGACCAGCCTGACCAACACAGCAAAACCCCGTCTCTACTAAAAATACCAAAAAAATTGCCAGGCGTGGTGACAGATGCCTGTAATCCCAGTATAACTATAGTAGACGTCCGAGGGCCCCTTTCTCCAGGAAGCAAATATTGTCACCCAAAGCTAGATGTTTTTGCCTGATGTGAATATTCTATTGTTTAGCTACGTGATGTGCTTCTGGATGTTAAAAGCTCAGCTCTGAACGGACTCCTTTAGGCATCAACTGTTTCTGTGGCTAATTGGCTGTCTGGGGAGGTACATGCAGCAGCAGCAGCAGTAATAAAATACTGATCTTTCAGCCAAGCCACTTAGAAAGAGCCGGGATACCCCGTTCCTCCATGAATCAGCTTTTTTTTTTTTCTTTGAGATGGAGTCTTGCTCTTTCGCCCAGGCTGAAGTGCAATGGTGCGATCTCGCTCACTGCAAGCTCTGCCTCCCGGGTTCAAGTGATTCTCCTACATCAGCCTCCGGAGTAGCTGGGACTACAGGCGCCCGCCACCACACCCAGCTAATTTTTGGGGTTTTTTTTGTTGTTGATGTTGTTGTTGTTTGTTTTTTGTTTTGAGACGGAGTCTCGCTCTGTCACCCAGGCTGGAGTGCAGTGGCGCGATCTCAGCTCACTGCAAGCTCTGTCTCCCAGGTTCACGCCATTCTCCTGCCTCAGCCTCCCCAGCAGCTGGGACTACAGGCGCCCGACACCACACCCGGCTAATTTTTTGTATTTTTTGTAGAGACAGGGTTTCACCGTGTTAGCCAGGATGGTCTCGATCTCCTGACCTTGTGTTCCGCCTGCCTCGGCCTCCCAAAGTGCTGGGATTACAGGCGTGAGCCACCGCGCCCGGCCATTTTTTATTATTTTTTATTTTTATTTTATTTTTAGTAGACACCATGTTGGTCAGGCTCAAACTCCTGACTTCAGTTAATCCACCCGCCTCAGCCTGCCAAAGTGCGGGGATCACAGGTGTGAGCCACCGCACCCGGCCGCATCAGCATTTTTGAAACACCTGCTTATGACTTTGGAGGAACCAGATGGGATGTATAGATTCTTTGAGAGCAGTGCCGGTGGCTTGAAGATATTCAGCACCAAGGCCAGTGACCCAAACCCCAAGGAAGTTAAGAAGCCATGGCCGGGCAAGGTGGCTCACGCCTGTAATCCCAGTACATTGCGAGGCCGAGGCGGGCGGATCACCTGAGGTCAGGAGTTCGGAACCAGCCTGACCAACATGGCGAAACTCGTCTCTACTAAAAATACAAAATTAGCCAGGCGTGGTGGCGGGCGCCTGTAATCCCAGCTACTCGGGAGGCTGAGGCAGGAGAATCGCTTGAACCCGGGAGGCGGAGGTTGCAGTGAGCCGAGATCGCACCACTGCACTCCAGCCTGGGCGACAAGAGCGAAACTCCGTCAAAAAAAAAAAAAAAAGCCATAAAGCAGAAGTTCTCAACCCTGGCTGCAGATTGGAAGAGCTTAAACACACACACACACACACACACACACACACACACACACACACACAGTGTCTGGGCTCCACCTTAGTCTAATTGGATCAAAATTGGATCAACAGCACTGGAGAAGTAGATTCTGGCATTGCTACTGCTGTTTTTAAAACCCCGCTTTTGCTGGTGATGCTAACATGTAAAAAGGATTGAGCATGCCTGCAGTAATGAATGGACAAACAGGAGGTGGAGTGTTCCAAAGAATAGGTAGCACTATGGAAACCATAAGACTTTGAGTCTAAAAGGAACCTTGCAAAGGAGGTCATCTGCCTCCTCCGCCCTGCTTCCATGGTCATTTGCCTCCTCCGCCCTGCTTCCCGGTCATCGCCTCCTCCGCCCTGCTTCCGGGGTCATCCGCCTCCTCCGCCCTGTTTCCGGGGTCATCTGCCTCCTCCGCCCTGCTTCCGGGGTCATCGCCTCCTGCTTCCGGGGTCATCGCCTCCTCCGCCCTGCTTCCGGGGTCATCGCCTCCTCCGCCCTGCTTCCGGGGTCATCTGCCTCCTCCGCCCTGTTTCCGGGGTCATCTGCCTCCTCCGCCCTGTTTCCGGGGTCATCCACCTCCTCTACCCTACCTCCATGAAAACTATTCCTGGCGCTCTCTAAAGAGATCAGTGCTACCCTCCACTCCAGGGTCATCTCGCTTGGCCTCTCTACTTTTTATATCCACAAGGTCAAGAAATAGCCCAGACATTCCTCTCAGCCAATTGGAGCACTCGACGGAGCCCAGTTCATAAAACACACACACACACACACACACACACACTCACACACACTCACACACTCAGAAACCACAGGGCTGTAGATATAACGGCAGTCTGGCAGTTGGAGAATGTATCCTGCTTTCAAGATTTTTCAAAAGGAAAATCAAGTGTTGCTTGGTTATTTTAATGGAATAAAAATTGGAAACCACTTTAAAGTTAAACATAGGATGTTGGTTATATTTGAAAAGTTAATTAATCAGGGGTTGGGCATCTGCATAATAAAATTCAATGCAGCCATTACAAAGTATGCTTCATATGAAAGTTTAATGACACGAGAAGCTATGCATGCTGTTACATGAAAAATGGATGTACCATATGATCCCAATTTTGTAAAAAAAAAATGCTTGGAAGTTTTTAGACATTTAAAACAAAAATATGCAGTGTTAACAGCTATTATCATAGAATGTTGGGGAAACAGATAATTTTTATTTTCCTTGTATTTTTATTTTTCTATCTGATCCTTTTTTTTTTTTTTTTTTTTTTGAGACAGAGTCTCGTTCTTGTTGGCTGGAGTGCAATGGCGCGATCTCGGCTCACTGCAATCTCTGCCTCCCGCATTTGAGCAATTCTTCTGCCTCAGCCTCCCAAGTAGGTGGGATCACAGGTGCCTGCCACCAAGCCCGGCTAATTTTTGTATTTTTAGTAGAGACGGGGTTTCACCATGTTGGCCAGGCTGGTCTCAAACTCCTGACCTCAGGTGATCCACCCACCTCGGCCTCCCAAAGTTCTGGGATTAAAGGCGTGCGCTACTGCACCCGGCCTTGATCCATATTTTCTATAATAAACACATATTGATTTTGTCAGAAAAAAATGTAATAAAAATGCTTAGATGCTAGACCAGTGGATTGATCCATGAAAATTTGCCATTTTCAACAGAAGATTGCTGGGAGCTTTGGGCTAAAATAAAATTTCATACCATAATCAAAGACATTCAAATAATAACAATATAGATTCTTTCCTGGAATAAACAACTTCTTTAAGGCAAATGTCCACATTTCCTTGGAGTTAAATATTAATCTGATAGAACTCAGCCTAGGAGATGAAATTTAGTTTATGTGAAATTTTTATGAACTAATAAATGGGCTGGATCAAACAGCAGGACCAGAATAGAGTCACAAAGAGGTGTTACAAGATCAAGCATTTACTGTGAATTCTCCATTGCTTTCTTAAAAGGGTATCAACTTGGATGAGGCACTTACCTACCTAGCGTCTACAGCATAGCACCTACACGCCTAGACAGTGTCCCGGGTGGGAAGCCGTGCTGGAAGCGGAAAGCGGCTGTGAGAAGGGAAATTAGCAAGACCCTTATCCGAGGCGAGCTGGGAGAGCCACTCTTGGGTTCTCTTTGCATAGGTCACCTTCAGCAGGAAGTTTAAAAGCTGGAACCATGTTCAGTTAAATATAAATATCAAGTCGTGCTTGATGGGGTTCCAGAGGAGCCACGGCCCAGACGCCATAGTCGCCAACTGTGCACCACCATAAATGATCGGATATGATCCGATGCACAGGGCTCACGGCTCCATTAATGGTTCAGTGCTCCAATCTCCTACCAGAGTGGAGCTTCTGAAGTGCTCTTGGCTAAACAGAACAGTCTCCATCCATCCATTAAGAAACATGTTTTCAATACTGATGTTTTCAAAGCAACCTATTTCTCTTGTTAAAAACATAATTCAAATAATTTAAAAATGCAGTCTGGGCCGGGCACAGTGGCTCACACTTGAAATCCCAGCACTTTGGGAGGCCGAGGCAGGAGGATCACTTGAGGTCAGGAGTTCGAGACCAGCCTGGCCAACATGGGAAAACCCCATCTCTCCTAAAAATATAAAAATTAGCCTGGCATGGTGGCGCCCGCCTGTAGTCCCAGCTACTCAGGAGGCTGAGGCAAGAGAATCACTTGAACCTGGGAGGCAGAGGTTGCAATGAGCCGAGATTGTGCTACTGTACTCCAGCCTGGGCAAAAGAGTGAGACTCCATCTCAAAAACAAAAAAGAAAACAGGAAGGACCATTTAGGTAGTGTTATGGACTGAATATTTGTGTCCCTCTAAAATTCATATGTGGACGGCTGGGCGCGGTGGCTCACGCCTGTAATCCCAGCACTTTGGGAGGCCGAGGAGGGCGGATCACGAGGTCAGGAGATCAAGACCATCCTGGCTAACACGGTGAAACCCTGTCTCTACTAAAAATACAAAAAATTAGCCGGGCGTCGTGATGGGCACCTGTAGTCCCAGCTACTTGGGAGGCTGAGGCAGGAGAATGGCGTGAACCCGGGAGACGGAGCTTGCAGTGAGCAGAGATCGTACCACTGCACTCCAGCCTGGGCAACAGAGCAAGACTCCGTCTCAAAAAAAAAAAAATTCATATGTGGACATCTGAACCTCCAATGTGATGGTATTAGGATGTGGGGCTTTGAGAGATGATTCGGTCAGGCAGGCAGAGCCTTCATGAATGACATTAGTGGCTGTTTTTGTTTTTTCTTTCTGGAGATGGAGTTTTGCTCTTGTTGCCCAGGCTGGAGTGCAGTGGTGTGATCTTGGCTCACCACAACTTCTGCCTCCTGGGTTCAAGCGATTCTTCTGCCTCAGCCCCCCGAGTAGCTGGGATTACAGGCGCCCGCCACCACACCCGGCTAATTTTGTATTTTTAGTAGAGACAGGGTTTCTCCATGTTGGTCAGGTTGGTCTCAAACTCCCAAACTCAGGTGATCCACCCACCTCGGGCTCCCAAAGTGCTGGGATTATAGGCGTGAGCCACCGCACCTGGCCAAGCTTAGTGACCTTTTAAGAAGAGATATAGGGGGCCTGGCGCGGTGGCTCACGCCTGTAATCCCAGCACTTTGGGAGGCCAAGGTGGGTGGATCATGAGGTCAGGAGATCGAGACCATCCCGACTAACACGGTGAAACCCCGTCTCTACTAAAAATACCAAAAAATTAGCCGGGTGTGGGGTGGGAGCCCATAGTCCCAGCTACTTGGGAGGCTGAGACAGGAGAATGGCCTGAACCCGGGAGACGGAGCTTGCAGTGAGCCGAGATCACGCCACTGCACTCCAGCCTGGGGGATAGAGCAAGACTCCGTCTCAAAAAACAGAGACACGAGGCTTGCTCTGTCTCTCTGTCTCTGCTGTCTGCCAGGTGGGGACGGAGTGTCCATCTGCAAACCAGGACCCTCGGCCGACGCTGGGTCTGCCTGCACCTTCACCTCAGACTTCCCAGCCTCCAGAACGGTGGGAAATATAGGTTGTTCAAACTACCCAGTCTATGGTAATTTGTTATAGTAGCTTAAACTAAGAAAGATAGTTTTTGTCTTTGTTTTCTTTTTAAAGTGTACAATTCTGGCTGGGTGCGGTGGCTCACGCCTGTAATCCCAGTACTTTGGGAGGCCAAGAGGCCGAGGAGGGTGGATCACCTGAGGTCAGGAGTTCGAGACCAGCCTGGCCAACGTGGCAAAACCCCGTCTCTACTAAAAATACAAAAATTAGCTGGGCGTGGTGGTGGGTGCCTGTAGTCCCAACTACTAGGGAGGGTGAGGCAGGAGAATCCCTTGAACCTGGGAGGCGGAGGTTGCAGTGAGCCGAGATCACACCATTGCCCTCCAGCCTGGACGACGGAGTAAGAATCCGTCTCAAAAAGTAAATAAATAAATGGCACAATTCAGTGGCATTGAGTACATTCCCATTTGTGTAACTACCACTTCTACGTGGTTTGAAAACACCTCATGATTCCAAAAGAAATCACCATACCCGTTATGCAGTCCCTCCCATAGGTTTTAAAACAAGGAGGAAGTGGCCTGGCACGGGTCTCTGACCCAGTACCCCACAGAGACAGCCGGAAGGACTCTGAGCCAGTACCCCACAGAGACAGCCGGAAGGACTCTGAGCCAGTACCCCACAGAGACTGCTGGAAGGACTCTGATCCAGTACCCCACAGAGAAACACTGGAAGGACTCTGACCCGGTATCCCACAGAGATAGCCGGAAGGACTCTGACCCTGTACCCCACATAGATAGCCGGAAGGACTCTGAGCCAGTACCCCACAGAGACCGCTGGAAGGACTCTGATCCAGTACCCCACAGAGAAACCCTGGAAGGACTCTGACCCAGTACCCCACAGAGATAGCCAGAAGGACTCTGACCCTGTACCCCACAGAGATAGCTGGAAGGACTCTGAGCCAGTACCCCACAGAGACAGCCAGAAGGACTCTGACCCAGTACCCCACAGAGACCGCTGGAAGGACTCTGATCCAGTATCCCACAGAGAAACACTGGAAGGACTCTGACCCAGTACCCCACAGAGACCACTGGAAGGACTCTGACCCAGTACCCCACAGGGACCACTGGAAGGACTCTGGCCCGGTACCCCACAGAGACTGCTGGAAGGACTCTGACCCAGTACCCCACAGAAACCATGGGAAGGACTCTGACCCAGTACTCCAGAGGGCCCACTGGAAGGACTCTGACCCAGTACCCGACAGAGACCACTGGAAGGACCCTGACCAAGTACACCACAGAGACTGCTGGAAGGACTCTGACCCAGTACCTCAGAGGGCCCACTGGAAGGACTCTAAGCCAGTACCCCACAGAGACCGCTAGAAGGACTCTGACTCGGTACTCCACAGAGATTGCTAGAAGGACTCTGACCCAGTACCCCACAGAGACCACTGGAAGGACTCTGACCCAGTACCCCACAGAGACAGCTGGAAGGACTCTGACCCAGTACCCCACAGTTCTAAGGAAGAGGGTTAGTCCACGGAGCTGCAGAGGTGCCCGCTCCGGCTCTATGGGGTCAGCAGGAGGTGACTCAGGACCACCTCTGAAGATGGGCTTTGGGTCCTGAGCTCATGCACACAAGCAAATTGGTGTTAAAACCCGACAGCGTTTGCTTGTATTCCTTTCCCCAGTCACTCAGCAACCACTTAATGCAGACAGTGTGCCAGATGCTGAGGCCACTGCCCCGGGGTGAGTTATGAGGGGGTCAGCCTCTCCTTCCTTTGCCTTCCCATCCCCACCGAGAGAGGAGAAGCAACTCCGGCATGGGGTGGGAGGGCAGGACGTTGGGAGGCAGAGGGAACTCCATAGAGCTTCCCCGGAGACTAGGGAGTGGTGGGGAGGACAGGCCACTGGTGCCAACCTGTGACTGCTCCCGCCTATGTCCCCTCCCTCACAGTTCCCCTGGGAGTGCCAGCCCCTTGACCGGTGGGATGCGGCCCACCAAAAACCCAGGGCATCCTTAGCAGAGACCTCTCTCAGACACTGGCAGCTTCAAGGGATTACGTGGCTCAGTTGGCAGCATCTCAGGGGGGTCCAGTGTGGATTTGAGTGTTTTCCTCAAATGCCCGGACGGTGAAAGACTCTTGGGAACTCTGCATAACGCAAGAGGCAAAGGGAAGGAGACTCAGTATGACTAAGATTGATTTCACTTTTGGTAGCCCAGTAGGATAGGGGCTCCGAGATGGGTTGAGCCTAATTCAGGAGTGACATGACAGTTTCTGCATAAAGTTCATGCACATGATACAGAGATGAACAGCACATGCCCCCCAGCTCTCCGGGGACTGGCAGTCTAGTGGAAAACTGCCCGGGCCCCCACATTATTTCTTGAGAACATTCTGAGGAATTTTGTACCCTGGTGATCCTTTATTTGATGTTGTCTCTACAAGTTCGCAAAGTTGCTACAGCCCATTGTGCAGATAAAAAAACGAAACTCGAGTAATTTAGTGACTTTCTTATAGCCTAATAGTATCCGATTCAGCTGGGCAAAGTGGCTCACAGCTGTAATCCCGGCACTTTGGGAGGCCAAGGCAGACACATCACCTGAGCTCAGGAGTTCGAGACCAGCCTGGCCAACATGGCGAAACCCCCTCTCTACTAAAAATATAAAAGTGAGCCTGGTGTGGTGGCAGGCACCTGTAATCCCAGCTACTCGGGAGGCTGAGGCAGGGGGAATCGCTTAAACCCGGGAGGCGGAGGTTGCATGCAGTGAGCCGAGATCGCACCAATGCACTCCAGCCTGGATGACAGAGTGAGACTCTGTCTCAAACCAAAAAAAAAGCAAGTACCATTACCTCAGTAAGTGAACACAATTGTATTGGGGTGTGTGTGTGTGTGTGTGTGTGTGTGTGTGTGTGTAAGTTCTGGGGTACCTGTGCAGGAGGTGCAGGTTTGTTACATGGGTAAACATGTGCCATGGTGGTTTGCTGCATAGATCAATCCATCCCCTGGGTATTAAGCCCAGGATCTATTAGTTATTCTTCCGGATGCTCTCCCTCCCCTGCCCCTCTCCCCGACGGGCCCCAGTGTATGCCGTTCCCTGCCATGTCTCCAAGTATTTGGTTAGTGTGTGTGTTTTAAGAGACAGGGTCTTGCTATGTTGGCCAGGCTGGTCTTGAACTCCTGGGCTCAAGTAACCCCTCTGCCTTGGCCTCCCAAAGTGCTGGAATAACAGATATGAGCCGGCCGGGTGCAGTGGCTCATGCCTGTAATCCCAGCACTTTGGGAGGCCAAGGCAGGAGGACCACCTGAAGTCAGGAGTTCAAGACCAGCCTGGCCAACATGGTGAAACCCTGTCTCTACTAAAAATACAAAATTAGCTGGGCGTGGTGGTGCATGCCTGTAATCCCAGCTACTCGGGAGGCTGAGGCAGGAGAATCGCTTGAACCCGGGAGGTGGAGGTTGCAGTGAGCTGAGATCATGCCATTGAACTCCAGCCTGGGCAACAAGAGCAAAACTCCAGGCCGGGTGCGGTGGCTCAGGCCTGTAATCCCAGCACTTTGGGAGGCTGAAGCAGGCAGATCACAAGGTCAGGAGATCGAGACCATCCTGGCTGACACGGTGAAACCCCGTCTCTACTAAAAATACAAAAATTAGCTGGGCGTGGTGGCAGGCACCTGTAGTCCCAACTATTCGGGAGGCTGAGGCAGGAAAATCGCGTGAACCTGGGAGGCAGAGCTTGCAGTGAGCTGAGATCGCGCCACTGCACTCCAGCCTGGGCGACAGAGCAAGACTCTGTCTCAAAAACAAACAAACAAACAAACAAAAACAGGTGTGAGCCACCATGCTGTTGTGTGTTTTGGGTCTAACGTATGAAGCAAAGGGCTGGTCAGACATCTCATGGGTACCACCACACACGGTCACAAACAACAGGGAGCTGCACCGTGTCCTTGAAGAGAGTGATGACAAGTTGTAAGCTGCTGAGGAAGATAAGGAGGCAGCTCTGTGCAGGGTAGGTTGAGAGGGGTTACATGAGAGGCAGGGCACTGGCTCAGAGGTGGCTGCCATGGAGTCAGGTTGAAAACAACGGGGCCCCAGCCAGTAGAGCACGCAACAGAGGATAGAACAGGAAACAGAGAGGACGCAAGGGCGTGTTCCAGGGTGAAAAACACAAACTGCCATATTCATTTAGTAAAAACTTGCCACTTTTGGGGAAACGATTGTTTTTTGTTTTTGTTTTTGTTTTTTGAGATGGAGTCTCGCTCTGTTGCTCAGGGTGGAATGCAGTAGCGTGATCTCAGCTCACTGCAACCTCCGCCTCCCGGGTTCAAACGATTCTCCTGCCTCATCCTCCTGAGTAGCTGGGATTACAGGTGCCCGCCACCACGCCCGGCTAATTTTTGTATTTTTAGTAGAGACAGGGTTTTGCCATGTTGGCCAGGCTGGTCTCCATCTCCTGACCTCAGGTGATCCGCCCACCTCGGCCTCCCAAAGTGCTGGGATTATGGGCGTGAGCCACCGCGCCCGGCCACTAGAAGAGTTTTACTACACGTGTTACGGAGTAATGAAATGGTTCACTCGTTTCAGCATCAAATCATCTTTTCAAAGTAAACTGCATTTCTAACCGCTTCTTCTTGAGGCAATAAAAAACACAGT
This sequence comes from Homo sapiens, assembly GCF_000001405.40. NCBI lineage: Eukaryota > Metazoa > Chordata > Mammalia > Primates > Hominidae > Homo > Homo sapiens. Next base: position 274,564 of record NT_187613.1, read on the forward strand.
GCCATCTCATCTTTATTTTGTGCTACTAGAAGATGCTATCCGTTAAAAATGACTGTGTTCCCCAAGAATGTGTTCATATAATTTTGGATGCAATGCAAAATACTTTTTATGGTGGTCTTCTACCAAACACAAAAAGCAGTACCGAACCTGTGAATGCCGCAAGCTACACACACCCTAGGAGAGAGCGCCCCCTTGTGGGAATCAGTCACATCAACAGATTCAGACACACCAACAGCTGGCTCCAACGCGGGGAGCACTCAACAAGTCTTGACCCTTCTGTGTTCTGATTTCAACAGCTTTGATTGATTGATTGATTGACTGACTGAGACGGAGTCTCACTCTGTCCCTCAGGCTGGAGTGCTGTGGTGCGATATCGGTTCACTGCAACGTCCGCTTCCCGGGTTCAAGTGATTCTCCTGCCTCAGCCTCCTGAGTAGCTGGGACTACAGGCGACCCCCCACCAAGCCTGGCTAATTTTTTGAATTTTTAGTAGAGACGGGGTTTCACCGTGTTAGCCAGGCTGGTCTCGAACCCCTGACCTCGTGATCCGCCCGCCTCGGCCTCCCAAAGTGCTGGGATTACAGGTGTGAGCCACCGTGCCCGGCCCTGCAATTCCTTTTCTAATGAAAAAAGTCATTAGGAGAATAAAATGAATTTGCATGGATAAAGCACTTTCTATGAAAACATAAAACATTTGCTACACAAGTCAATGAATTAATAAACATGGAAAACCACATAACACACATATATTCAATAACACCTGCTTTCAAAGGTGGTCACGTTCTTTCAAAAATAGTTCAGTCCTTCCGTTCTTTGCTCCAGACCCACTTTTATATGACCCAGGACAAAACAGAAAATTTAAAAACATTTTTGGCAGAGAATACAAAATCAGATTAAGTGACAGACCATAGTGATACTGAAAATACATAACTTGAGCCACTTCACAGTTTTGAATGAACAGAGTGTGTAATCCTTTTCATTTCCCCCTAAAAATGATATCTATTTAAAATAGATAAATATTAATGCCTCTCTATTTGGGGCCTAACTATTTACTGTTTTTCACCCAAATAACTCAACATTCTGAAACAAACAAACAAAGGATCTTACTTTTCCTTTGTCTATTATCCCTGATATCTTCATTTTCTCCAAGTAGAAGTATTTTCTCCAAGTGGAAGCAATTTAGCATCTGGCACATGGGGTGGGAAAGCTATTGAAATGGAATGTTTTTCCCTCGCAATAGTACATGCAGTCAACCAACCAAAGTCTGAAGAACACTGAAATCGAGCCAACAAGTTTCTTTTTTTTTTTTTTTTTGTTTTTAAGACAGGGTCTCACTTTGTCACCCGGGCTGGAGTGCAGTGGCACAGTCTCGGCTCACTGCAGCCTCCTCAACCTCCCAGGTTCAAGTGATCCTCCTGCCTCAGCCCCACAAGTAGCTGGGACTACGGGCGCCCGCCACCACACCTGACTAATTTTTGGTATTTTTTATAGAGACAGTGTTTCTCCATGTTGCCTAAGTTGGTCTTGACCTCCTGAGCTCAAGCAGCACTTCCCAAAGTGCTGGGATTACAGGCGTGAGCCACCATGCCTGGCCCAAAATACTTAAAATTCAAGTTAGCTGCACAAATACTACAGTAAGACAAAAGAGGCCGGGCGCATTGGCCCGGGGTCACGAGGTCAGGAGTTCAAGACCAGTCTGGCCAATATGGTGAAACCCCATCTCTACTAAAAATACAAAAATTAGCCGGGCATGGTGGCGGGCACCTGTAATCCCAGCTCCTTGGGACGCTGAGACAGGAGAATCGCTTGAACCCGGGAGGTGGAGGTCGCAGTGAGCTGAGATCATGTCATTGCACTCAAACCTGGGCGGCAGAGCAAGACTCCGTCTCAACAACAAAAAAAAAAAGACAAAAGACAGTCGTGCTGTTAAAACGGAAATACTGGGTGACAGGCAGTGCCACTGTGTGAAGCAGAAGCACCAGCAAGGAAAGCAGAATGGTCTCACCAAGAACACACTGGACTCGGGAGACTGATGACCTGATGACCTGGATTTAAATCTATTCCGCATCATTTCACACCCACTTCACCTTCGACAAGCGTCTCAATACTTAATTTTGTAAAATGAGACTGATAATTTCTATCTTAACCAAAAGATTATTATGAAGCCAAAAAACAGATAATACATGAAAAAATACTGTGTAAGTTACTATAGATCTGTTATCCATATACAATGTTACGTGTTATGACTGCACCTCATCTCACTAATCATATTCTGCCTTGTATCATACTAACCTGAGTATCTGCCTTAATTCCCTCGAGCACCGAGATTAGAAACTCGTATGGGGCCATGTTGGTCTTTTTGAGGCAGGAAAATAGGGTCTGGAGTCAGGGAACATAAGGCACATTCACACTTCAGCTATGACAGGAAACATCCCCTCCGTGGGGCGTAAGCCAAGTAAATGACTTTGTAACTTTCCTACCTCCTCTCCTTTCACATACGGCGTACCCCAAGTAGAGGGTATTCAAACTCACAAAAACTCTGCAAGGCGGCCTCTGAGCCCCTGTGCCCGGGCTGCCCCCACACTGTGGAGTGTGCTTTCATTTCCAATAAATCCCTCACTGCTCCCTTGCTTGCTTTGTGCGTTTTGTCCAGTTCCTTGTTCAAGACGCCAAGAACGGCTGGGCACAGGGGCTGTCACCTGTAATCCCAGCACTTTGGGAGACCAAGGCAGGTGGGTCACCTGAGGTCAGGAGTTCGAGACCAGCCTGGACAACATGATGAAACCCTGTCTCTACTAGAAACACAAAATTATCCAGCTGTGGTGGCGGGCACCTGTAATCTCAGCTACTCGGGAGGCTGAGGTGGGAGAATCGCTTGAACCCAGGAGGTGGAGGTTGCAGTGAGCCCAGATTGCGCCACTGCACTCCAGCCTGGGCAACAAGAGTGAAACTCCATCTCAAACAAACAAAAAAAGTGGGCAAAGGACATGAATAGATATTTCTAGAAGAAGATACACAAACAGGCAACACATATGAAAAAAATGCTCAAAATCACTAATCATCAAGGAAATGCAAATTAAATTACCAGAAGGAGAGACCACCTTACTCCTACAAGAATGGTTGTAATTTAAAAGTCAAAAAGCAATAAATGTTGGCTTAGATATGGTGAAAAGAGAACACTTGGCCGGGTGCAGTGGCTCACACCTGTAATCCCCACACGTTGGGAGGCCAAGGTGGGTGGGTCACTTGAGGTGAGGTCAGGAGTTTAAGACCAGCCTAGCTAATCTGGTGAAACCCCATCTCTACTAAAAATAGAAAAATTAGCCAGGTGTGGTGGCACACGCCTGCAGTCGCAGCTACTAGCGAGGCTGAGGCAGGAGAATCTATTGAACCTGGGAGCCGGAGGCTGCAGTGCGCCGAGATCGCGCCACTGCACTCCAGCCTGGGAGACAGCGAGACTCCGTCTCAAAAAAAAAAAAAAAAAAAAAAAAAAAAAAAGAGTTCGAGACCAGTCTGGCCAATATGGTGAAACCCCGTCTCTAATAAAATACAAAAATTAGCCGGGCATGGTGGTGTGCACCTGTAGTCCCAGCTACTCAGGAGGCTGAGGCAGGTGATCCACCCGCCTTGAGCACCCATGTCCAGCCCAGAAAAACAAATTTTAAAAAGAATCAGGGCCAGGCACAGTGGCTTGTGCCTGTAATCTCAACACTTTGGGAGACTGAGGCGGGAGGATCGTTTCAGCCCAGGAGTTCGAGACTAGCCTGGGAGAAACTCCATCTCAACGTGGAGAAACTCCGTCTCTACAAAAAATACAAAAATTAGCTGGGCCTGGTGGCACGCATGTAGTCCCAGCTACTCGAGAGGCTGACGTGGGAGGATCACTTTAACCGGGGAGGCAGAGGTTGCAGGAGCTGAGATTGTGCCACTGCACTCCAGCCTGAATAACAGCGTGAGAATCCGCCTCAAAACAAAGAAACAAAAACCACACACACACACACACACACAAGTTGTACTAGTGGTTCCAGCCAGTGCAAGTGGGCAAGATAAACGCATAAAAGAATTAAAACTGTATAGATTCATAGACATGATTATGTAGAAAACCTGAAGGAATTTACAAGCAAAAGAAAGCAGCCCACTAGAACTAATACGTCCGTTTAGCAGGGTTGCAGACTAAAATATTAATAGACAAAAATAAATTATATTTCTTTAAAGTAGCAACGAGCAATCAAAAGAAAGCTTTGAAATGTAAAAAGCAAGCATTTGCAGTCCCATCAAACATTATTAAATGCTCAGGGGAAGATGTGAGACAATCATTGACAGACCTGTACACACTGAACAGCACAAAACATTACTTAAGTTAAAGAAGGCCCAAACAGGCCGGGCGCGGTGGCTCACGCCTGTAATCCCAGCACTTTGGGAGGCCGAGGCGGGCGGATCACGAGGTCAGGAGATCGAGACCAACCTGGCTAACGCGGTGAAACCCCATCTGTACTAAAAATAGAAAAAATTAGCCGGGCGTGGTGGTGCGCTCCTGTAGTCCCAGCTACTTGGGAGGCTGAGGCAGGAAAATCGCTTGAACCCAGGAGGCGGAGGTTGCAGTGAGCCGAGATCGCACCACTGCACTCCAGGCTGGGCAACAGAGCGAGATTCCGTCTCAAAAAAAAAAAAAAAAAAGAAAAAGAAAATATAGAGATGGCAAATGGCACATAACAAGATGGTCAATATCAATTCCTAGTCACTAGAAAATAGGCATTAAAAGTGCAAGATACCACCATAAACCTATCGGAGAGGCAAGATGTCAATGCCGGACTATGCTGAGTGCTGGAGATGATGTGGAGGAATGGGAGCGTTCATATGCACTGGTGAAAACGTCAAATGGTACCACCTTGTAAAACTACTGGATAGTTTCCAAAAAAGTTAAATATACTCCTGCCATGCCATCCAACCATTCCGCCATTTATCCACAAGAAAGGAACGACATGCCCATATAAAGACTTATACGCAAACACTTACAGGTGCTTTATTTGTCATGGACAAAAACTGGAAACACCCAAATGTCCATCAAATAGGTGAATAAACAAATTGAGGTATATCAAACAATGGAATACGTCTCAGCAATAAAAGGAATGAAAGGAATAAAAGGAATAAACTACTGATACGCACAGCTTGCAGTGAGCCGAGATCACGCCACTGCACTCCAGCCTGGGAGACAGGGTGAGATTCCATCTCAAAAAAAAAAAAAATGTTAATAGCTCCCCAGATCGATTTATAGATTTAATAAAATCATAAGCAAAATCCCAGCAGGTTTCTGTTGTTGCTGGTCTGTTACTGAAATCGACAAACTGATTCTTAAATGTATGCGGAAATGCAAAAACCAATAAAATCTTGAACAGCAAACCTGGAGGCCTCACGTTACCGAATATTGAATTATTTTAAATCTAGTGTGGCACTGGCATTAGGACAAATAGACCGATGAGGAAATACATTGTGCTAGGACCATTGGATCTCTATATGGAAAAAATTTTAACCATCTCCCTCATACCATGCACGAAATAGATTCTAGATGATTCTACATCTAGCCATGACAGGCAAACCATTCCTAGAAAATAACATAAAAGATTCATGACCTGGCCGGGCGTGGTGGCTCACGCCTGTAATCCCAGCACTTTGGGAGGCCAAGGCAGGCAGATCACCTAAGGTCAGGAGTTCGAGACCAGCCTGGCCAACATGATGAAACCCTGTCTCTACTAAAAATACAAAATTAGCCAGGCGTGGTGGTGCATGCCTGTAATCCCAGCTACTCAGGAGGCTGAGGCAGGAGAATCGCTTGAACCTGGGAGGTAGAGGTTGCGGTGAGCCGAGATCTTGCCATTGCACTCCAGCCTAGGCAACGAGAGCGAAACTCCGTCTCAAAAAAAAAAAAAAAAAAATTAGCCTGGCGTGGTGGAGCGCACCTGTAATCCCAGCTACTTGGGAGGCTGAGGCAGGAGAATCGCTTGAACCTGAGAGGTGGAGGTTACAGTGAGCCAAGATGGCGCCACTGCCCTCCAGCCTGGGCATAAGATTGAGACTCCGTCTCAAAAAAAAAAAAAAGATTTATGATCTTAGAATAGACAAGTATTTTTTAAATAGGACATAGAAAGTGCTTACCTTAAAGGAAAAGATGGATAAACTGGACTGTATTAAAATTAAGGGCTTCTGTTCCTCAAAAGACATCATTAAGAGAATGAAAAAGCAAGGCACGGCATGGAAGAAGACAGTAACAAAAACAACTCCAAAAACATACTAAATAAAGACGCTTAGAAATCGGTATCAAAACGACATCCCAACAGAAAACCGGGCAAAAAGTGTGCATGTAACAACAGAGATATCCAAATGTTCAATATATTACAAAGTGCTTAACCTCATTAGTAATCAGAGAAATGCAAACTCAAGCCAGAATTAAACCTCCTACATACCCACCTACATACCCACCAGCATCACTGTAACTAAACAATGATCAGGCTGATATAGTGGCTCATGCCTGTAATCTCAGTGCTCAGAGAGGCTGAGGCTGGAGGATCGCCTGAGACCAGGAGTTCCTGACCAGCCTGGGCCATGTAGTGAGACTCCATCTCTACCAAAAAATAATAATAAATAAATTAAATTACCCAGGCATGGTGACACACACTTACAGTCCTAGCTACTCAAGAGGCTGAGGTGGGGCTGGTGGCTCACGCCTGTAATCCCAGCACTTTGGGAGGCCAAGGCAAAGTTGGGAGGCAAGATGAACTGAGGTCAGCAGTTCGAGACCAGCCTGGCCATCATGGCCAACCCCGTCTCTCCTAAAACACAAAATTAGCCAGGTGTGGTGGTGGGCGCCTGTAATCCCAGCTACTCGGGAGGCTGAGGCAGGAGAATCACTTCAACCCGGGAGGCAGAGGTTGCAGTGAGCTGAGATCGCGCCACTACACTCCAGCCTGGGCAACAAGAGTGAAACTCCATCTCGAAAAAAAAAAAAAAAAAGAGGCTGAGATGGGAGGATCATTTGAGCCCAGGAGTTTAAGAATGCAATGAACTATTACCATGCTACTGCATGCTCACCAGAGTGATAGAGTGAGACCCTGTCTCTCTAGGAAAAAAAAAAAAAGTGATCTTATCCAACGTCAGTGAGGATGTGGAGTAGCTGGAACTCTCAAACCCAGCTGATAGGACTGTAAAATAGTACAACTCATTTAAAAAACTTTTATAGTTTATCTACTGTTCATCTCTAATGACCCAGTTAATTACTTATAAATGCACACATGTATATGCCAAAATACATGTCCAAGAATATTCGTAACATTATTTGTAACATCCAAAACATGAAAATACTCCAATGTCCATCCACAGAACAGTGGTATACAATTGCCACAGAATACTACATAGCTATGAAAACACGCTATTATCACAATGACATGGATTCATACCACAAACACGCTGACAGATAAAACTCCAGAAAATACTGTATGATTCCATTTCTATCAAATTCAGAAACTACCAAGACTAACTGAAGTTGATAAAACACTAGTTTCCATTTTGGGGGTAAGAGAGTAAACACTGGGAGGGGGTCATAACGGGGTCTTATAGGATGCTGGTCCTGTTCTATTTCTTGATGTGGGCGGTGGTTAAATGGTGCATTCCCTTTGTGAAAATGCATGAAGCTATACACCTTTGGTTTGGTTTATGTTTCTACGTTACACTTGAGTAAAAGTTTACTTTAAAAATACAGGAACAGCATACAAGAACACTTCCAGGCCGGGCGCGGCGGCTCACGCCTGTAATCCCAGCACTTTGGGAGGCTGAGGTGGACGGATTGCTTAAACCCAGGAGTTCGAGACCAGCCTGGGAAACATGGTGAAACTCCATCTCCACAAAAAATACAAAAATTAGCCAAACGCGGTGGTGCACGCCTGTGGTGCTAGCGACTCGGGAGGCTGAAGCAGGAGGATCCCTGGAGCCCAGGATGCTGAGGTCAGTGAGCCATGATCGTGCCACTGCATTGCAGCCTGGGCGATAGAGCAAGACCCTGTCTCACATAAAAATGAAAAAATAACTTTCTGTCTCCCCTTATACACAGCAGGCCGGCTACCTCCAGTCCAGCACAGTGAACTGGTGCTACAAGGGCCAACCCAGGCTCTGCCCCAAAGCAGGAGCTGAGACCGTTTCCTAGAAGGCAGGCCCACTGGAAATGTCTCCACCAAAAGCAGCTACAAACGAATATGACCTTCAGGTATTAAGGCTTTGGTTCTCTAGAAAACTGTCACGGCACTGAGGTAACTTGACAACCCATAATCGCTGTTCTCCATGTAAACTGTGGCTCTATTTGTCCAAGGTGAAGTATCGTAAATTGAAATGAAGTACTCAATTGTAAATTTTTTTTTTAAATTTCCAAATTAAGCTAAATTAAAAAAACAAAAATTGCCAAAACCTTAACCTACAAAATAAACTTTTTGGACAGTAGCCACCTGAGCTCTAAATAATTGTATCATTTATATTTCAAATCTAATACACTGGTGAATATGCGTATTGCAGCTTTTCCAAGACACGTATTAATCATGAAACATGTACTGACCTCGAAAATGTGGCCGCGCGCGGTAGCTCACACCTGTAATCCCAGCACTTTGGGAGGCCGAGGCAGGCGGATCACGAGGTCAGGAGATCGAGACCATCCTGGCTAACACGGTGAAACCCGGTCTCTACTAAAAATACAAAAAATTAGCCGGGCCTGGTGGCGGGCGCCTGTAGTCTCAGCTACTCTGGAGGCTGAGGCAGGACAATGGTGTGAACCCGGGAGGCGGAGCTTGCAGTGAGCCGAGGTTGCACCACTGCACTCCAGCCTGGGTGACAGAGAGAGACTCTGTCTCCAAAAAAAAAAAAAAAAAAAAAAGTTTAAATACTTTAAATGATCACTTTAGAATATATTAATAAGGGGGAATATAGTATTTCAAGAAAATAGTTTTAATGAAGAGCAAAAGGTAGTATGGCCTAATGAGACTCTTCAGTGACACAGATGAACTGAATTCTGTATTTGAATTATTAGCCATGCAGCTTTCAGCAAGTTCCTTAACTACTTCCCATTCAGCTTTTCCCATCTGCACAATGCAGGCTCACCTGATTATTATTGAGCGCTTACGTGTGAGATTCCAGACATTGCTTAGTAACGAGCACAGTGCCTGGTGCAAAGCTGGTACGCAATGTTAGCAAAACTATTATTATTTTTTTTTTGAGACAAGAATCTCGCTCTGTCGCTCAGGCTGGAGTGCAGTGCTGCGATCTCGGCTCACTGCAAGCTCCGCCTCCCGGGTTCACGCCATTCTCCGGCCTCAGCCTCCCGAGTAGCTGGGACTACAGGCGCCCGCCACCACACCCGGCTAATTTTTTGTATTTTTTAGTAGAGACGGGATTTCACCGTGTCAGCCAGGATGGTCTCGATCTCCTGACCTCGTGATCCGCCCACGTCGGCCTCCCAAAGTGCTGGGATTACAGGCGTGAGCCACCGCGCCCGGCCAATGTTAGCTAAATATTAACAGTATCTATTACAATCCTACGAACTCAAAGAAACAGGATAAAACAACACAGGGCTTGGTTTTCCTGATCCAGGTTGGATCTGGGAGCATTCCCATTTCCTCTCACAGTGCTCACAAAGGCTTCCTTTAATGACACACTCTAGGATTTCACCAGTTTTCCATGAACTATTACTTGTTACAATTTTCAAAAGAACACAGGGGTCACACCTTTATCCCGCTTTTTCAGCAAGCCTCACTCTCCTCTATTGTCCTAGGATCAGGAAGCAGCTAATTTGGGGTCTCATTTATAAGGCTCAAGGCATTTGTCTGGGACAGAAGCCAATTAATGTCTCCATTTATCCCACCAGTTTCCCCTTTCAGTGATGGAAGTTCATCCCCATCTTCCTATAGGACCGAAATTTAACTTTGCAGACGTGCTGTTCTGAGGACCCACCCGGAACAGAGCATGTACACAAACCCACTTACTGTCGCTTCTAACATTGTAGGAAGCCTTTGGGTTTTCCAAGGCAGCAAAGTACTGAGATTTGTAATTAAAAACACATATTAGCTACATTCAAGTTGTAACTAACTAAAAACTTCTACTTAAGTCGACTGATCCTCAAAGTAAGACTCAAATCAAAACCAGAAAAGTTTGGGGGCAATTCCCTTTCCAGCCCACAAATACAGGAACTGGGAGTGACACCGTCCTCACAGGGCTACGGCACCTTTCTGCAGCTTCCCTGGCTCCCTTTCAATTTTTTTTTTTTTTTTTTTTTTTTGAGACGGAGTTCTGCTCTTATTGCCCAGATTAGAGTGCAGTGGCGCGATCTTGGCTCACTGCAAGCTCCGCCTTCCAGTTTCCAGCGATTGTCCTGCCTCAGGCCTCCCAAGTCACTGGATGTTAATTACACCCAGCAAGGTCGCCCGCCACCACGCCTGGCTAATTTTTTTGTATTTTTAGTAGAGACAGGGTTTCCCCATGTTGTCCAGGCTGGTCTCTTAACTGCTGACCTCGTGATCCACCCACCACGGCCTCCGAAAGTGCTGGGATTACAGGCGTGAGCCACCGCACCCGGCCTTTCAATTTTTGATAAGGATCTTTCCTTTTTTTTTTTTTTGAGACAGTCTCACTCTGTCGCCCAGGCTGGAGTGCAGTAGCGTGATCTCGGCTCACTGCAACCTCTGCCTCCCGGGTTCAAGCGATTCTCCTGCCTCAGCCTCCCGAGTAGCTGGGAGTACAGGCGTGCGCCACCATGCCTGGCTAATTTTTTGTACTTTTAGTAGAGACGGAGTTTCACCGTGTTAGCCAGGATGGTCTCAATCTCCTGACCTCGTGATCCGCCCGCCTCGGCCTCTCAAATTGCAGGGATTACAGGTGTGAGCCACCGCACCCAGCCGAGTGGTTTCTTTAAACTCTGCAACAGACTTGACGAATTCCTTGGATTTTGACCTTTAAGTGTAGCAGGTGTGCTGGAAACAGAGCAAATCAACTTGAAAGCTTCTTGGAGGTTGCTCCAAACAGCAGCATATAATTATATTCAATGGTCTCCCTATCTCTCGGAAAAGCAACTCACAAAAACATGTTTATTCTCATTGCCAGCACTCACTAAACGCTACTAGGATATCGCTGATCTGTTCATTTCCTAAATCTCTGCTACTAACACTTTAAACCGAGAGTAAACTTGCAGTCTCAACATCCAATTTTAGAAGACAAGTGTGACGAGGAAGGATTTATCAACTGAAAAATGTTTACTGACACAGGGAATCTAGAAATGTACCTTCCAGATACATACAAATATTTAAGCAAAAACTGTTCCAAGGGTATTTCCTGCAGCACCTGCCCAAAAGGAGCAAACTGGTCTTAACAAAATCAGGTGTACATCAATGTTACGCAGTCAGAATGAGACACATCTGAATGCCTAACATAAAAAGATCTACAGTAACTAGGTATCTATACACATTGATGTATAAACTGTTTATGGAAAGAAGCTTCTTATACAGTGTTTCTGGAAAGGGAGACTGCTATCCTGCTGTCTATAATGTGTGTATGGATTACTAAGAAAGGATTGAGTAATTCTCCACTACTGCCACTAGCCTCTGGAGGAAGAGGGCACACAGTTTTTACCTCTAAGAATTATTATAAGACATTCAGCCTTATTTGGTTGTATGAAATACTATGCTAGAAAATGATCCATAATTACACCTTGTACTACTCATGTTGTACTTTAATGATTAAAATAAATACCATGTTGCTGCCTGGTCTGGAGGACAAGACACACCATCAACTGACTCAGTGTTCTTCACAACCAGACTACAGGCAATTTTTTTCCAAAACATACATCTTTGGGAAGCAAACAAATTATTTATGGAAGAAAAAAGGAGGAATGTTTCACATTCAGGCAAACATAATACTGTCAGTGTGTTTGGACTAGAGATTTTATTTTAGAAGTATAAAGGATGGAGGCGCGATATTTGGCATTTTTAATTTAGGTTTGTTTTATTTAAGTTTAATGTTAATTCCATGCTGTGTTTCAGTAAGAACAATACAGATTCTGTATCTGTGGCTCCAGTCAGATATCCAGTAGTACAAATTAGCTTCAAGTTACACATACTGAACAAAAGAGGTTGAGCGAGCGAAGGAGGGGAGGAGTGAGGGGAAGGAGGTAGGGGGAGGGGGAAGGAGAAGAAACAAAAGAATTGAACAGGCATGCAGGCTTTTCCATACCACCTTCAACGCTAACCTGCTTCAGTGGGAGAGTAAAGTAGGCAAGAATGAGCAGCCACGGATTGTTGAACTGTTACCAGCACCATGCTTTTCAGCAACATTTCAGCGGAGTTGGAAACATTTTTTACAGCAAAACCATTACAACGAAGTCCCTCCCCAAACCACCTTTAACCATCTCAAGCTAACACCCAATTACTTGCAAACACTGGTATAAAACACAGTTTAAACAATTAGAAAAATGAAAACTGATACCACTTATGCCTCTATAGTGTGATTAACCTCTCTCTTAGATGCTTGCATCACCTATAAGTCTAATGGCTTTCAAATGTAATTTCCATTTGCTAATGGTGATCTTGCCACATCTGGCACGGAGACGACACAGTAATGCTGAAAAAGCCTCTATGTAGTCCTGTTAGTGTCTTAAAGAACCTAAAAGCTGGGACCAGTAAAATCCACAGAAATTCACTCTTGCCTTTAAGAACTTTTGAAAACTGTTTAAAAAAAAAAAAAAAAAACCAACAGGGCAGGAACCTAAATTCTGAGACCAAATGTAAAAGTCAGATTTGGTGGTTCTCAGTGACAATGGGGAGTTTCCAAAGGGTGGGATGGGGAGGAGGGGGTGGTCAGAGATGGTTTCTCTTGTTGGCTTATGTCTCACTGATTTTCGTCTTCCACGTCCTGCAGCGCTTCTTTATTCTGCTCTTCACCTGTTAAAAAAGAAAAAAAGTCAATTATTTCGTATTGACTACATTAGGCTATGGCAGCCACAAACAAAGGTGTCATTCCAAGCATAAAGACTCTTCTACTTGCTACAATTGGTATTAAACGCAGGCAAAGGACTTCTATCATCCTTGACACCTGAGATGCCTAAGCCAAGAAGGGATTATGGTCCTGAAAGTATTTATTGGTCAACAGAATGAAAAAAACTGATGCGCAGTACAACTCAATGTTTTTACGCTAAATAAGCTCTTGACGTAGACAGCCAAGGAAACCATCTTACTAAAATGACATTCAAGCTTTCACATAAATCTTGGGTCAAAATACTCTTTCTCAATAACCTCACCTCTTCAAGAATCAAGAGTATTTTGCAAACTTTTTGCAAAATCTAATTTACCCACAAGCTAATTATCAGAAATGCTTCAAAATAGTTAACTGAGCAATAAACTGTTGCCAAGAAGTTCTATCGTATTTTATTGTGGGGTTCTGCTGTTATAAATATTTCAGCTTTTGTATCTTGGCCAGATACACCAAACTATAATCAGATTTTACTTCAGAGTGAAACACAGCATGCTCAAAGTAAATCAGACCACTGAGGTTATTAAAGAATGGCATTTGGACCACTTCACTCATGCTATTTGTCTTTTGCCTTTAAAGAGGGTGATTACCCTAAGGAGTTTCAACTGCACTATGACATGCAACAGAAAGCCACCTATTGGTTGGAGGGTCATCTACCTATTAGTATGCATTAAACAAGTCAGCCAAAATAAAGAAGCATGCAGGCTTTTCCCTTAAAAATGATGTAACAGGTAAAAGTTACATTCACTTGTACTTTTTTAAAAAAACCACTTACAATTACTACACAGTTAACTAGTTTGAAACAAAATAAATGAAAAATCAACCCAAGAATCATAAATGTTCAAATGACTATCCATTCATAATGCTTGTTAAATTATTTAATTAGGATGGACAAATAACACCAAACTAGCTGCCTACACACATGAAGCATTTACACTGAGTACAGCTTTGAAACAGCCTAAATGATCTCAAAATGACAAATGTCACAGCATCAAGGTTTCAGTAGTTTTCAAATCTCTTCTGCGGCGGAAACGCTTGACATTGCTGTGTGACTTCAAAACCCACTTACAGCCTCAGCAACACAGTGAAGCCCTGTCTCTACAAAAAATGAACATAACGCCGGGCACGGTGGCTCACGCCTGTAATCCCAGCACTTTGGGAAGCAAAGGCGGGCGGATCACGAGGTCAGAAGATCAAGACCATCCTGGCTAACACAGTAAATCCCCATCTCTACTGAAAAAATAATACAAAAAATTAGCCTGGCGTGGTGGCACATGCCTGTAATCCCAGCTACCTGGGAAGCTGAGGCATGAGAATTGCTTGAACCCAGGAGACGGAGGTTGCAGCGAGCCAAGAACATGCCACTACACTCCAGCCTGGGTAACAGAGTGAGACTCCGTCTCAAAAAAAAAAAAAAAAGAATAAATAAAACTAAAAGTAAAAAACTATGTATGCTGGAGCCAGGCATGGTGGCTCACGCCTGTAATACCAGCACTTTGGGAGGCCAAGAGAGGTGGATCATGAGGTCAGGAGATCGAGACCATCCTGGCTAACACAGTGAAACCCTGTCTCTACTAAAAATACAAAAAAAAAAAAAAAAAATTAGCCAGGCATGGTGGCAGGCGCCTGTAGTCCCAGCTACTCGGGAGGCAGGAGAATGGCGTGAACCCAGGAGGCGGAGCTTTCAGTGAGCCAAGATTCTGCCGCTGCACTCCAGCCTGGGCGACAATCGAGACTCCGTCTCAAAAAAAAAAAAAACTACATACGCTGGGCATGGGGCCACATGTCTATAGTCCCAGCTACTTGGGGGGCTGAGGTGGGGGAGTTCTATTTCTGCAGTGAGCTTTGAACGCCACTGCACTCCAGGCGGGGCAACAAGAGCAAAACTCCGTCTCAAAAAAATGTATAAAATTTTAAAACTACTTAAAATACATGAAGATCTTTAATTCATAAGACAGAAAAAAAATATGCAAAGGCAAAAAAAAATTGCTTAGGGATGAAAGAACTGATGGGCACCCAACTGTTCTCCAAAGGACAATAACGTATTCAAACGTAGGAAACATGATAGGAACATTCACTCTAACAGCAAATCACTGCCAAAGTATCATTAACACAAACACTAGAACACAACTCGCTTGTAAGCAACCATGAGATGTGCCAGAAGTTCCAAGTAACTTTGGCATAAAAATGTCACTGTCATATACATCACATCCAACCACAGTAGGCAGGAGGAGCAGGCCGGAAAAGGCTTAGGTCAGCGCCCTGGAAGGTGGAACAGGCAGAGTCTGTAAGCAACAGGACGATCATACGCAGGCATGATTAGTGAAGAACCAAAACTGAAAGCGGAATTCACTGTGCCATGAACGTGACTTACAAAGTAGAGTTTTTAGGAAAGGAAGAGTTGGGTTTTCCTTTAGGAATCTATATTGCAAGGAAAAAGGGAGGGAGAACAATCATATGAAAGCAACATTACAAGAAAAATAAACCAACAGAGCAGGACAAAGGAAAACAATGATACAGGAGCCGGACTTTGGTCTTACTTCGTGTAAACTTCACTCTAAGCAACAATCTGTCTACTCCTCCTCCCTTCTACTCTGAGAAGGAAGTAATATCCTCTTGAAAGACATACAGATATTAGGGGAAAAAGGATTCCTTGGCTATGTTTCTTTGCCCAGTGTATCTACATTTTGGAGAGAGGGGAACAGGCAGGGAGAACATGTATTTCCTACCTATGGATTCGTATATGAAACAATCCTCTTACCACAGGGTGAAGAGACTAAAATCACTTGAGAAAAAGCAATGATCCCTCCCTTTAAAGAAATTATGTTCCAACATGCTGGGACAGACATTAACATATTCTAAAATTAAAAGACATAAATACCGTCTCTTTAAAAAACAAAAAAATCTAAATAATCCTTAAACTAAATGCAAAGTCACATCCTAGTAAACTGCCACTTTCATGACGATTCTCCTATATTCACCACGGAACCCAAGTCACAAAAGTAGTATTTTATTTTGTGAGATGAAGTTTTATCTTGCCCAAGCTGGTGTCAAACTCCTGGGCTCAAGTGATCCTTCTGCCTCACCTTGCTGAACAGCCGAGATTACAGGCAGGCACCATTGCAGTTTCAAAACCAATTTATTAAAAAATGTAGGCCGGGAACAGTGGCTCACGCCTGTAATCCCAGCATTTTGGGAGGCCGAGGCAGGCGGATCACGAGGTTAGGAGATTGAGACCATCCGGGTTAACACGGGGAAACCCCGCCTCTACTAAAAATACAAAAAAAAATTAGCCGGGCATGGTGGCGGGCACCTGTAGTCCCAGCTACCAGGAAGGCTGAGACAGGAGAATGGCGTGAACCCGGGAGGCGGAGTTTGCAGTGAGCCAAGATAGCACCACTGCACTCCAGCCTGGGTGACAAAGCAAGACTCTGTCTCACGAAAAAAGGAAAAAAAAAAAAGATGTAATACTAGGCCAGGTGCGGTGACTCGGGCCTGTAATCCCAGCACTTTGGGAGGCTGAGGCAGGTGGATCACGAGGTTAGGAGATTGAGACCATCCGGGCTAACACGGGGAAACCCTGTCTCTACTGAAAATACGAATTATTGCCAGGCGTGGTGGTGGGCACCTGTAGTCCCAGCAACTCAGAGAGGACGAGGCAGAAGAATCGCTTGAACCCGGGAGGTGGAAGCTGCAGTGAGCAGAGATTGCGCCACTATACTCCACCCTGGGCAACAGAGTGATACTCCATCTCAAAAACTCTAATTTTTGACAAATTCAACTTCTCAAACTGATGAACAATTTCTTTGTACCCACAATTATTTGTGTATTCAGAGTTTGTTAGTTGTACCGGAATGTCAACAGACCACCTGAATTTTTCACTGTTGAACTATTTCATGACTGGAAGCATTATATAAATAAAAAGTATTTCACCTAATAAAAATTAAGTGAAAATTACTCTTCTTAACCAAATTTAATCAACTGATTTACAGACTCAATAAGGAATTGAACACAAATGAATTTCACTAGATTTTTTTTTTTTTTGAGACGGAGTCTTGCTCTGTCGCCCAGGCTGGAGTGCAGTGGTGCTATCTCGGCTCACTGCAAGCTCCGCCTCTGGGTTCACCCCATTCTCCTGCCTCAGCCTCCCAAGTAAATGGGACTACAGGCGCCCACCACCACGCCCGGGTAATTTTTTTTGTATTTTTAGTAGAGACGGGGTTTCACTGTGTTAGCCAGGATGGTCTCAATCTTCTGACCTCGTGATCCGCCCGCCTCAGCCTCCCAAAGTGCTGGGATTAACCGGCGTGAGCCACTGCGCCCAGCCGAATTTCACTAGATTTTTAAAAACTGCGAAAGTATTACCCTGTATTTTTTTTTTTTGGACGAAGTTTCTCTCTTGTTGCCCAGGCTGGAGTGCAACGGCGCGATCTCAGTTGATCACAACCTCCAACTCCCAGGTTCAAGCGATTCTCCTGCCTCAGCCTCCCCAGTAGCTAGGATTACAGACATGTGACACGACGCCTGGCTAATTTTGTATTTTTAGTAGAGATGGGGTTTCTCCATGTTGGTCAGGCTGGTCTCGAACTCCTGACCTCAGGTGATCCACCCGCTTCGGCCTCCCAAAGTGCTGGGATTATAGGCGTGAGCCACTGCACCAGGCCGTATTACCCTATTTTAAGATGATCCATTTCCTAAAACTGTACTCGACAACCAAGAATAAGGATTATCTTTAGTTCTGTACATAGACTGACAGGTAGTCTACTTTGATTAATCAACTCTTGGTTATCAGTGATAATGAGCTACAGAAGTAATCCAGACTTGGTTATGAGTTGGTATCAAATGTGTTTTCTTGTTTTGTTTCGTTTCTTTGAGACAGAGTTTTGCTCTTGTTGCCCAGGCTGGAGTGCAATGGAGTGATCTTGGCTCACTGCACCTCTGCCTCCCGGGTTCAAGTGATTCTCCTGTCTCAGCCTCCTGAGTAGCAGGGATTACAGGTGCCCGCCACCACACCTGGCTAATTTTTGTATTTGTAGTAGAGACGGGGTTTCTCCATGTTGGTCAGGCTGGTCTCAAACTCCTGACCTCAGGTGATCCGTCCACTTCGGCCTCCCAAACTGCTGGGATTACAGGCATGAGCCACTGTGCCCAGCATATGTTTTTATTAAAATAATAATAATAAAAAAAAATGGCCAGGCGCAGTGGCTCACGCCTGTAATCCAAGCATTTTGGGAGGCCGAGGCAGGTGGACCACGAGGTCAGGAGTTAGAGACCAGCCTGGCCAACATGGTGAAACCCTGCCTCTACTAAACAAACAAAAAACTAGCTGGGTATGGTGGCGCACGCCTGTAATCCCAGCTACTCAGGAGGCTGAGGCAGGAGAATCCTTTGAACCCAGGAGGCAGAGGTTGCAGTGAGCCGAGATCGCACCATTGCATTCCAATCTGGGCAACAGGGAGAGACTCCGTCTCACAAAACAAAACAAAAAATCAGCCAGGCGCGGTGGCTCACACCTGTAATCCCAGCGCTTTGGGAGGCCGAGATGGGCAGATCACAAGGTCAGGAGTTGGAGACCAGCCTGGCCAACATAGTGGAACCCCGTCTCTATTAAAAATACAAAAAATTAGCTAGGAGTGGTGGTGGCAGACACCTGTAGTCCCAGCTACTAGGGAGGATAAGGCAGGAGAATCAGAGGCAGGAGAATCACTTGAACCCAGGAGATGTAGGTTGCAGTCAGCTGAGAGAGCACCACTGCACTCCAGCCTGGGTAACAAGAGCAAAACTCCATCTCAAAAAAAAAAAATAAAACACACACACAGAAAAAACTTTCAAGTCAGGTCACTTTCATTACTTATTACTTTTACTCTCAAAAACATGTCCCCAGAGGTGAGAGGTGTATCATTTCCTGAAGTCAATCCCGCGCCCCAAACTCTCCGCATGCTTTCCCTCCATCAACAGGCAGAGAGATACTAGCATCTGAGCTGGGGATGACCATTACGAGTCCACAGCTGTTTGACCATTCTTCTTCATAATTGTTGTTACAACTTTTTTTCTTCCCTGAAGAGATGGCATCTCGTTCAGTCATCCAGGTTAGAATACAGTGGCGCAATCGAAGCTCACTGCAGCCTCAAGATCCCCCAACCTCAGCCGTCTGAGAAGCATGCGTTGTCACACCTGGCTGTTGTTTTTGTTTTTTGTTTTGAGACAAAGTCCTGCTCTATGAAGCCTCGCTCTGCCACCCAGGCTAGAGTGCAGTGGGGCGTGATCTCAGCTCACTGCAACCTCCACCTCCTGGGTTCAAGCAATTCTCCTGCCTCAGCCTTGCAAGTAGCTGAGATTACAGGCACATACCACTGCACCCGGCATTTTTTTTTTTTTTAAAGACAGGGTCTTACTATGTTGCCCAGGCTGGTCTTGAACTCCTAGGCTCAAGCATCTTCCCACCTTGGCCTCCCAAAGTGCTGGGATTACAGGCACAAGCCACTGCAACCGGCATAGGACAGATTTTCCAGCTGGAAGCCACTTGTTCACAGTTGGTAAATTATTTCTGAGTCCCAAGGGCTGGGAGTAGCTGCCTGAAATGCTGCGCTGGGAAGTGTTCTGTGGCTCCATCTGGCACTGTTGCAAGTGTGTAAGTAAGTCCTACGTATGTGAATATCTCATGCCAATCCTGATCTAGTCAAATCCTAAACATATCATAAAGCTAGTAAATGTTAAAAGCTGAGTCACCTAATTCTCACTTTAGTACCATAACCCAAAAGTCACAAATCTGATTTGATCCTTCCAGAGAAAAGACACATACGTGCCCACTTTCAGAAGCATTTTCAAAAAGTATAACACTTCCAAAGACAATACAGCAGGTCCGTTTCCCCAAAAGAAACTACAGATAGCCTCAAGCAACGCGACATATGTTTTATGTTTCAGCCTAAGAAACGTTATCTCTTTTTTTTTTTTTTAGATGGAGTCTTCCTCTGTAGCCCAGGTTGGAGTGCAATGGCGTATCTCTCAGCTCACTGCAACCTCCGCCTCCTGGGTTTAAGCAATTCTCCGGCCTCAGCCTCCTGAGTAGCTGGGACTACAGGAGCCCGCCACCACGCCCAGCCAATTTTTTGTATACTTAGTAGGGACGGGGTTTCCCCGTGTTAGCCAGGATGGTCTCGATCTCCTGACCGCGTGATCCACCCGCCATGGCGTCCCAAAGTGCTGGGATTATAGGCATGAGCCACCGCGCCCGGCACAGCCTTAGAAACATTCTTAAAGGAACCGCAGCTAAAACTGACATCAGACTTTGTTTACAACCTCCTACCAGCACCACCACCACCAAATGTAAAACTATCCTGTAATACTCCTATCACACTAATTTGTCCTCTTCTCCATCCCTGTTCAACAATCTACCATGGATCAAAATGATTCTCTAGACAGAGAATAAAATTTCCTTTAAAATCAACAAACATAACAAATTTGGGCTCCTGTATTTAAAGTAAACATTAACACACACTCAACATCACAATTAAGTTTACTAAAATACTCTGAAGCGTTTGCAATGAAAACCTCTTAAGAATAAAAACAGGCCGGGCACGGTGGCTTGCGCCTGTAATCCCAGCACTTTGGGAGGCCGAGGCGGGTGGATCACAAGGTTAGGAGATCGAGGCCAACCTGGCTAACACAGTGAAACTCCATCTTTACTAAAAATACAAAAAACTAGCCAGGCGTGGTGGCAGGCACCTGTAGTCCCAGCTACTCGGGAGACTGAGGTGGGAGAATGGTGTAAACCCAGGAGACGGAGCTTGCAGTGAGCCAAGATCGCGCCACTGCACTCCAGCCCGGTCAACAGAGCGAGACTCCATCTCAAAAAAAAAAAAAGAAAAGAAAAGAAAAGAAAAGAATAAAAACAGCAGGGCGCAGTGGCTAACGCCTGTAATCCCTGCACTTTGGGAGGCTGAGGCGGGCAGAACACCTGAGGTCAGGAGTTCAAGACCAGCCTGACCAACATGGAGAAATCCCGTCTCTACTAAAAATACAAAAACTAGGTAGTCGTGATAACGGGTGCCTGCAACCCCAGCTACCCTGGGAAGCTGAGGCAGGAGAATCGCTTGAACCCGGGAGGCAGAGTTTGCAGTAAGCCGAGATTGAGCCACCGCACTCCAGCCTGGGTGTCGCAGCAAGACTCCGTCTCAAAAAAAAAAAAAAGAGACCCAAGGGCCAACATTCAATTTCTCTACAGAATCCCAGAGGGAAATGGGAAACCAGTTCCCTTTTAGATAAAATATTTCAACAAAGAGAAAAACTTCATAAATACCTACTGATACCATCTGGATTTAAATACACTTAACTTC
The DNA here is from genome assembly GCF_000001405.40 of Homo sapiens. NCBI lineage: Eukaryota > Metazoa > Chordata > Mammalia > Primates > Hominidae > Homo > Homo sapiens. The sequence goes on from NT_187613.1 coordinate 295,950, forward strand.
AGCCCCCTAAAATTGAATTGAATGAAGATAAAATAAACTGCTTGCTCTCCACTCCTCCTGTCCTCAACCTTTGAAACAGTGTAAAGGAAGAGCTAAACTAAGTTCCCAAAATGGAACTCCGTACTGTAGCACCATTTCCTATAAAGGCAGCAATTACAATTTCATAGAGGGCAGGCGGTGAATCTAAATTCTAGCTTGATATAACGACAAGCCAAGGAATGTCTAAAGAGAGTACAAACAAATCCTGCAACTGAAAGAGGTGCCTGTTTCACTCCGTGCTTGCTTACCGTCACCCTGCATGTCTGAAGTCCATAGTGTCAGATTATCACGTAACAACTGCATGATAAGTGTAGAGTCCTTATAGCTTTCTTCACTCAGCGTATCCAGTTCTGCAATTGCATCATCAAAAGCTGCTTTTGCCAACCTAAAGGTATTTCAATAGAAGTGTTATAAAAATTAAGTCCAAAATCAGAATTAGAAATGACATGCTAGACAGCAATCTTTTCTTCAGTTATTCCAGTTTGTAATAGTCACAATGATAATGCAAAGAAAAAGCAAATACAATAAAAATTAACTTAAAGGTATGTGGAACACTACTTCTTACTATGCTTTAAGCCTGCTACTGATATGCTATAATATACATATCGACTAATAAAATACATAGAACAACTTCCATCCTAAACCATCACCAAAAAATATACCTCCAAGTTCTAGGCAATAGTTCACTTATTTCAAAAAGTTTTGTTTGTTTGTTTTTAAGACGGAGTCTGGCTCTGTCGCCCAGGCTGGAGTGCAGTGGCGTGATCTCGGCTCACTGCAAGCTTCGCCTCTCAGGTTCATGCCATTCTCCTGCCTCAGCCTCCCGAATGGCTGGGACTACAGGCGCCCGCCACCACACCCGGCTAATTTTTTGTATTTTTAGTAGAGATGGGGTTTCACCGTGTTAGCCAGGATGGTCTCGATCTCCTGACCTCGTGATCCACCAGCCTCAGCATCCCAAAGTGCTGGGATTACAGGCGTGAGCCACCGCGCCCAGCCTAGTTTTTTTTTTTTTTTTTTTTTTTTTTTTTTTTTAAGGGATTCGTTATGTTGCCCAGGCTGGACTTGAACTCCTGCGTTCAAGCAATCTTCCGAACCTTAGCCTCTTGAGTGGCTGGGACAAACGGTACACACTACCACCCCCAAGATTTTTTAAAAAAAAAAAAAAAAAAAAAAAAAAAAAAAATTTTTTTTTTTTTTTTTTTTTTTTGGGGGACGGGGTCTCGCTCTATCACCCAGGCTGGAGTGCAGTGGCGGGATGTAGGCTAAATGCAAGCTCCGCCTCCTGGGTTCACACCATTATCCTGCCTCAGCCTCCCGAGTAGCCGGGACTACAGGCGCCCGCCACCACACCCGGCTGATTTGTTTTTATATTTTTAGCAGAGGCAGGGTTTCACCGTGTTAGCCAGGATGGTCTTGATCTTCTGACCTCGTGATGTGCCCGCCTCAGCCTCCCAAAGTGCTGGATTACAAGGTTGAGATATTTAACAAAGTATTAATGCAAAAAGAAAATCTTGGACAATACCTCAAAGTTTAAAAAAATTTAATTTCACGTTAATGGAGGCAGGGAAGCAAAGAAAATAAAAGGCAACACAGACGCCATGGAAATGTGATTATGTAAGCCATTTACAGTTTTAAAAGAAAATCCACACTTACTGAGTACTGTGTACTATGTCCAACAAACGATACGATATACCAATAGAAAAAAAAGAGACATAATCTAAGTCCACATCAACTTAAAAATTTAGAAATGGAGGGTAGACAAATACATAACTATTTTACAAGGAGGAGGCTGGCTGTGGTGGCTCATGCCTGTAATCAGCACACTTTGGGTGGCTGATGCGTGCGCGCAGATCACTTGAGGCCAGGAGTTCAAGACCAGCCGGGCCACCATGGCAAAACCTATTAAAAACACAAAAAATTAGGCCGGGTGCAGTGGCTCAAGCCTGTAATCCCAGCACTTTGGGAGGCAGAAGCGGGCGGATCACGTGGTTAGGAGATCGAGACCATCCTGGCTAACACAGTGAAACCCCGTCTCTACTAAAAATACAAAAAAATTAGCCGGGAGCAGTGGCAGGTGCCTGTAGTCCCAGCTACTTGGGAGGATGAGGCAGGAGAATGGTGTGAACCCAGGAGGCGGAGCCTGCAGTGAGCCGAGATCACGCCACTGCAGTCCAGCCTGGGCAACAGAGCAAGACTCCGTCTAAAAACACACACACACACACACACACACACACACACACACACACACACAAAATTAGCCGGGCATGGTGGCGTATGCCTGTAATCCCAGCTACTCAGGAGGCTGAGGCAGAAGAATCCCTTGAACCTGGGAGGCGGAGGTTGCAGTGAGGTGAAACTGTGCCAATGCACTCCAGCCTGGGCAAGAGAGCACAAAAACAAAAGAAGAAGAAGAATGAAGTGCTATTCCAAATAAAGTATTTCAGGGACCCAGAAGGAGGAGCAATTAAAGGGAAAGTCAAATTTGAACTAATCTCAATGGATAAGGAGAAAACAAAACACACTTCAGGTTTAAGCAGAAGCATGAGCAAAGGCATGCGAGTGACTTTAAACTGGAGCTACACGTGGGACAGCTAGACTGGAGTCTGACAAGGAAAGGTGCAACCACCAGTATTAGCTAAATAGCCACAGCTTCTTCAGTTACGATCCCTATCTGGACAAACTCAACTAGCCATTTAGAATGTTTTTACATTGGCTGGGCGCAGTGGCTCACGCCTGTAATCCCAGCACTCTGGGAGGCTGAGGCAGGTGGATCACCTGAGGTCAGGAGTTCGAGACCAGCCTGACCAAGATGGTGAAAACCTGTCTCTACTAAAAATGCAAAAAAAAAAAAAAATTCAGTCAAGCGCAGTGAAGCATGCCTATAATAGTCAACATTAAAGTTCCAATGTATCAGTTAATCCCCTTTCCTCAAACTTTGAAAGGCTTTCACTTAAAAACCCTACTTTGCTTAAGCAGTTGTCCTCAAACAAACCAAAAAAAAACACATACAAAAACCAAAAGGGGCCGGGCGCGGTGGCTCACGCCTGTAATCCCAGCACTTTGGGAGGCCGAGGAGGGCAGATCACGAGGTCAGGAGATCGAGACCATCCTGGCTAACACAGGGAAACCCCATCTCTATTAAAAATACAAAAAATAGGCCGGGCGCGGTGGCTCACACCTGTAATCCCAGCACTTTGGGAGGCCGAGGCGGGTGGATCACGAGGTCAGGAGATCGAGACCATCCTGGCTAACACGGTGAAACCCCATCTCTACTAAAAATACCAAAAATTAGCCGGGCGTGGTGGCGGGCGCCTGTAGTCCCAGCTACTCGGGAGGCTGAGGCAGGAGAATGGCGTGAACCCGGGAGGCAGAGCTTGCAGTGAGCCGAGATCGCGCTACTGCACTCCAGCCTGGGGGACATAGCGAGACTCCGTCTCAAAAAAAAAAAAAAAAAAATACAAAAAATTAACCGGGCGTGGTGGCGGGTGCCTGTAGTACCAGCTACTTGGGAGGCTGAGGCGAGAGAATCGCCTGAACCCAGGAGGCTGAGCTTTCAGTGAGCTGAGATCACGCCACTGTACTCCAGCCACAGCAGCAGAGTGAGACTCCGTCAAAATAAAAAAAAAAAGCAAAAAAACCATTTTGCTACTGCAATATTTACTGTAAAAATTTAAAATAGGCTGGGTGCAGTGGCTCACGCCTGTAATCTCGGCACTTTGGGAGGCCGAGGTGGCTGGATCACTTAAGGTGAGGTGTCCAAGACCAGCCTGGCCAACACTGTGAAAACCCATCTCTACATAAAAATACAAAAATTAGCTGGGTATGGTGGCGGGCGTCTGTAATCCCAGCTACCTGGGAGGCTGAAGCAGGAGAATCGCTTGAAACCGGGAGGCAGAGGTTGCAGTGAGCTGAGATTGCACCACTGCACTCCAGCCTGGGAAACACAGCGAGACTCTCCTCTCGGGGGAAAAAAAAAAAGAAAAAGACAATAGCAAAAAACAACAACAAC